>NC_000014.9:48361713-48986713 GCF_000001405.40 Homo sapiens
TCTGTGTGGAAATTCATAAATTTTAGTCCTGAAAAAAATTGTATCAATTTTTTTGATAAAAGGAAGATCCCTACTTTTCACCTTCTTGTTTTCCTAAAGCAACTCTGACTACTCTAGACTGATCTAAATTGACTTGAATTTTTCCTATTTTTTGTCCTTGTCCATTTGCTTCAATTTTGTGAGATTTTTCTTAACTTTATTTCTATTTTTTAAAATAAGTATCCACTATCATCTTTTTCATTTTTAAGAGCTTTCTTGTTATTTGAATGTTTCTTTTTATTGCCTTCTGTTCTTATTTCATGGATGCAATCTCTTTTTTTGTAAGTATTAAATTCCTTCATTTCTGAGTTACTTCTGTTTCTTGAAATATCTCTGCCTTTATTTTCTCAGAATCTATTCTTATAATTGTATGTTTTTACTTTTTTCTGCAAGTTTACATACTTTTCCCAAATATCTGTCAATCTTTGGCACTCATAAGCATACAGGAACCTCTGTGTATGGGTATGGCTTAAAAACACAACACTTTATAAAATCCCTGAATATCAGTTATCGTGTATACATCTTATCCTCTTTGGATTATTTTCATATTCCTCTAGAAGAACTGTCCAATATCTTTCCTAGGAGTATAAGTCTAGATCTCTACATTCTTCAAAGAGAGTAGAAAAATAATCAGGTAGAAGTTCACATGTACCTCTGCGGTACACCACCCCTCCAGTCTTCTCAGTGTCTGTTGATGTATAACTTTGTTCTAAGTATCCAGTAGCTTCCTAGGATTGAGAGGTATAGTCCTTGAAATAAGATAAGTGGGGGTACCTGTGAGTCCAATTTCCCTTTATGAGAATTTTTAACCAAAAGTCATTTTCAGTTTCTTACCTTGAATTCCTGAGAAATTAGGGGTTCTTTAGCTTGGATTACCTTGCATCTAATTGACTCCTCACACTACAAGCTTGGGTTGTAATACTACCAGCATCCTAAGTCAGTTATTATTCTTTCATACACTTTCAATTTTCCACAGTTTGGCTCTCATGTCTAGTCTCTTTTATCTGATGTTGGCTTTTCTTTCGTCTTTCTGTCCTAGCATACTTAGGCTTTTTTTGTTCTATCCTCTTTTTAGTGTGACTTCTGGGGGAGAAATAAAAGCACATGTCCAATCTCTGTTTTAAAGTGATATCCATTTGACTTTTAAAACCATGTTCGTACGGACCAGGTGTGGTGGCTCATGCCTGTAATCCTAGCACTTTGGGAGGCTGAGGTAGGCAGATTACTTGACGTCATGAGTTTGAGACCAGCCTGGGCAACAGGGTGAAACTCCATCTCTACCAAAAAATACAACAAAATTAGCTGGGTATGGTGGTGTGTCCCTGTAATCCCAACTACTTGAGAGGCAGAGACAGAAGTATCTCTTGAACTCAGGATTCCAGAGGTTGCAGTGGGCCCTGACTCACCACTGCACTCCAGCCTGGGTGACAGAAAGCCTGCCTCAAAAAAAGAAAAAATTTCAAAAAATACACATGTTCATGTATTAGTTTGATAAAAATAAATTGAAAAAGGAAAATTTCCTTCTTCAAATAATAACCTTAGTATAGCAAGTAATAAAATATTGTGAGAGCAAATATGCCTATGATATGAAATGTAGAAGCCAACCTTTAAAAAAATTTGTCACTGAATGTTATATATTGGTTTTTTAACTATTATTGCTTCACAATATAAAAATAACTCAATCATCCTCCTTAAATGGTAGTCAGTGTCAAAGACAAAAACTGCCAAATTTTATTATCAATCTTATAGACTGAAGAAAAAAAGCTATTCTCCCTTAGTCCATTGTTGAGTATATTTTATTATTATAGAACACAATTCTTTGCTTTTGCTTTTTGTTTATTAAATGTTCTTGTTTCACCCATCTCTTGAAAAAGAGTACGTACATGCAAAATTCACTTTCAAAGTATCTAAAAGAGCACTTTTTTCCCAAAACTCTTTTTTTCTGAAATTACACAACCCCTCTTTTGTGATTCTGAATTAACTAAACCATATAAGAAAAGCAATCTTACTGCTTAATAGTCACATTATACTAATTTTTGGTTAATTAACTTAGTCTTTTTGGATTTTAAACACCCCTCCTTAGTAGGTTGAATGGTTGCTTCCAAAAAGAGAAGTCTATGTCCTATCACAGGAAGCTGTGACTGTTACCTTGAGAGTAAGAAATGCTCTTGGATTATTAGGTGGCCCCTAAATCCAATGACAAATATCCTTATAAGAGAAAGACTAAGGAAGAGTTTAGACAGACAGAAGATGTGGTCACCTAGAGGAGAGGGCAATGTGAAGATGGAGGCAGAGATTGGAGGAATGCTGCTACAAGCCAGTAGTCCCGTAAGCAAGAAGTGCCATTAGCCACCAGAAGCCAGGAGAGGCATAGAATGAATTCTTCCCCTAGAGTCTCTAGAAGGAACCAACCCTGTTGATACCTTGATTTCAGACTTCTGGCTTCCAGAACTGTGAATGAACACATTACTGCTGTTTTAAGTAAATATGGAGACTTATAAACTCCTATGTAATAAAAGGGCTGCCTCTGACTTCACTGTGAACACAGTTGGCTCTTGTGAATATTTTGAGGAAACGAAATTATCAGCACAAGTGAGTGCAGAGGCTTGGCCATGAGTGTGCACGGAACAAGCAGAAGTGTGGCAAGTGCCCTGGGGCAGAATTGCAACTTGGAATGAAACTCTGTGTTTTATACATTTGCTGAAATAATCTTTAGCATTTACATGGATTTTTAGGTTTAGTTTTAGGACTTAGTTATAGTAATTCTGTCACAAACTAGTTTTCTAGAGGTAAATTACTTTCCCTGAGCCTGTGTTCATACACTAAATGAGGGATTTCAAATCAGAAGAAACAATTTTTCTCTAAAATAATCTCATTGTAATTTTCAGATAAATTTTAAACATAAAATCAATTAATTTTACCATAAAAGTGTTAAGTTGATTTGTACATGTATAGAGTTTATCAGTTTTATTTAATTACTGTCATAGAGACTATCAGTAAGTTGTCTGCATTTTAATTGTCTGCTTTCGATCTATTCATTCTTTTTCACTTGTGAGGTACAATGATTCAAACATGGATTTTGATGGCACTGCAAAATCAAGTGTTGATTTGACTCTTCCTACTCAGTGGTACAGTTGAACCATGTTCAGTACCATTGACTCCATGACCTATTTTACATATTCATTTCTAATATTAATTAACAACTTATGGATAAGGTGCAGTGGCTCATGCCTATAATTCTAGTGCTTTTGAGGGCTGAGGCAGGAGGACTGGGAATATTGCTTTAATCCAGGAATTGGAGGCTGCAGTGAGGTATGATTGTGCCACTGCACTCCAGTCTGGGAGACAGAGTGACGAAAAAAAAAAAACACTCAAAATGTGTATTGTCCAAATTGAGATGGGTAATAGGTGTAAAATGCACAGCAATATGTAACATTTAGTATGAAAAAGAAAAATAAACATTATCTCAAGAATTTTCTATTCATTTTATGTTGAAATTGTATTTTATCTACATAAAATTAAATAAAATATGACATTAAACTAATTTCATCCAGCTTTTAACATTTTTTAAAAATGTGCCTACAGAAAATGTGAAATTAAATGAATTTGTATTCGTAGCTCACATTTGTAGGTTGTTTTTTCTGTTGCACGGTGCTGGTTAATTTTGTGTAATTAGCAAAGCTCCTGTAAGATTACAAACTAACTTACAAGAAAAGAAGTTACGAGAAAGGGAGGAGGACAACACTTACAGAACACATATTTTGTATAGGGTTTTATCCTATTTATTTTATATATGATCAATATTCAGCATATCTTCTGTGAATTATGTTATTATTATCCCCATTTTATTGTCAAGATTTCCAAAGTATAAGTAGTTAACTTGCCGTTTATATAGGGCAAGTTAAAAGTAATATCAGAAGCTAAAGTTTTTATCTGCTGCTTACAAAGTTCTTAGATTAAAAAAAAACCTTAATTTCTAGAAAAAAAATCAGAGATTATTGTTTCAATATCCATTTTTCCCTTTATAAAATAGTAATAGAATGCCTAATTTTAGTTGGACCCAGCATTTCTCAATCCACTTTCAATTATGTATATCATATAATCTGGCCAAAGAGATGTGAACAGATGGAAATCTTCCTCAAAAGAAAGCCAATACGCGTGTCATTTGCATCTTCTTCCCCTTTCTTTCTTTGAATCTGAGTATGCTGTCTGGAGTTGAAGCAACAATTCTGGAATATAAGATAGCCTTTAGAATCAAAACTACTCCTAAAACAAGATAAAAATAATGCCATAGAATAACTTGAGTTCCCAGAGATTTCGTAGAGGAAAATTAACATGAAAACAATTGGCCAGTTTACCTCAAGACTTTTACATGTGAGAAAAATAAAAGCAGATATTATTTAAGCCACAGATACGTTTGGTCTTTTTTTTTCCCCCTTTGTATAACCTAGCCTCGCCTGATACCAATAGTAATGAAATAGCCTTTAAAATAAAGTTTCTGAATAGGTTTCTTTTTTTTTTAATTATACTTTAAGTTTTAGGGTACATGTGCACAACGTGCAGGTTTTTTACATATGTATACATGTGCCATGTTGGTGTGCTGCACCCATTAACTTGTCATTTAACATTAGGTATATCTCCTAATGCTATCCGTCCCCCCTCCCCCGACCCCACAACAGGCCCCTGTGTGTTGTGTTCCCCTTCCTGTGTCCACGTGTACTCATAGTTCAATTCCCACCTATGAGTGGGAACACGCAGTGTTTGGTTTTTTGTCCTTGCAATAGTTTGCTGAGAATGATGGTTTCCAGCTTCATCCAGTTCCCTACAAAGGACATGAACTCATAATTTTTTATGGCTGCATAGTATTCCATGGTGTATATGTGCCACATTTTCTTAATCCAGTCTATCGTTGTTGGACATTTGGCTTGGTTCCAAGTCTTTGCTATTGTGAATAGTGCTGCAATAAACATACGTGTGCATGTGTCTTTGTAGCAGCATGATTTATAATCCTTTCGGCATATACCCAGTAATGGGATGGCTGGGTCAAACAGTATTTCTAGTTCTAGATCCCTGAGGAATCGCCACACTAACTTCTACAATGGTTGAACTAATTTACACTCCCACCAACAGTGTAAAAGTGTTCCTATTTGTCCACATCCTCTCCAGCACCTGTTGTTTCCTGACATTTTAATGATCGCCATTCTAACTGGTGTGAGATGATATCTCATTGTGGTTTTGATTTGTGTTTCTCTGATGGCCAGTGATGATGAGCATTTTTTCATGTGTCTGTTGGCTGCATAAATATCTTCTTTTGAGAAGTATCTGTTCATATCCTTTGCCCACTTTTTGATGTGGTTGTTTGTTTTTTCTTGTAAATTTGTTTGAATTCATTGTAGATTCTGGATATTAGCCCTTTGTCAGATGAGTAGATTGCAAAAATTTTCTCCCATTCTGTAGGTTGCCTGTTCACTCTGATGGCAGCTACTTTTGCTGTGCAGAAGCTCTTTAGTTTAATTAGATCTCATTTGTCAATTTTGACTTTTGTTGCCATTGCTTTTGGTTTTAGACATGAAGTCCTTGCCCACGCCTATGTCCTGAATGGTATTCCCTAGGTTTTCTTCTAGGGTTTTTATGGTTTTAGATCTAACATGTAAGTCTTTAATCCATCTTGAATTAATTTTTGTATAAGGTGTAAGGAAGGGCTCCAGTTTCAGCTTTCTACATAGGGCTAGCCAGTTTTCCCAGCACCATTTATTAAATAGGGAATCCTTTCCCCATTTCTTGTTTTTGTCACATTTGTCAAAGATCAGATAGTTGTAGATATGCAGCATTATTTCTGAGGGCTCTGTTCTGTTCCATTGGTCTGTATCTCTGTTTTGGTACCAGTACCATGCTGTTTTGGTTACTGTAGCCTTGTAGTAGAGTTTGAAGTCAGGTAGTGTGATGCCTCCAGTTTTGTTCTTTTGGCTTAGGATTGACTTGGCAATGCAGGCTCTTTTTTGGTTCCATATGAACTTTAAAGCAGTTTTTTCCAATTCTGTGAAGAAAGTCATTGGTAGCTTGATGGGGATGGCATTGAATCTATAAATTACCTTGGGCAGTATGGCCATTTTCATGATATTGATTCTTCCTACCCATGAGCATGGAATGATCTTCCATTTGCTTGTATCCTCTTTTATTTCATTGAGCAGTGGTTTGCAGTTCTCCCTGAAGAGGTCCTTCACATCCCTTGTAAGTTGGATTCCTAGGTATTTTACTCTCTTTGAAGCAATTGTGAATGGGAGTTCACTCATGATTTGGCTCTCTGTCTGTTGTTGTTGTATAAGAATGCTTGTGATTTTTGCACATTGATTTTGTATCCTGAGAATTTGCTGAAGTTGCCTATCAGCTTAAGGAGGTTTTGGGCTAGACGATGGGGTTTTCTAGACATACAATCATGTCATCTGAAAACAGGGACAATATGACTTCCTCTTTTCCTAATTGAATACCCTTTATTTCTTTCTCCTGCCTGACTGCCCTTGCCAGAACTTCCAATACTATGTTGAATAGGAATGGTGAGAGAAGGCATCCCTGTCTTGTGCCACTTTTCAAAGGGAATGCTTCCAGCTTTTGCCCATTCAGTATGATATTGGCTGTGGGTGTGTCATAAATAGCTCATTATTTTGAGATACATCCATCAATACCTAATTTATTGAGAGTTTTTAGCATGAAGGGTTGTTGAATTTTGTCAAAGGCCTTTTCTGCATCTATTGAGATAATCATGTGGTTTTCATCATTGATTTTCTTTATATGCTGGATTACATTTATTGATTTGCATATATTGAACCAGCCTTGCATCCCAGGGATGAAGCCCACTTGATCATGGTGGATAAGCTTTTTGATGTACTGGTGGATTCGGTTTGCCAGTATTTTACTGAGGATTTTTGCATTGATGTTCATCAGGGATATTGGTTTAAAATTCTCTTTTTTTGTTGTGTCTCTGCCAGGCTTTGGTATCAGGATGATGTTGGCCTCATAAATTGAGTTAGGGAGGATTCCCTCTTTCTCTATTGATTGGAATAGTTTCAGAAGGAATGGTACCAGTTCCTCCTTATACCTCTGGTAGAATTCGGCTGTGAATCCATCTGGTCCTGAACTTTTTTTGGTTGGTAAGCTATTAATTATTGCCTCAATTTCAGAGCCTGTTATTGTTCTATTCAGAGATTCATCTTCTTCCTGATTTAGTCTTGGGAGGGTGTATGTGTCGAGGAATTTATCCATTTCTTCTAGATTTTCTAGTTTATTCACTTAGAGGTGTTTATAGTATTCTCTGATGGTAGTTTGTATTTCTGTGGGATCAATGGTGATATCCCCTTTGTCATTTTTTATTGTGTCTATTTGATTCTTCTCTCTTTTCTTCTTTATTAATCTTGCTAGCAGTCTATCAATTTTGTTGATCTTTTCAAAAAACCAGGACCTGGATTCACTGATTTTTTGAAGGATTTTTTGTGTCTCCATCTCCTTCAGTTCTGCTCTGATCTTACTTATTTCTTGTCTTCTGCTAGCTTTTGAATGTGCTTGCTCTTGCTTCTCTAGTTCTTTTAATTGTGATGTTAGGGTGTCAATTTTAGATCTTTCCTGCTTTCTCTTGTGAGCATTTAGTGCTATAAATTTCCATCTACACACTGCTTTGAATGTGTCCCAGAGATTCTGGTATGTTGTGTCTTTGTTCTGATTGGTTTCAAAGAACATCTTTATTTCTGCCTTCATTTCCTTATGTACCTAGTAGTCATTCAGGAGCAGGTTGTTTAGTTTCCATGTAGTTGAGCGGTTTTGAGTGAGTTTCTTAATCCTGAGTTCTAGTTTGATTGCACTGTGGTCTGAGAGACAGTTTGTTATAATTTCTGTTCTTTTACATTTGCTGAGGAGTGTTTTACTTCCAACTATGTGGTCAATTTTTGAATAGGTGTGGTGTGGTGCTGAAAAGAATGTATATTCTGTTGATTTGGGGTGGAGACTTCTGTAGTTGTCTATTAGGTCTGCTGGGTGCAGAGCTGAGTTCAAATCCTGGATATCCTTGTTAACTTTCTGTCTCGTTGATCTATCTAATGTTGACAGTGGGGTGTTAAAGTCTCCCATTATTATTGTGTGGGAGTCTAAATCTCTTTGTAGGTCTCTAAGGACTTGCTTTATGAATCTGGGTGCTCCTCTATTGGGTGCATGTATATTTAGGATAGTTAGCTCTTCTTGTTGAATTGATCCCTTTACCATTATGTAATGGCCTTCTTTGTTTATTTTGATCTTTGTTAGTTTAACGTCTGTTTTATCAGAGACCAGGATTGCAACCCCTGCCTTTTTTGTTTTCCATTTGCTTGGTAGATCTTCCTCCATCCCTTTATTTTGAGCCTATGTGTGTCTCTGCATGTGAGATGGGTTTTCTGGATACAGCACACTGATGCGTCTTGACTCTTTATCCAATTTGCCAGTCTGTGTCTTTTAATTGGGGCATTTAGCCTATTTACATTTAAGGTTAATATTGTTATGTGTGAATTTGATCCTGTCATTATGATGTTAGCTGGTTATTTTGCTCGTTAGTTGATGCAGTTTCTTTCTAGCCTCAATGGTCTTTACAATTTGGCATGTTTTTGCAGTGGCTGGTACCAGTTGTTCCTTTCCATGTTTAGTGCTTCCTTCAGGAGCTCTTTTAGGGCAGGCCTGGTGGTGACAAAATCTCTTAGAATTTGCTTGTCTGTAAAGTATTTTATTTCTCCTTCACTTATGAAGCTTAGTTTGACTGGATATGAAATTCTGGGTTGCAAATTCTTTTCTTTAAGAATGTTGAATATTGGCCTCCACCCTCTTCAGGCTTGTCGAGTTTCTGCCAAGAGATCAGCTGTTAGTCTGATGGGCTTCCCTCTTTGGGTAACCTGACCTTTCTCTTTGGCTGTCATTAACATTTTTTCCTCCATTTCAACTTTGATGAATCTGACAATTATGTGTCTTGGAGTTTCTCTTCTGGAGGAGTATCTTTGTGGCATTCTCTGTATTTGCTGAATTTGAATGTTGGCCTGCCTTGCTAGCTTGGGGAAGTTCTCCTGGATAATATACTGCAGAGTGTTTTCCAACTTGATACCATTCTCCCCGTCACTTTCAGGTACACCAATCAGACGTATATTTGGTCTTTTCACATAGTCCCATATTTCTTGGAGGCATTGTTTGTTTCTTTTTATTCTTTTTTCTCTAAACTTCTCTTCTTGTTTCATTTCATTCATTTGATCTTCCATCACTGATACCCTTTCTTCCTGTTGATCGAATCAGCTACTGAAGCTTGTGCATTCATCCCGTAGTTCTCGTGCCATGGTTTTCAGCTCCATCAGGTCCTTTAAGGACTTCTCTGCATTGGTTATTCTAGATAGCCATTCGTCTAATTTTTTTTTCAAGGTTTTTAACTTCTTTGCCAAGGGTTTGAACTTCCTCCTTTAGCTCAGAGTAGTTTGATCATCCGAAGCCTTCTTCTCTCAATTCGTCAAAGTCATTCTCCATCCAGCTTTGTTCCGTTGCTGGTGAGGAGCTGCGTTCCTTTGGAGGAGGAGAGGCACTCTGATTTTTAGAATTTCCAGTTTTTCTGCTCTGTTTTTTCCCCATCTTTTTGGTTTTATCTACCTTTGGTCTTTGATGATGGTGATGTACAGATGGGGTTTTGGTGTGGATGTCCTTTCTGTTTGTTAGTTTTCCTTCTAACAGTCAGGACCCTCAGCTGCAGGTCTGCTGGAGTTTGCTGGAGGTCCACTCCAGACCCTGTTTGCCTGGGTATCAGCAGCAGAGGCTGCAGAACAGCGGATATTGGTGAACTGTAAATGTTGCTGCCTGACCGTTCCTGTGGAAGTTTTGTCTCAGAGGAGTACCCAGCCATGTGTGGTGTCAGTCTGCCCCTACTGTGGGGTGCCTCCCGGTTAGGCTACTCAGGGGTCAGGGACCCACTTGAGGAGGCAGTCTGTCCGTTCTCAGATCTCCAGCTATGTACTGGGAGAACCACTGCTCTCTTCAAAGCTTTCAGACAGGGACATTTAAGTCTGCAGAATTTTCTGCTGCCTTTTGTTTGGCTATGCCATGCCCCCAGAGGTGGAGTCTACAGAGGGAGGCAGGCCTCCTTGAGCTGCAGTGGGCTCTACCCAGTTCGAGCTTCTAGGCTGCTTTGTTTACCTACTGAAGCCTCGGCAATGGCGGGCACTCTTCCCCCAGACTCGCTGCCACCTTACTGTTTGATCTCAGACTGCTGTGCTAGTAATGAGCGAGGCTCCACGGGTGTAGGACCCTCCCAGCCAGGCGCAGGATGTAATCTCCTGGTGTGCCCTTTGCTAAGACCGTTGGAAAAGCGCAGTATTAGGGTGGGAGTGACCCAATTTTCCAGGTGCCATCTGTCACCCCTTTCTTTGACTAGGAAAGGGAATTCCCTGACCCCTTGCGCTTCCTGGGTGAGGTGATGCCTCGCCCTGCTTCAGCTCATGCTCTGTGTGCTGCTCCCACTGTCCTGCACCCACTTTCTGACACTCCCCAGTGAGATGAACCCAGTACCTCAGTTGGAAATGCAGAAATCACCTGTCTTCTGTGTCTCTCACACTGGGAGCTGTAGACTGGAGCTGTTCTTATTTGGCCATCTTGGCTCTTCCCCCTCTCTGAATTGGTGTCAAATTTTTAGATAAACAGTAACTGAAAAGCCTCAAGAATAATAATAACCCAGCAGCAAGAAATAGGAATATTTCAATCAAAGGATTTGGAGGGCTTTCTGGCTATGGTTAAGAACGAGAAGAAGTAGAAAAAGGGATCAAAGAACTCAACAAAATATAAATGACGAATGTGAACATATAACGTGACATAGTTTCTTTTTAACTGTGCACAAAACCTCTCTCCCTTGTATCTCGGGACTACCTTTCACTCGTATCTTATAACTAGTGTGGTTTGGTGCTCAGTTCTCTTTCTCAGCACCACCTTGAGATCAGAGATGGCATAAATATGCCTTGAAGTAGTAAATATAGGCTATAAACAGGAACATGATCGGTACTTGAAACTTTCTCTATTAACCTAAAGTCATCAGAATGAGAAAATAAGCAGATATAAATTCCCATTTCTGCTCTGTCTCAATCACGAAATCACAGACAATGCACAAGATATGCGAGAGAAGACTCACATTGTACACCACTGTTATCCAAGAGTATAGAGCTGGAAACAAATACAAAAATGCCAACAATGACAGTTGCCGCCAAATGCAAAGTGAACAGCTAGAACCAAGTGGGAAAACTATTTATTTTATTTTGCTACATGCTCAAGGTTTGATTTCCATTTTCCCACTTTCAGATTGTCATTTTGCCTAGGAAGTTTTTCATTAAACTTTCAGCTGACAGGCAAGTGATAGTCTTCAAACCTGGAATTAGTTCAGTAATAAGAATCCTCGCTTGAGGCTCTATCAGCATTTCGGAGGCAGAATAGTGTCAAGGGAGAGGCCTGCCAGAGGGAATTTTTAGAGGTGGGAGCAGATTATAGATCAAGAACTCTCTGCTAGTACTTTCCCTCCACCCGAGCCCTTCCTTTCAGTCTTAGTGCACTTGTTTAAGCAGTCTTGCCCTCTTGGAATTCAGGCTGAGGTAAAACAGGCAAACATTGAAACTGACACCAGGAACAGCATCACCTGCCATGAGTTTGTTGAAATAACAAGTCAGTTTTAAGACCCAATACCTACGTTTTTTAAAAGTTTACCAAATCTATTTATTGCACTAAATTTATAGGTTACTTACAATAACCCTCAGCGGACTGACTACATTGTTTTTCTTCCTTTGATTTTGTTTTTACTAAGTGTGGTAATGGTATCATTTCATTTATATACATTATGTACTAAAACATTCCCTTTAAAAATTTTTTTGGAAACTTAAAAGCAGATAAAATGAAAATTTGCTTGGATTATTTTTCTTCACCAACTAATGCATTTAGGGCTAATATATTTAAGAAATGGAAATTTTGCTTTAAAAGAGTAGAGTAAGAAAAATCCAAGCAAGGTGTGAACTTGTTACTTAGGGGAAACTAGGTTAAGGCTTTAAAACTAAGGAACAAACAAAATAAATGTAATCATTTAGAAGACATTCTATCTGTTTTCTCTTTATTATCTTAATTAATGTTATGAAGACAGTGCCTCTAGGCAGAAGGTGCCACTGAAACAATCCAGTCTGCTCAAGGATTTAAAATCATTGTCAAATTTCTGCATTCCTGGGATGTAGCTAAATTTCTCAGAGAATCCATGAATATTCTCAGATGAGTTTCAATATATGAAGTGACTCTAAATTAATGAAAATTGAACAGGGGCTGGAGTTTCTCCTCAAAGCCTAATGTTTAGAATTTTAATCTAGCATACTCAGTCAGCCCTAATTAGAGGACTTCAACATTATGCAGACATCTATCACCATGATATGACTCTGGGGAGGAATGTGTGTGTAATTAATCACCATGAATACCCGCTGTCCTCTTTTCCCTTGTGGAGATTAGAGGGGAGAGAGAGGGCTAGAGTCACCACGTTTGTGTAAACAACTCCGAATCCTATTCAATTATTTTACTTTCTTAGAAGAGCCTTGTTTTAAAAAGTCATTAATGTCCATTTGTTCATTCTTTTTAATATATATTTTCATGGGCAATTTTATCTCCTCACCTGAAAGCAACAGAGCTGCTTCATTGGGAGGAGGGGAAGAACTTTACTGTCTTTTGAAGACTGTGTTTTTCCCTCTCAAAGGACAAAGTTCCTCCATGTGAATCCCCAGTGCCTATCCATGAAACACCTGGCTTTTCTTTGGCGATTTCCACCCAATGTACTGAGAGAGTCTGACCTTTCTTAACTCATAGATAATGACAAGGCAGCCAAACATGTGTTGTCTCATAATTGCTTTTACAGATCTATGCCATGAGGTATGATTAAAGACAAGGAGAAAGGTTATTAGAAGATAAAAGAAAGACAATGCCTTATTTATGGAAATCATTTAGAATTGTGTAGCACCTATGGTGTAAACCACAAATACAGTGAGAAAGTAAGCATTAATGAACTTTAAATGTTGAAGAATATTTTTCTGCTGGGCTATCAACAATTTGAATGCAAGAGGCACCTTTTGCATATTAAATGCTGAGATTTTTACTCTGTAGGACAGTAGTGCGGAAAGGAATAGGAATTGTCCTAAAATAGCAAAGACTAATAGAATAAAGGGGGCTGTTCTCTTCAGTTACCCAAGGGAATTGTATGCTCTGAGTTATCCCAAATGTGTGTCTCATTTACAATTGCAACTTCAAAAATTTTTTCATCAAGCACATCAGACTAGGCAGAAAGAACATAAGTCACTGGGCCCAAGTCTCAAAAACCACTGGAAGTGTCAGTGAACCGTAAAAATCATCAGACTGAAGGAAATACTGGCCTTGGAACAAAATTAGCTTTCATGGTAATATTGTTTATAGATAAAGCAATGTACCTTAAAGATATAATATCTAAGTTTTTATGCCTTTAGATCAAAGACTAGTCAAGGGGTTCTGATAGCTCTGAGGAGCAGCTGGAGAAAGTGTGTGTCCAAGAACAGAAACAAAAAGACCTCTAATTAAAAAGCCCCACAGTGAATGTAGCCAGAGGAAATGTAAATCAGAAATTGTTTAAAGTTGAAAGCGATGGTAGCAGAAACAGAAAACTGGGAACATGAGCTGTGCATTAGAATTTTGACTTAAATAAACAAAGATAATTCAATGAGTCTTCCCATGCAAAGAAAGGCAAACACAAAATTTTAGAAAAGAATTTAAAATTCAGACAGAGATTAGGACCGGTCTTATGCTCCAACCTATTTGAAGCAAGGTTAATTCCTGAATTTCTTACTTAGGGTATAGCTATTACCAAGACTCTAGACATTGTAATTTTGGCAATTTAGGATCCAAGAGACAAATTTGAGAAGAAAAAACGTAGTCCAGCTCATACAATCTTGAAAAATTATATTTAATTCCTGGTTTTGACAATTATTAAGGAAGCAGATGGTGACTCATTCAAAGTTTGCCTCAGACAGGATGACATTGGAGAAGATTGTATCAATTTTTATAGATTTTAAATATTTTATTCTATTTTCTTTAATCAAATCCTCTTATTTCAGTCTTTCCACAACTCAAATACATAATCATCAGGAACAAATATGGTAAGAAAATTTGTATTTTGGGGAGACTTTATCTTCCTTTTTTTGGCTTATAATATTCCTGAAATTGCTCCAGATACTCACGGGTGCTGATTCTCTTCCTACCATATTACCTATCAGAGATTTCATTATAGATTTTTTTTCCTAATAACCAATGATACAAGATCCTAGCTCCTAACCAAGTGAAAGAAGAAAATGCAGTTTGATTTATGAAACATAGCAAAAGACCAAAAGAGAACTACTATGTTAAGAAGAAAAGAAACAAAACAAAAACCCCAAAATTGTTTATTAAAACTCAGTTAAATAAATTAGTCATCATGCCTTTTTGTCAAAGCTGCAAATGAAGGAGACCCATCTTTGCACAGTTAAAAACCTTAACCCAGATGAAAATTACATTTAGATTGATGGTAAAGCTATTTGTTAATATAGTCACCATTTGGACAAGGTTGTCTCTGATTTGCATATTTCCAAGTGATTTATTTTACAATAGGTTGTCTTTTTCCTTATCTGTCTTGCACTAGAGAACAGGCAAAAAGTAACATTTGCCTCATGTTAGTGCTCTAAATGAGGATATGCTCCTTCAGAGCAGGTCAGTAAGTTACACCAAGCAATGAGCACATTAGTTCTGGCACCCTGGGTTTATATCTCTTATAATAATTTGAATAGAATACTTTCAGTTTACATTAGCAAGAAAAGGTTGCAGATTATACCAAAAGTTTGCTTCTTAAAACATGATTAATCTGAATTCAGGTATATGTCCAGTATCTAGCAGAAGAGGGGATGATCAAATTTGTGCAAAACCATTAAAATGAAGATATGCGCCAAATTTTGTGATCTGTCTTTTAAAGCAGTTTCTCATTTGAAATTCCAGAAAGGATTTAGCAGGACTTAATTCCAAAAAGTGTGCTTTATGGAAAAAAAAAAGTAACAAAGAAACAAAGGAATTAAGTGATGATGAGAAATAATATGTCCTCAGAGTGGAAAAAACATTAGATTAAAATCGTGTTATAAATGAAGTACCTGATAAAATATTATAGAATTATTTTTCCTTTGAAACAACAAAAGGCTAGAATCAACTCTCTTCTTTGTAGAAAATTAGTCCATTTATTATTTCTAACTAAAGGCAGCAAAAGAAAAAGAAAATGGAAATAGCAAGAATGATATCAGCAGTGCTAAGGTAGCATTTTGTGAAGTGAGGCAGAGGAAAGACAGTGCCTGACTGCCGGCCCCTTAAAGACAAAAGCATTAAAAAGGAGAATGAATTAGCATGGCTGAAAGCAATGTATTTATTTATTTTTTGTGGAGTACTGCTATTTTAGGTTACCTTTTCTTTTTTTGTTTTTTGTTTTTTTGTTTTGAGATGGAGTCTAGCTCTGTCACCCAGGCTGGAGTGCAGTGGCATAATCTTGGCTTACTGCAAGCTCTGCCTCCCAGGTTCAAGTGATTCTCCTGCCTCAGCCTCCTGAGTAGCTAGGATTACAGGTGCACACCACCACACCCGGCTAATTTTTGTATTTTTAGTAGAGACAGGGTTTCACCATGTTGGTCAGGCTGGTTGCGAACTCCTGACCTCGTGATCCGCCTGCCTCAGCCTCCCAAAGTGCTGGGATTACAGGCGCGAGCCACCGCACCCAGCCTTAGGTTACCCTTTCATCCAACAGTGCTGATTCATCAGCTTGAAGAAATCATTAAATTCAATGCCAGGTATAGTGTCACGCTCTTTGTGGGAGGTCAGTAAACATTAATCAAGGGAGCTTATGAGAATTCACAAAGCAGAAAAATAGTATTATGTAAACAATTGTAAAACACAATAGAAACTGTAGTAGCTCTGGCATTTAAAATATGGGCTAAAATATTTAATAAAATATTTGGCTGTCTTTCTTACTTCGACGACCTTGTTTCTAGGGCAGGTTGACTCCTTTGAGAAGTGGATAATTCCATCTTGAATTTCTAATAATTTTACCTTGTAAAGTTTTCTTAAGAAAAAAATAAATCAGAAGAAACTAAAGTATCAATAGTTGTCTATCTTATTTATTGTTAAATATGTTTAACACATTTCTTAATAATAAAAATGATATTAGTAACTCAGTACAAAAATTGCCATTATTGGATATAAAACTTTAACATTTCCACAGGTATACATTTCATTAATTTAGTAAATAAATAGTGGTGCTTACTATGAGCCAGGTTATCAAAAAAACAATGAATGCCACTCCTGTTAATTATTAAAGTTATTGTTACTTACCTGGTGACAAAGTTTGCACACAAATGTACACAATTAATATGGTAGTGAAGTAGGGAAGAGGGGTGGGGGAGGCACAGCTCCCATAGGAGAATGGAAAGAAAGGAAGGTAACATTCAGACACGTGTTGGGTATTTTTCTACACTTCATTTCATTTACTCTTCAACCTTCCCATCACCCCTCCAAGGTTTTTTTCCTAATTGAAAAACCTCTGGCTTGAAATTACGTAATTCTCTTAGCAGTTAAGTTATGTAGCTAGTATTTGAAATTATGTCTATTTTACTTCTGATTTTATATTTTTAACCATATTGCCTCAGGATCTAGGGGAAATACTCCTGCTATCATATTCCTATTGAGCAGTGGTATATGATTCCTAGCTATAAGACAGACTAATGATTCCAAGAACCCATAACACCATTTTGAACTAATGGCTCACTTTGTTCTGTGATGCAATCATTACAAATCCTATTATTTGCCATTGTTCATTCTGGGAAATATTTATCATTTCTAGAACCAAGTTCCTGAGTTTATGAATAATTGCCTGCACTCTAACTTGCTTACTATCTTGGACATGCCCTAATCTGATTTTATCTGTCATCTTTCATCCCCTTAGTGAGCGCCCAGACTACAATGCAGTGCCCTTGGTAGTAACTCTGAATCAGATGATATATGGAATTAAAAATTCATGTATCATCCATCTTTTTCTTCTGTGCTCCTCCTGATGTTAACTAAAATTTCACTCTCTGTAAAGGTTAATGCTTTGCCTGCATCCCTCAATTCTAGGTAGTGGCAAGATATATACCACTTTCAAAAGCTTTATTTTAAACACTTCACTTTCCTACCACCATTTCTTATTGGTTCAATTGATATGTTCTACTTTCTTTATTTTCTTTATTCTTTATTCATCAGAACACTCTTCAGTGCACTTCCATCTTCATTCAATTTGGATTTATTTACCTATCATTAATTTTATTGACTCCATTGAAAACATTCACGATTCTTTTGCCCACTTAACCTCTGTCATCCTTGAACACAGGGTATTCCATCTCTGCATGTGTCATCAAGCTGTTGGTTGTAGCTGGGAGAAAATATCACAAGCATAATAATCAGTTTCAGTATTAATTCACAATTACAAACACAAATAAACAAAGCTCACTGCCAAAGAACTCTATAATTTTTTTTCCCTTTTTCTTTTTCTTTTTTTTTTTTTTATTTTTATTTTTTGAGATGGAGTCTCACTCTGTCACCCAGGCTGGAGTACAGTGGCGCGATCTCGGCTCACTGCAACCTCTCCCTCCTGGGTTCAAGCGAGTCTCGTGACTCAGCCACCTGAGTAGCTGGGACTACAGGCAAGAGCCACCACACCCTGCTAATTTTTTGTATTTTTAGTAGAGATGGGGTGTCACTACGTTGGTCAGGCTGGTCTCGAACTCCTGACCTCAAATAATCCACCCTCTTCTACTATATTTCCATTAGTATATTTTCGTTTCTCTTCCAAGTCCTTACCACCTCCTTTCTCTAGCACCCTTGACTCTTAGATAATGATTTCACTTCGTATTTCATTGAGAAAATATAACCTAACACAGAACAAAAACTATTTTATCAACCAATACGTCAATAATCCAATAAAAATTTTTATTCCTCATGTGTCTATTATCTTATCCTCTTAATCTTATCAAAGTCCTCTCTTGTCTTCGCTTCTGAATATTCGTTTGACTTTACTCAAAATTTTACTCATTATTCATCACCTTCTTCATCAAATTATCTGGATCCACTGGATTATAAGTATTAGCTGTTCCAGTGACTCCTACCAAAATAATTATAACTCTATTTTCTAAAACCCAAAACAAAACAAAAATAAATTCTTCCTACTTGATGCTACAACTCCTCCTGTGAGGGACATTTTCTATTCTTCTTCATAGAAAAATCTTCAAAGCATCTTTTACAATTTAATTTGTATCTCCATTGTCTCACCTTCTATTTATTTTTCTACCAAAATTATGATATTTTAGCTACTACAGTTGCTCTGAATAATCAACTATCCTTTGTGTATAACAAGGAGTCTGTGTCTTCTACTAACATTCATAAAATGATGGTAGTCTAAATTGTTTTTTTGTAAGTAGGTTAAAATCTCAGACCCTTCACAGCTCTTGACAGTTATCGGTATTTATGTAGTAGTCTACGGACTAAGCAATGCTTTTTGTTTCCCATATCTATCTCCAGTTAACTCTTGTCATATCATTATGACATTTTTTGCATTGTATAGACCAAATCATATTAAAAGGAAATTCCGTAGTACTGTGTAAATATCTACCGCTCTTTATCTTATGTTTGTTTATCTATTTATTCATTCATTATGAAGAAGTCTGTAATTGAATGAGACACATGGTGGACTTCTTATTTTAGGCCTTCAGATCAGCAAATACAGTCTTACTTGCCCATAAATACATACATATTCCTGTAGGTATAACTTCTTATATAGATGAACTACATGCTGTGGTATACATAATTAATTGAATAAAAATATATATTGGAACTAATTGAATTTAAACAATAAAATGCTGTAAGTATATACATTCAAATAAATATTTTCTGTTGTGGACTGTAACTGCTACAGAGGAAGGTACATTGTAATGACAGAAGTGACCACCCTAGACATTTAAAATATATGATTGTCCTGAGAGTTAACTGGGAAATTTACATGCAATAAACTTAACCATATGTGGGAGTGAACAATTAGATCCTGCATGTGTAGGAGGACCCAGAACTCAAATCACAGTAATCTTAAAAGAGTTAAATTACGGAAGCCAGATTTACACTTAAATCAAAATTTGATCAAGCATATGTCATGCCAAGCTTAGAGACTGAGGCTCATTTATCATTTGCAGCACACACAAAATATTTACCCAATGCTTACTGTGTCAAGCATTGTGTACAAAATAATGAGCAAAACAGGTAAGATCCTTGACTTTCTGGAGCTCACATTTCAACAGACACTAAGTAATCACTTAAATTGATTTACAATCACAATTTCGACAAGTGCTATGAAGACAATACTCCAGTGTTATAAAAGAGACATAATTTAGTATCACATTAAGGAAGACCTCCATAGGACCTATTAGATACATGAGGGTTGGACATAAGTGGAAAGCAAGCACAGCAGTGAGGATGGTTTTGGAGAAGGGACTTTTGGCTATATAGAACCCAGCATCTGGGTTCCTTTATTAAGGTTTCCCAAAGTGAAGGATAACACTTGTGGCTATGTAGCTAAAAGATACTTCTTAATATCCGGTAATTCCCTTTTGGATGATTGAAGTACTTGCCTTCAGTAAGGAAAAACAAATTCATATTTCCCGTTTGTTGTTTAGTTTATAAAATATTATTTGGATTATAATTTGACTTTATAAGTTACTAAGCTTTAGGAAAAAAGCACTAACCCACATTCTTATTGCATTGCATTTTTATTATAAATTAGCATATTCACATTTAGGTTTTTTGAGTGGTCTGGATGAGATTAGTTAATGTGTGTTTCACTCTGAGGTATACAGATTTTTAAAATATGCCCTCCAGATGAGTCTATTATATTTGTCTTTACTAGATTCTTAACAGAGGTGAATTCATTAAGGTAAATTCTATCTTGTAGGGTGCAGGGACAAAGTTGAGTGGACAGAAAGATGTTTTCAGTTTGCACTCTCTTTTCTTAGACATGAAAAATGTATTTAAGAACTGATCTATAAACAGTAATAAAACATTGAGCTATTCATGCCTGCTCAGTGGTCAGAAGTAAGTAAAAAGGTAACTGAATCAAAGTTATATTAGATAATATAAGTCCCTGTTTGATATCCAATATTACTTGTTTACTCTCCCTAATGGAGATACTATGTATCTAGTTACAGCATTATGAAATGAATATAAATGAGAAAATAAATAGAAAAATAGATCCTATAGTTATTTTTAATGTTTACAAATGACAGTTATTAAATATAATAGATTAATGGCATAGTAAGTGATATGAAAATAAAATTATTTTAGAAAATTATTAATAATGATAGTAAATATAAGGACAAACCAAACATAATTGTAATAAATAAGTACAAAGGTGAATGTATAGATAACAATCCCCTTCAGCAAATGTTCTAGTACCTTTGCCTGCTGACTCCTGTGAAGACATTTAGACTGAACTTTTCTTTGATGCTGTTAGATTAGTGTATTGTGTATATGTGTGTTTGTGTTTTTTTAAGCTAGTATAACCTTTACCACATAGACTATATATTCCATATTACAAGTAAGTTAGCTACATATTAATATGTCCAGTCTTGCACTATTCATAGCACTGTATTCTCAAACTGGTGTCTCTCAATGACAAAAAACAATCACTAAAAATGGAAATTAGCTGGCTGGGTGTGGTGGCTCATGCTTGTAATCCCAGCACTTTTGTGAGCCCGAAGTGGGCGGATCATGAGATCAAGAGATCGAGACCATCCTGGCCAACATGGTGAAACCCTGTCTCTACAAAAATACAAAAATTAGCTCGGCGTGGTGGTGCCCGCCTGCAGTCCCGGATACTTGGGAGACTGAGGCAGGAGAATCACTTTAACTCGGGAGGTGGAAGTTACAGTGAGCTAATATCACACCATTGCACTCTAGCCTGAGCGACAGTGTGAGACTCTGTCTCAAAATAAAAAAAAAATTTAAAAAAAAGGAAATTAGCTAAGCCACAAATTGGAAACCAATGAATTTATCTCAAATAAAATCCTTAAAATCCATAAAGCTCTATAGATGATGGATGTTGGAGGGCTTTTCTGACAAAGCCAAATGTGGTCGTGATGCAAGATATTTCCTGGACCCCTTCACAGGACTTGCAACAGGGGTGCCTCATTTACTCAACCCACCCCGTGCAAACCCTTGCGGGAGGGAGCACACAGGTGAGCGAGTGCGGGATCCGGCCAGCTGCTTTTGGGCACCAACAGGAGCAAACTCCCTGTGGGCCTCGTGGCAGCATCCAGGTGGGGGTGCGTGCAACTCGCAAAGCCCCAGAGGGCATGTTACAGTGCTCTTTTAGCTCTGCGGTCTGTGGACGGGTTAAGTGTTAATAGCTCAGGGGCCCTTTGCCTTGCTGCATGGGGTGGCTGCCTTCTGCCAGCGAGGGCAAAGAGCCAGTGTGACAGCCTTCTTTGGGTACCCGCACCCAGTACATCCGGAATTCTTGTCTGGTGCCCAAGTGAAATGAGGTCATGTGCACAAATTGAAGGATGGTGAATGTAGAGAATTTTATTGAGTGATGAAAGCGGCTCTCAGTGGAGAGGAAAGGTGGAAAGGGAACGGGAAGGGAAGATCACTCTCCCCTGAAGTCAAGATGCCTCTGCCTCTTTTCTGAAGTCAAGTTGCCTCTCTTCAGCTGCCGTCTCGGAAGTCAAAGTCACCTCTCTCCAATGCCCAGATGTTTCTTCTTTCTGTCAGCTGAATCTGGGGTCCTTATAGGCACAGGATGGGGGGCAGGGTGGGCCATGGGTAGTTTAGGAAAAGGCAACTTTCAAGCAGGAAAACAAGAATAGTTCTCACTTTGGGTCAAGGGTTTCAGGCTTTGCGGCTCGAAGGTGGGGTTTTGCCAGAGACCCACCTCTAGAATTTCTCTGTCTCCTGCCTCTATCATTATATCAGTAGTTATCCTTGCTTACTAGAATATTGTTAATAAGGTTATTAACTGGGAAATTAAATCAAAGTTATTTAGCATTCATATAAATGCCCCTATAATAAGGAATGATTACTTAAGCTTAAATATTATTTTACTGTTAAAGATACAAAACCTTTGGCCGGGCGCGGTGGCTCACGCCTGTAATCCTAGCACTTTGGGAGGCCAAGGCTGGGAGATCACCTGAGGTCGGGAATTTGAAACCAGCCTGACCAACATGGAGAAACCCCGTCTCTACTAAAAATACAAAATTAGCCAGGCATAGAGGCGCATGCCTGTAATCCCAGCTACTCGGGAGGCTGAGGCAGGAGAATCGCTTGAACCTGGGAGGCAGAGGGTGCGGTGAGCCGAGATCATGCCATTGCACTCCAGCCTGGGCAACAAGAGCAAGAAAAAAACTCCATCTCAAAAAGGAAAAAAAAAAAAAAGATACAAACTCTTTATCCATAATATTCTAAAATGATGTTAAACATTACATAAAATTGTTATACACAATTCGACGTGAACTTATAGAAGTTAGTCAGATATAAAAATATCCTATAAGAAATAGCTTAAATATACAAATAAAAATTCCTATAAACTATGTGAAAAAATGCTTCTCTTTGTGTTTACACATTTAATACACAGGATTAAAATGTTAAAAATTGATTATTTCTATCACACAATGTTTTTAGATAGCATGGCTATATAGGAAGATTATTGATTATCCTGGTGAATCAAAACCAACATCATTTCCTCAAATTTATAAGGATGGTTTTGTGCTTATTTTCCCCCAAGTTTATGATATCCAAGTTCACACATTCAGTACTTTTATGATGTAATTTCTTGGATGCATCTCCTATATTATAATTTGGATAGAGATTTTCCTTGTAATTACAGCAAAGTTTACACTATACTCAAAACCATGTAAAAATTATCTCTGACATGAAACATGAAGCTGTTGAAATATTGGGATGACTAAGACTTTCACCCAGAGAAAACAAAGTGATAGAATATTTTCATTGAATTTTGAATCCTACCCCTGATAAAGGCAAACCATCACTTACTCCCTCTTATTAGTCACAGCTATTTTTGTTACAAATGACAACACAGCTCAATCTTACCTCAGCACAAAAATAACTTATTGACTCAAAGGATGGCACTATCTTCAGGCATGGCTGGCTCCAGGAATTCAAAGAGCTGTAAGAACTCTTTATCTTTCTATCCGTATTTCAATTTGGACTCACTCTCAGATAGATGTGGTCCAATACAGCAGCAAGTTTCCCAGGCAACTGTCAACTTACATGTTCCTTGGAGACTGACATGCAAGAAAAATAAAAGTATGTGTTTTGCCAAATGGCTTCAGTGCAAGACCCAGCCCAGATTCTTATTAACCCAGTTTGGATCGTATACTGATTTATGGACTAATTACTTGTCTATGAATGGAGAACTCTGACTGGTCAGATATGTATGTGCACACTATTGCCAATGGGCCTTGGAAATGTGTTCAGTCACACCAGAACCAGTCAATGATCATAATAATGGTAAATACATCTCTGAAGAATAGGATACTGAGCAGACCAGAAATAAATACACCTGATCTTCCTGAGCCTGAATCTTCACATTAACTATTTTAAGAAAATTTAGGTTACAGGATTTTATAAATTTATATTAAAACATATATTTAACTAAAACCTCAGAAGTTTCTTCTGCATTTAGTCATACCAGGTAAGGTAAATCATATTTCTCAAAATATTTAATTCATTTTAATTAATATTTTATATGCATGGGAAGCCATGCATTTAAAATAATATATTACTGAAAGGCACTGAAAAGTGAGCTTCTGCAAATGTTTAAATTGAATAAAGGTAAACAATATTTACTAAGAATCCACTGTGATAAAGATGTTAAGGGAATTTCAATAGGCATCCCAAGTAACAGCAATAATTATATTTATGAATTGAGGAGTAATTCTAAATCAGTGTTAAAATAATCCACCCAAGATTAGGGGACATAACTGAGTTTGTGACTATTCAAATCTCCTGTTTGTTTCTTTTTTAGTCTCCCGCTATCCAGTGCTAGATTCTATATTCCTACTAATTTTGCTATATACTGATAGATACATTATGAAGTAGCTGAGAAAATGAGCTTGGAGATCAATGTGAATGGAGGCAAAATTAGTCATTTCTATTAACTGTTCCCTTAAATTTCTCAACTTCTCTCAGTAGCAGTTTAGATCAAATACATCTAGAACCCATCATCAATCCGTTTAGCTACCTTCTTGCCAATGATACCACTTCCTTTGCCTTTGTGTCCAAACTCTAAATCAACCCAACCCTCAGACTTTTCTGAATCTGACCTTAAGAGCAATTACAAAGAAAACCACACAACCATGCAGACAGATGTCACTCTATGTGTAGACTTCTATCTGTACAAGGCCTTCAGAACTTACTGGATTTATTAGTTTACAGTTCCAGGGGTTAGAAGTCTGAAATGGGTTCACTGGGCTAAAATCAAGATGTCAGCAGAGCTGGGTTCCTTCTGGAGGCTTTAAAGGAGAAGATGTTTCCTCGCCTTTTCCAAATTCTAGAGGCTTCCTGGATTTCTGCACATATGATTCCCATTAGCAATCATATGACTCCAATCTCTGTTTCTCTGCTTCTGTCTTCACATCTCCTCTGATTCTGACACTTCTCTTATAAAAACCATTGTGATTACATTGAGCCCACACAGATAATCCAAGATAACCTTCCTATCTCAAGACACTGAATTTTATCACATCTGCAAAGTCAAATCTTCTATGCAAGGTAACATATTGACAGGTTTGGGGATAAGAACATAGACATCTTTGGGAGACCATTATTCAGTCTATTACACCTTTCTATCAGCGTGTTGAAATGTTCATTGCTTTCCTATTCTCACTCCCTTAACCTTACTTGAAATCAACTCATTTTTTAAACTCTTCAGAACCAATCTTCTTGAGCTGCCTAGAGAAATGTATTTTTCCTCATCACCCTACATACACATACACAGGTAGTACAGAAACGACTTCCACCAAGGCCACTGTGACTATTTTTAAATTACAAAAACCTCTTCAGTTCTTACACTTGACTCTTTAGTTGCATTTGCAGTGTCGGTAACTCATTGCTTCTTAACACACATACATAGGTATCTACGACTTCTACTTTTCTGGTTTTCCACTTGTGTCTCTTGTTCTTTTACAGTTTACTTTCAGGATTTTTCTTCCTCTGCCTATTATTTTTATGTTACTTTTTCTCTGGTTCTGTTAGTCTTATTAGCTACTGGCTGCAAAAATCTCTCTAGGTTGGCTCAAAAACACTATCATTGCAAATTCTTTTAAAAAATACCAAAAAGTTTGTAGTTTCCACATTTGGAATAGATCTCTTTTTATTGCAGACTATATGTACAACTGATTACTATAATTTTAATTAGATAGAGAAAGCACTCTGATCCTATTCTACCCCCTCTGTTTCTTATGCTCAAACAAAAATCTTCAATCTCATTCTTGAATTTTCCTCTATATCCTCACCATCCAATTTGTCATAATTCTTCTGTGTTCTTTATTTTAAATACATCCTGTAATGTTTTACTTTATTTTTATGGTCATGACCATGGTTCATGAAAAGGTTTTCTATCATCTGAATTATTTTTATAGCCTTCAGGCAAGTTTCCCTTCTTCAAATGTGGCTTCCTTTCTAAGCTATGTTCTGTGATAAAGCCAGAGGGATTTTTCTAAAATGCCAATTACCTCTTCCCATTCTCATGCTTAAAATCTTTCATAGTTTTCCATTGCTCCTGGATAGGACCAGCTTCATGGGCATGGGACATGTGTAGTTGCACAGGATCCTGCTCTGAGAATGCTCTGCTCTACCATCTTAAAATTCTTAATATTTTTTGAACATGAAGCCCCATGTTTTCATTTTGCACAGGGCCTCACAAATTATAGAGCCAGCCCTTTTTTAATATTTGCCTATCTTAATTATAGAGCTGGCCCTGTTCTTACATTTAATTACTTGGCCTCTGTCCTTTGTCCCTTTAGCAACTCAAGTTGCTCTTTCTGTCCAAATGCACAGAGACATAAACACACACACAATCATTACAACTCAACCATTTACACTCCGTCTCCAATGCTTTATTGAGCTACTATTCAATCTGTAGATCTCTGTTTCAATATTAATTTCTGGAGGAAGCCATTACACACACTATTTCATAGCCAGTCCGAAGCACAGGGCATCTCTGCTTCTGTCTTGTGGCGCTCATTTATCTATGGTAACTGGTAATCTGCTTTTCTGTATCTGCCAGTGTATGCTAAGGTACATGCAACTGTTAACTATTTTACCCATAGCGCATTACATATTTATTGTTATTAAGGATATTTATAAATACTTAGTTTCTGAAGGGTTAACAAATAGTAATTTTCTTTCTTTTATTCAATAGAAGAAAACATGTAGATGTTAAGACCATCTACTTAATATGGATCTGTGGCAGCAAACATAATATAATTATTATATTTCTATTGATAAGCTTTGTACATCTGCCAAAATTCAGAGACGCACTAGCATCTTGGGTTTTACTTGTGCAAATACTGCAAGAAAGGGAGTATTTTCACAGCTCAAATATTTTAAATTATATAATTTATTATTGACTGCTCTCTTGGTTGACTTTTACAGGGATGGTCTTTTATAGTCATGCAAATATTATTATTATTCTGATAAAGTAAGCCTATTGTTAGCTAAAATCCATGATGAAGACCAAAATAAGTGTAAAATGAAAGGTCAGTTTTCCTGTCTTACTATGATTGTCAAAGCAACCTCTTATTTGTACTATGTAAATAAAAGACTAGAGAAAATGATATTAGCATGAAAGCATACAGGCAGAGATATACTAAGGCCTTTGTGTAAACTAAATAACAGCATGGTACACAATGCTATAAAGGCACTAAAAAGTGAGCTTCTGCAAATGTCTACATTGAACAAAGGTGGGAAATTCTTCCCCATCACAAAATTTTGTCAGAATGCCTAGTCTCAGCATGTTCTTCAAGGTATTGTACAATGGGATAGAACTGATTTGGCTACAGATATGCCCAGTTATCTGGACTTTATTATCCACATTCACCGAGTGACAGCCTCGTCGTGATCATCATCATCATCCTTCTCATGAAACAATATTTACTAAGAATCCACTATGATAAAGATGTTAAGGGAATTGCAATAGGATAAAAATTAATACAGTCTTTAAATTTTATTAATTTACAATTTTTAAAAATTATGCTAAGTGAAATGAGCCAGACACAGAAAAATACTGCATGATCTCACTTACATACAGGATCTTTTAAAAAATCAAGTATATTAAAACAGAGAGTAGAACAGTGGTTACCAGAGGCAGAGAGAGGGAGGAAATGAAAAGTAGGCCAAAGAATACAAATTTGTAGTTAGGTAGGATGACTAAATCTAGAGATCTAAGGCACAACATGAGAACTATAGTTAATAATATTGTATTGTATACTGAACAGTTGTTAAGATAATAGATTTGAGGTGTTCTTACCACAAGAAGGGAAAGATAACTATAGAGGTGATGGATGCATACATTTGACTGTAGTATTAGTTATCATTTCATTATGTATATGTATAATAAATCTGAACATCATGTTATACATTCTCAATATATACTATAAAAATATATATATTTTTTAAATGAGCTATCAAGCCACAAAAAGATGTGGAGGATGCTTAAATACATACAACTAAGTGAAAGAAGCCAGTGTGATGAGACTGCACATTGTCTTAGTCCAACTACATGGCATCCTGGAAAAATTAAAACTAGAAAGACAGAGTAAAAGAGCAGTGCTTTCCAGGGATTTGTAGGGAGCAGAGGAGATGTATAGGAGATACATGGGGGATTTTTAGCCAGTGAATCTATTCAGTATAATATAATGGTGGATACATGATATTTAGTATTTGTCAAAACCCACAGATCTGTACAACACGAAGTGCTAATGTAAACTGAGAGCTTTAGTCAGTAATAATACACCAATATTTGTTCATCAATTATAGTAAATGTACCTGGTGCAAGGTATTAGTGACAGGGAGATCTATGAGGCAGAAGGAGAAAGGAGTATATAAGAACTCTGTACTATTTGCTGGAGTTTTTGTAAACATAATACTGCTATAAAAATAAAATCTATTAATTTAAAAAATATCCTAAATTGTATTGAAGGAGAGCTAAGGACCCTATTTAATACAGCATGCAAATACGTACTTTGCTTTCTTAAGACTTTTCTCATTTATATTTCTGCACAGTGAATTTGCCATATGTTCATCTAGCTGGATTAATGTAAGAACATTTCTCATAAAGTGAGCAGAAATATTGTTAGATAAAAGCTTACAGATACTATGAGCCATAGTGAAACTATGAAAAATAATAAAACATAAAACCGATTGCAAAATAATGCAGCTAGAAAGCCAATAAAATTATGCTATCACAAGACTGGTACCAAGGAAGAAAGACTGTGTGCTGGGAACAGATATAGCACCAGCACACAAGACAGATGCTCTTCATAGCACTTTTATATAAACTTATTTGGGTACAGCTGGGAGGGGCATTGCCAGTCACATCCAGATAGTGCTCATTAGAGAAGCTGTGGCAAATGATAACAGAAACTCAATTTTCCCTCCCAAGAACTATCTGCTAAAGAGGAGTTGTCATTCAGCCTTTGGGAATGTTTCCCCATGTGCAGATGTTTCTATTCTCTGGGTGCATAATCAGATCTGTCATTAGCACTTCCAGTCTTTTCTGTTTGGGCAGAGAAGAGAGTGTTTCCCGCTTACGAGAGAATCTAAGTGTTTGTTATGCCATAGTCAAAAATAAAATGGGATTTACTTCCAGGATCTCATTTAGGCTTTATACTATCTATTGTGAAAAGGTAGGTTCCTCCTCAATGTTATGACAAATTTTTCAATTTGTCTGAATATATACATGCATTAAAAAATAGAAGCCTAATGCACCAGGAAATAGCCCTTTTCTCACCCTGTAGTCACTTTTACCATGAATTTTCAATGCTGTTTTACCCTTGACTATAAGGCTCACTATCTTGCTGAATGTTTTTCTTCAATTTTTTTTAAAGAAAAGGAAAAATCATTTCAAAGGCCAATTGATTATTTTTTCAAGCATGTTGTGGTTTTCAAGTTAGAGATGGATTGGTTAATTAAAATTTGAGGGGTGGATTTCCTCTTCTCAAGTGCAGGGATAACATGTTACACTTATTAGGAATAAGTAGCATCAAAATCGTTAGATATGGGAAAGGGACTCAGGATATACAGAATCTAAAATCTACATAACCAGGGAATATCCTCATAAACTTGACACAGTTTTTACTCGTTTGAGGACAATTGGGATGGTCATGAATGCCTGGTCCTTTTCCCACTGGACCACACTGTAAAATGGCACTTCTGTACTCCCTTTTATGTATGTCCAGGTGACTATCTTTGGTTGAAGACATGTGGTCAAAGGTGATGTGTTACCTTTTGAGTGGAGTCTGAAGAACCAGGGCGTGGTTTCTTTTACCTACTTCCTTATCAACTGTTGTGGTAATAATGAAAGAATGAGAAGGGGCTTCTGCCAATCCTACGGGTCTAAAATTAGTAACCTCCTGCCAAATGACCTCAAACATATGATGTGGGTGAAAAAAATTGTCTTTTAGCTACTGAGATTTGGGAAATATTCATTACTGCATTGTAACATAAGTATTCTGACTTACATGAAGTAAGGTCAAAACTGAGTGTAAAAGGACAAACAGGAGTTAATTAGAGGAATGAAAGGCGAGGAGTATTCTAGAAAAAGGGGATATCACAAGCAAAGATACAGGAAGATTTAAAAGCCTATGACTGGGATAGAAAGCATGCACAATTAATGACTCGGATTTGGTAAAATCAGCACAGAAATCTGCTCAAGAAGTACATTTTTAGCCATGTACTAGTCTGTTTTTACACTGCTGTAAAGAACTACCCAAGACTGGGTAATTTATAAACAAAAGAGGTTTAATTGACTCACAGTTCCACATGGCTGGGGAAGCCTCAGGAAACTTAGTCATGGCGGGAGGCAGCTCTTCACAGGGTGGGATGAGAGAAGAAACGAGCAAGAGAGGACCTACCAAACACGTATAAAACCACAGATCTTGTAAAAACTCACCCACTGTCACAAAAACAGTATGAGGGGAACTGCCCTCACAATCCAATCACCTCCCACCAGGTCTCTCCCTCAATGCTTGGGAGTTACAATTCAAGATGACATTTGGGTGGGGACACAAATCCTAACCATATTAAGACACATATTAAATACAAGAAACAGGATTGCTGGAGATTTTGAGGGAATAAAGGATGAGGGAATGTTAAGTACATATTTTAAGAAATCAACTTCTCCTTTTCCTAGAGGATATATTCCTTGGAAGCCTTCTCTCTGCTGTCTTCCCTATTTCTTCCCATAGTCTATGGCCACTGCAATCTGTAAGGACTTCTCAAAGCAAGCTTTTGACCTCTTAGAAAACCTGCAGATTTTGGTTTTGGTGTCTTTTATTGCTCACGTGTATTTTACAAAGTGGACAGGAAGATTAAACCAGATATAAACTTACAGATGCTACAAGCTTTAGTGACATGAATGGTCTTTTCCCAATTGCAAAATAATACAAATAAGGTTAAAATGCTTTTTATGTATTATATGTGAATAGTATATATTCTATAGGTAAGTTTTCACAAATTTGAATGTATGGACACATATTTCATCTAATGAAATTTTAGAGTTGTCACCAAAACATTATCTGACAGATCCTTTATGATTGATTTTTATCTATAGCCTATATATTTTCCCCAATAATTCTATAGTATCTCAGTAGTGATTAACTTATGCCTTTAATTGCTGAATCCTGGTCATTAAAAAAGTGCTGATTACTTTAAAATTCACTAAAGTTCTTTGATATTAATCCTCTTCCTGAATAACTTTTATTGATTTATTAGCATTACTCCTATCCAATTATCTTTCATTAGATTTTAAAAAATAATAATTTTCTTGTAATAAAAACTGAATTCAAATAAAATGTGCAAATTAGCTTCCTTACCAATCTTTAAAATAACAGTCAAATTCCATTGACTCTGGTTTTTCTATAGTGTAGAAATAAATAGACTATAAATAATCAGGCTTGCTGAGTATAAATCTAAACTTGTCAGACTTAGCTAGTTAGAAACTGTTTTTTTGTACTTCTGTTAGTCATGAAAGATATGCAGAATTGCTTCTATGTCACTTTTAAGTAGCTGAACATTTCTATGTATGCGTATTCCCTGGGGATATTGAAAATAGAAATTTCAAAAAAATTAAGTACCAGATTGTCTAGGAGCATAAACACAAGGGGTAAAATTTTACCTTTAGCTATGTTAATGCAAATGTGGTCACAGTCATGAATATATTATTTTTATTCTTCTGAATCTGAGATTGCCTATATCAGAAATGGAATTTTAGCTCATTTATCCTGTGGATATAACACATTACATATGTACTAGTGAGAACATCTTTTTTTATTCACTTTTTTTTTTTTCGGGTATTACAAAATGTAACTGGTAGCTCATTCTCTTATAAAGTCTGAGAACTCCCTCCTACTATAAAATGGTTATATCAACAAAAGACTATCACTGCAGTGTAAACCATAGCAGTGCTTGAAGTTACTGGCCCTGGCAGGCTCCTTCTCCAGGGTTATGAGATCAAACAAATTGAATCGATCAGCGAGCTCTGTGAACCACTGGCCACTTCCATGAGACAAACCTATTCCCCAGGAAATTGTTAAGTTGTTTTTCAGTCTTGATCAAATTGAAGAGTTATGTTAGTATTGTATAGAAAACGTTCAAACTTACCAGACCTTAATCAGGACCCTTTTCAAGTGGCCATATTTTCCGTAGATGTGTATGTATGAATGTATATGTGTGTAAACGTCAGGTGGGAGTTTGCAGTACTTAAATATCATGTACTATATAGCATTATTATATTTCCTTACTCGTATCCACTCAAAAGGTAGAAACAATAGACAACTAACCATGATATCAGGCAAGAAAATGTAATGTCTTTAGGTTTCCCTTTAAAATGGAGGCACACCAAGAGAATATGAAACTGTCTTTATTAATGCTTTAGCTCATATTCACATTGCTGATGTGCATATCAAAAGTATTATTTTTCCTGTCATTTATTTTACTTGTTTGCATTGACTCCGTAACATGACTGCAGATGGGCCTGCTGGAATGGTGAGATGGACCATATATAAATGAAAATGATACTTAAGTGTTTTAAAATTTGTCTCTTAAAGTTAAAACTTGTATCTTTTAATCTAAAAGCGATTATAGGAATCATGATTATCAAAGCTCTGGGTTCAAATACATAAAGATAGCAAACATTTACTGAGTAGTTACATGGGCCAGGCACAATCCACGTGCCTTCCTTGAACTATCTCATTTAGTCTTCTCAACAGTCCTGTGAGGTATTCACTGCTACTATCTGCCATTTGCACATGAGAAAAGTAAGTCTTGGAGAAGTTAAGTCATTACTTTTAACTTTGTAACTTGTATTTCTAAACAGATGCTAAAACAATGGAACACTTTCATCAATGTGAGAGTGTCTTGAATTGCAAGAACAGGTGTATGTAATTACCAGTTTTAAATTCAAATTAAGGCTTTATTCTCCCTTTAACACTCACCACACATAAAATTAAACATGGGACATCACAATGTTGTTACTGGTGCATCTCTGGCTGTAACACTCATGAGATGAATATATTGCCATGACCAAAAGGAAAAAAGGTAATGCTGTGGACAGATACAGAAAGAGGACTAACCGCATTTTGAAGGTTTATCACATGACTGTACTTGCAACGTTGGATAACTGAGTGTTTAAGAATTTGAGCTAATAGGTCACTCGATTTATTTACATAACATACTTTTATTCTTTTCAGATATAAATTAGTCCAATCATATTAAATATCATGTGCTGTGTGTAGAGTTGGGTAATGATCTCCATCAAATAATGACTGCAGAGGGTACACTTCACCCCAAGTGCCTTCTGTTCCAGCTGTTTCTACTCATCTTAATTTTCTTAATTGGGTTACAATTAGACTCTGAATGAGACGTTTACAGGGGAATTGGAGCTTTTCAACAAAAGAGTTTACTTCTTTTATTGTTTTGTGGTTCTTAAATTTCAGAGGCCTGTTTCTTGCTACCTGTTAATTAAAAAAAAATACAAAGTGTTTAAGACAAGCTTACGGCATACAAAGAATAACCTATTTACATCTCCACAGATCTAGCACTTTGGCTGCAAGAAAAGCACCATGTGGGAAAAATTCTTCAATTTTTTTTAAGGCTTGATAAAATGTTTATTCAAAATCCATTGTAATATCTCACATTTGTTTCTGGCCTTTTCTCCAGTTCTGACTTCACTGAGAAATTTGAAAGCTGTCAACTCTCCGAGGCTAGAATTAGAATGAGTAAAAGTGAAGTATCTGTCCTGGAACTAAGTCTTTGCTATTCAAAGCATAACCCTTGGATCAGCAACATCTCATCACCTGGGAGCTTGTTAGAAATGCAGACTCTCAGGCTCTGTTTCAACCTTATTCAATCAGAATCTGTACTTTAATAACATCCCCCAGGTAATTTTTATACATATTAAAGTTTGAGATGTCCAGAAAAATCTAATCGTAGCAACAAAACAAAGGCAATTCCAAATTCAAAAAAATCATTTTTAAATTCTGCGTCTCATCATGCATTCTGATTATGTATTAGTAAAAATATGAAATCCCACCTGGGCTTAATGCTAACTAAAATTTTAAATATTATCACTACTTTACATTTTTTAAAAAGAATAAAACATTTTAAAAAGCATTATGTAAGAAAAGCATGGAGTCAGATTTGAGTTGGGAACTGTTATTATGCTGGTTCTTTAGGCTGTTGTTTTCTAAGGGAACTAAATAACTCAATTTTCTTATCCTCTTTGGGTGAGTGGTGCTGTAAGTTTGAAGACTAATGTAAGGCTCTAGAGTCAGAAAGTATTTTATTCCATACCTAATTTTTCCACTATGTTTTGTTATTCATTTTAATAATTATACCCCTCTTATGTACTATGTAAGTTTATTTTACCCAATAAGGTATACTTTACTATTAAAAAAATTTTAATCAATAACATATGATATGGTTCAGGTCTGTGTACATGACCAAATCAAATCAAATGGTAATTCTCAATGTTGGAGGGCAAGCCTGGTGGAAGATGATTGGATTATGGGGGCAGCCTTCTCCCTTGCAGTTCTCATGACAGTGAGTGAGTTCTTACAAGATCTGGTTGTTTGAAAGCGTGTAGCACTTCCCCCTTCATGCTCTCTCTCTCTCCTGCCAGCCATGTGAATATGTACTTGCTTGCCCTTCACCTTCCACCATGATTAAGTTTCCTGAGGTCTTCCCAGAAGCAGAAACCTGTATAGCTTTCAGAACTGTGAGCTGATTAAACCTCTTTTTTCTTTATAAATTACCCAGTCTCAGGTATGTCTTTATAATAGTGTGAGAATGAACTGATACATAAAATTGGTACCAAAAAATGGGACATTGCTATAAAGATACCTGAAATGTGGAAGTAGCTTCGGAAATGTGGAACGGGTAGAAGTTGAAACAGCTTGGAGGGATCAAAAGAAGACAGGTTAGGGTATCTGGTGGAAGAAATTTCTAAGCAGCAAAGGATTCAAGATATGATCTGGCTGTTTCTAAAAGCATATGTTTATATTTGTAAGCAAAGAGATGAACTAAAACTGGAAATTATATTTAAAAGGGAAGCAGAGCATAACAGTTTGGAAAATTTGCAGCCTAGCCATGTGGTAGAAAAGAAAAACCAATTTTCTGGGTAGGAATTCAAGCCAGCTGCAGAAATTTGAATAAGAGGAGCCAAATTTTAATAGCCAAAACAATGGGGAAAATGCCTGGAAGGCATTTCAGAGACCTTCACAGCAGTCACTCCCATCATAGGCTCAGAGGACCAGGAGGGAAGAAGAATGGTTTCATGGGCCAGGCCCAGGGTCCTACTGCCTTGTGCAATCTCAGGTCACTGCTCCCTGTGTCCCAGCTGCTCCAGCTCTAGCTCCAGCTGTGGCTAAAAGGGCCCTGAATACATCTCAGGCCACTGCTTCAGAGGGTACAAGTCACAAACTTTGGAAGCTTTTACGTGATGTTAAGCCTGCAGGTACACAGAGGGCAAGAGGTGAGGCTTAGGAACCTCTGCCTATATTTCAGAGGATGTATGGAAACACCTGGCTGTCCAGGCAGACGTCTGCTGGGGGCAGTGCAGAGGAGAAATGTGGGGTTGGAGCCCCCACACAGAGTCCCCACTGGGGCACTGACTAGAGTGGAGCTGTGAGAAGAGGGCCACCATCTTCCAGACCCCAGAATGGTAGATCCACCAACAGCATGCATCATCCACTTGGAAAAGCCACAGGCACTCAATACCAGCTTGGGAAAGCAACCAAGGGGGCTGGATGTTGCAGAGTCACAGGGGTGGAGATGCCCAAGTCCTTGGGAGGCCATCCCTTGCATCAGTGTGGCCTGGATGTGAGACATGGAGTCAAAGAAGATTATTTTGGAGCTTTAAGATTTGTGAATGCCCTGCTGGGTTTTGTACTTGCATGGGGTCTGTAGCCCCTTTGTTTTGCTGATTTTTCCCTCTTGGAACAGGTATTATTACCCAATGCCTGTACCCCGATTGTATCTTAGAAATAACTAACTTGCTTTTGATTTTACAAGCTCAGAGGCAGAAGGCACTTGCCTTGTCTCAGATGAGATTTTGGACTATGAAATTTTGAGTTAATTCTGGAATGAGTTAAGACTTTGGGGGACTATTGGAAGGCATGATTGTGTTTTGAAATGTGAGAAGGACATGTGATTTGCGAGAAGTCAGGGGCAGAATGATATGGTTTGTGTCTGTGCCCCCACTCAAATATCTTGTTGAATTGTAATTCTCAACTTTGGAGGAGGGTCCTGGTGGGAGGTGATCGGATTATGGGGGCTGAATTCCCCCTTGCTGTTCTTACGATAGTGAGTGAGTTCTCATGAGTTCTGGTTGTTTGAAAGTGTGTAGCACTTCCCGCCTTCACTCTCTCTCCTGTGGGCCATGTGAAGATGTGCTACCTTCCCCTTCACCATCCACTGTGATTGTAAGTTTCCTGAGGCCTTCCCAGAAGCAGAAGCCTGTACAGCCCAAGGAATAGTGAGCCGATTAAACCTCTTTTCTTTATAAATTACCCAGTCTCAGGCATGTTTTTATAGCAGTGTGAGAACAGAATAATACAACATATTGTCAAAAATCTTGTTCCAAAGTAACAGACTCTTGAGGAACATTGTGTAGATATTCACGTATCATCTGTTGCCAACCACTGTTGTCAAAATTACTTAGCTGGGATTTTTGCTGCTGTCTTATGAGAAACAGGACACACTTGCTAAGCATCCGCACCTGTTAATAGCCACTTTGTTATCTCTCTTCACCTGTCTCTTTGTAGTCATGAGAATTGAAAACGTTATCTATAAATTGTATCTGCATTCCAATTATTAGACTAACAAGTTCCTGGCTGAGGAGGGGTTTTATAAGTACTGTACCTGGTTTGATAGCCAGGAATGATACTATTTGGAGCAAGTCATTGTACAATTAGCCCAGGTTTAATGATCACATCTGCTGTAAATTACCATGAACTTCATTTTATCCACATTGTAATCAACATTCAGAAAGGCTGTCCCTGTCCTTTCTTTTCTCCTACTTCACAGTCAACACTGAGTACCACCTCTTTAAAGGGCTCATGGATGCAGGATCTGGGCTTTTTTCTGCTTTCATAATTGCAATAGTACCTGCCTGTTCATCCTGACATGTGGCTGTATCCTGTGATAACAAAGGGATTGCCATCTTTTTTATTTGGCTCACCCATAATACATGTGGATTAAGGCATTAAATACGGGCTCCATCTAGTGGTAGCCAACTGCATTCTTTCTTGTTTTTACATAGGCTCTTTGGGATTTTCTGTGTTCCTGATCAAACCAATCTCTTTCTGTGTACTCATAAGATATTTTTCCATTGGATCTCTGTTGCTTACTGTACTGTTTACTTCCTGAGCACCATTTTTTGGGGGAGTGGGGATCTCCCTTGTGTTTGCAGCTCATTCTATCAGAGAACATGGCAGCCTTCCTGGTCTTTGCTCCTTCGCTAGATCTATTCTTTTATAGATTACAGCAAATTGGACACCTAGCAATTTGAAGTCTTTTTCTAGAATGCCCTCTCCCTGATAGTCCTTCTACTTCTCACTGTGGGCCCTGTTTGTATGCTGACAGGAAAACTACCTTCCTAGATGGAGTATTTCTACTCACTGATGGATGGATCTTTTGTATACTAAGAACTATATTGCCATAGTTGCTTTTTGGTCCCAGCATTAGTCCACAGTACAGTCTTTATATCATTTTTTGTTAATGGAGAGCAAGAAATCCTAAATAACACAGATACACAAATGTCTTCATTGCTACTATGATGTGTTACTACTACCTTAAAATAATTTTGGAAAACATGGCAAAAAACATAAGATTTATTATATCCAGGTGGTAAGTATATAGTGTTTGTCATACTCTCTTTACTTTTCTGAAGGTTTGATTTCACAATAATAGTTTTTAAATATAATTGTTTTGTTCTAATAATTTTATGAATTAAAGAAGGGAAATATGCAAAACGTTTCATATGATTTGGCTCTGTGTCCCCATCCAAATTTCACCTTGAATTGTAATAATCTCCGTACGTCATGGGAGGTGATTGAATCATGGGGTTGGGTTTCTCCTGTGCTGTTCTCATGATAGTGAATAAGTATCATGAGATCTGATGGTTTTATAAAGAGGAGTTCCTCTGCACATGACCTCTTGCCTGCTGCCACGTAAGACATGACTTTGCTCCTAATCTGCCTTCCGTCATGATTATGAGGCCTCCCCAGCCATGCTGAATTGTGAGTCAATTAAACCTCCTTATAAATTACCCAGTCTCAAATATGTCTTTATTAGCAGTGTGAAAACAGACTAATACACCTCTGTGAACAACTTTGTCAAGCTTTTATAACTTGTTATTGCTGACATAGGCTGAGCAAAAATGCCACGAAAATTTGAGATTTGTGCCAAGCAAAGCTGTCCTTGTGGTTTTGTCTGTTTGAATGCACTTCTCTCCCAAACTCCACAAATCTTGGTTACTTACTGACTTTAGAGGTCAAATATGACCTTCTCAGTGATGCCTTTCCTGCCCAATAACTAATAATCCCCTCTCCAATTATCCCTACCTTCTTCTGAATTTCACCTTTTGCACAAAAATTATCACCATTTTCATTTATGTATTCATTTTTAAATTGAATGTCTCCTAACATTTGAGTGTAAGTTCCATGAAAGCACTGTATATCTGGTACCTAGAATACTGTCTAACACATAGTTAGCACTAAATACATTACATTAAGTTAATATCAGATAATATGCCATTTCTCCCTTAGGATGTCCTGGTGTATGAGAGTTGGGGATAATATTTATTGACAATCCCATTAGTACCTTGAATATTCTATTTCTTGATATCTTTCTCCTCTGATACTCTGCCACTTCTTGATATCTATATTCAGACAGATGAACCTGCGGATGGAACAAATTACGCAGAATGTCTATTAAGACTTACTACCAACAGGAGTAGAAATTGTGAATTACCATAGTGAGCCAGAATAATCTAACTCTAGATATAATATACATAATGTCAATAGAGGGGATTTTATTCTTAGAGTTCTTGAATTCCTATAGCTATTCTATTGTGAGTTAGCTGAAATAAATGAGGATTCTTTCTTCAAGTTCTACTCAACACTCAGGAAAAGGGTAAAAAAAAAGTGATCTTCTTTATTTTCCTCAGCGATAAGAATTAATAACAGAAACTGGAAAGGAAAAGAACTGGTAAGCACTCAGAAAAGTTTCAAAGGCGGTATTAAACTGAACTTCAGATTCCAGCTTGAGAGGGCATAAACCAGAGAAGGAGGAAAAGCATTGTGATAAATATCTCATTTACAATTCCGCATTTCTGATTCCTTTTGTTTTTTTACTTGAATGCATCTTTTCAGTAGGGATTTTAGGAAGATTTCATCTAAATGAGTGCTCAGGAAGCCCTCTCTGCTCTCCACTGAGATGCCTTCAATTAAAAGTGATACTTCACACCAGTTATTCCAACTGCTGCTAAAATGTCAAAATGAGAAGCATGTTGGATTGTACCATGACCCAGAGCAAATGTAAATAACCACAGCACTGCAATAGCATCGTGTAGTAATATACCTTTCTTAAAATAAGGAGGATGTTTTAATTCAACTAACAAGCAAAAGTGGAAAAGTGAATTACAACTTTTCACATTATCAGCTACATTTTCCCCAGTCTTAGAGTAAAAACATATTTTTTCTTTTCAGTTTCTGTGCAAGGAACGCTGTGGATTCATAAAACCTGCCAAAGTAAGTGCATTGCTTTTTCTCTGAAGCAGAGATCAAGAACAAATAAGGCCTCCAGTTTTCAAAGGCAAGGAACAAATGACTTTATGCTGGATGTACATGGTGTTATTTGGAATAGGCAATGGAAAATGAAGTGAGACCAGGGACACAGTCTGGAAAGGCATTTTCTCTTCTTGGCTTAAATAATTGCTATAGAGACTGTTTACTATTGGTAAATACATTTTTTCTTTGATACTGTTTTTGTCTGTAGCTTGTCTTTTTTTCTTTTCAATAAGATTAAGAATCTAAGTAAGCTAAGAGCTGTAATATGTACAGATTCCGCCCCACAGGATTCATCTATTTATTAAGTGTCTATGTACACACTATACTCTCTTAGACTGTAAGCTCCACACAGCCAAAGTTGAATGCACTTGTAAACTGAGATTGCCACAATTGTTTTAACCCCTATAAAAAATCCTTACATTTTTACAGTAACTCATAATCTATGATTACTAAATCACTCCTGGATTTATGATATTACCCCATTTTGACATGAATACACTTAGGGGAGTTCCAAAAGGCAAAACTTTTACTGGGCATTTACAAATTTATCATAAATTAAATGATTATTCTTCTCCTCCTCCTCCTACTCCTCCTCTTCTGTGACTGCCTGACATTGCTTCACTAAAACTTTAATAATTTAACTTTAAAATAAATATCACTTACTTAAAAGCAGGCAAATAGTTTATAGATATTTTATAATCATGGCTATTAAAATATTTTAAAATAATTATTTATTTTAGTTTATTTTCTATGGTGTCCAAAGGACTTATTTTTATCAATCCCTACCATTTTTCCATAAAAGCATAATTAACCTTCAAGGATGCATGTTAGCACCTGAAAGCCTCAATAATATTTGTAAAAATGAATGCAAATTTTCTATTTAGGATTATATTAAATAAAAAAGAACATTCTGACTTCCCTGCCAATTATCAAAAGTTACTTCAGTAAAAAAGAAATGCATATGTATGATTTATTGTACTATAAATACACACAACATGCACATGTACAGACACATACATTATGTTTTTAATATTATGCTTTCAAATTGGGACAGCCAAGGAACAAAAGGAAGGACACCAATGAAGACTATTTGCTTTTTTGAACTCCTCTGTGTTTTAAAAATTACAATTGTGAATCTCCTTTTAAAAATCTTTATTATACATTGACATTAAAGCTGACTTATCATTTTATTTAGTAGACAGACATCCCTAGCTTCCAGGCTTCATGACACAGAAGAGGTTTCAACATGTTTTTTCCAGTTTCCACTTTTGTCTTGTCCCATCTCAATTTTCTGATCCCTTATTGAGATTGCTTGAATAGAAATACTCGTATTTTTTCCTTGTGAAACAACATTGTCATATCCTATTTTCTGAGATAATACTGCTATATTTTCAAAGTTATATTCAACCTATGATTCCCTTATCTCTCCAAATTCACTATGTTTGAGGAGAGTTAAATCTTCTTTTGCCTTTAAAATTAACCTCCAAGAACATTCAGGCACAGGAAATTCAGCAATGACAACTCAGTTTCTGTTAATAAATAACTAGTTTTTACTCCTTCTATAAATGAACATCTTAGTTTTAGTTTAGTTAGATTTAACAGTCTAAATAAAAGAATGTTTTTTCTATTTCTTACCTTCATTAGATCATATTTTTTATTAGGCCTGGATGCTGAATACTAAATCCATTCAATAAGGACAAGATTGATTTATCATATTCATTTGAAGGTGGTGGTATCTAATGAGTATACAAGAAGATGTTTTGCCTTTACAATAAATTGATGAAATTTCATTATACTCAGTATAATCTTTAGGTACTCAAAGCAAACTTGCTGGCACTGGTGGGAAAGATCAGATGTTAGAAACCATAACTTGAGGACCAAAAGACAACAGTATCCTTATTACCTAATCAGAAGATAAGAAAGGCAATCTTTCAAGTAGGTGCCAAGCCCATGAGATTTTATCATGAAAAACAAATAAAGCAAAGCAACAATCTAGTATTTTTCATTTTTAACCATACATAAACTAAAAGGGTGTAAGTCACAGCACAAATATCTAAGGTCTGTAATACTCTGACAAAAGAATGGTATAAATTTTAACGGATTATTCAATATTTTGTTGAATTCTAGCTGTATGTGGATTTGATGACTTCTCAAACTCTTTATAGCTCCTCAAATTGCTGAGTCTATCAACGTATAACCTTTCACTGTTTGAAGTAGTTGTGACAACAAAACATCCCCCCATCATGCACAATATAAACAGCCTTCAAGAAACTTGATGAAGCTAGGAATGTTTTATCTAGTTTCATTTTAGAAATAGAGGGAAAAATATCTGAGATTTTGCAGATATTTCTCTTTTTTTCTGTTTAAAAGTAATTTCATTTTTAAAATAAAAACTGTCATTAGCTAACTTTTTACATCTCAAAGATTTTGTGTGGCTTTGAACAGTGTACAATATGTTCTCTTTCCTTGAGGTTGTCTGATATAAGTGAATTTGTGGTGGTATAAATATATTAAAGAGAACCAATGTTTCTCTCTTTAAAAATTGCTAACATCAACACTTTCCCATAAGGAGAGAACAAATAAAAGAGAAAGTTTATCTTTATGGTACATGCAAATTATTCTCTTTACACAAATAAAGGCACACCAAGAGAGAGTGAGGGCTACATACTTTGAAATGATGAGATCTCATGAGAACTCACTACCGTGAGGACAGTACCGAGAAGGATGGTGCCAAATCATTCATGAGGGATCCATCCCCATGATCCAACCACCTCCCACCAGGTCCCACCTCCAACAACTGGGTGTATTTGTTCTCACGCTGCTACTAAAGACATACTCAAGACTGGGAAATTACTACTACTTGTCATAGTAGCCTTATGTAACAAAAAAATATAATTCAAAAACAGTTGATAACAATAATTGGTAAATCTGAAGTGACTGATGCATGTATATATATGTATATATGTAGAAATAGAAAAACTCAGTGTATATTTGAAAGGTAAGAAAATGCCTTCAAGATGAACTAATTTATCACTATTCTCAATTTTTAAATTGATACATCATAATCGTATATATTTATGGGATATATGTGATATTTTGGTATATAAATACAATGTGCTATGATTAAGTCAGGGTAATTGGGATATCCATCAATTAAAGCATTATTCCTGTGTGGTGAGAACATTCCAACTCTTCTCTTTTAGCTATCTTGAAATATACAATAAATTATTGATAACTATAGACACCATACTGTGCTGTCAAACACTAGAGAGTATTTCTTCTAACTGTATTCTTTTTAACCCATTAACTAACCTCTCTTCATCTCTTCGTCTCCCCTCCCCCTACCTTTCCCAGCCTCTGGTAACCACCTTTCTACTCTATCTCCTTGAGGTCAACTTTTTTAGCTCTTACATATGAAAGAGTACGTGTAACATTTTTGTTTCTGTGCCTGGCTTATGTCATTTCACAGAATGTTCTCTAGGCTCTTCCATGTTGCTGAAAATGATAGGATTTCATTCTTTTTTATGACTGGATAATATTGTCTGTATATTTACTAATTTTTCTTTATCAATGGATCCATTGATGGACACTTAGGTTTAAACTATATTGTGGTGTAAACAGTGCTGCAATAAACATGGGAGTGTAGATATCTTTTCAATATACTGATTTTCTTTCTTTAGATATATACCCAGCAGTTGGATTGCTGGATCATATGATAGTTCTACTTTTAGTTTTTTGAGTAACATCCATACTATTCTCCATAGTGGCTGTACTAATTTGCATGCAATATAGGACAGTTCTCCTTTTCCCATATCCCCTCCAACATATATTATTGCTCGTCTTTTGGATAAAAGCCATCTTAACTACAGTGAGATGATATCTCATATGGTCATGTTTTAATTTGCATTGCTCGAATGATGGATGAGGTTTAGCTTTTTGTTTCCCCACATACCCATTGGCCATTTGTGTATCTTGTTTTAAGTAATGTCTAATCAGATCTTTTGTCCAGTTTTTAGTCAATTTTTCCCTATTGAGTTGTTTGTGCTCTTTACATATTGTGGTTATTAATCCCTTGCCAGATGAGTAGTTTGCAAATATTTTCTCCAATTTTGTGAGTTGTCTCTTCACTTTGTTGATTGTTTCCTTTGCTGTGCAGTAGCTTTTTAGCTTAATGTGATTCTACTTGTCAACTTTTATTTTGGTTGCCTGTGCTTTTGAGGTCTTACCCAAAATATCTTTGTCCAGACCAATGTCCTGAAGCATTTCCCTAATAATGTTTTCTTCTAATAGCTACAGAGTTTCAGGTCTTACATGTAAGTCTTTTCATTTTTATTTGCTTTTTCCAATATGGTGATACAAGGATCTAGTTTCTTTCTTATACATGTGATATCTGGTTTTTCCAGCACCATTTACTGCAGAGATTGTCCTTTCCCAAATATATATTCTTGAAACCTTTGTTGAAATGAGTAGGCTGTAAATATGTGGATTTATTTCTGGGTTCTCTATTGTATTCATTCATTCTTACACTACTAGAAAGAACTGCATGAGACTGGGCAATTTATAAAAGAAAGAGGTTTAATTAACTCGCAGTTTTGCATGGCTGGGGAGGCCTGAGGAAACATAGAAGCATAGTGTAAGGGGACTCAAACATGTCCTTCCTCACATGGTGGCAGGAAGGGGAAGTGCTGAACAAAGGGGAAAAGATTGTTATAGAACCATCATATCTTTTGAGAACTCACTATCATAAGAACAGCATAAAGGTAACTGCCCCCATAATTCAATTACCTCCCACCAGATCCCTCCCACAACCCATGGGGATTATAGAAACTACAATTTAAGATGAGATTTGGGTGGGGATACAGCCAACCTATATCATTTTTCCCCTGGCCCCTCTCATATCTCATGTCCTCACATTTCAAAACACAATCATGCCTTCCCAACAGTCCCTCAATATCTTAACTCATTCCAGCATTAACTCAAAAGTCTAATTCCAAAGTCTCGTCTCAGACAAGGCAAGTCCCTTTCACCTCTAAGCCTGTAAAAATCAAAATAAAGTTAGCTACTTCCTAGAAACAATATACGTACAGGCACTGGGTAAATACACTCATTCCAAATGGGAGAAATTGGCTAAATTAAAGGGTCTATGGGCCTCATGCAAGTCCGAAATCCAATAGGGCATTCATAAACCTTAAAGTTCCAAAATGATCTCCTTTGACTCCATGTCTCACATCCAGGACATGCTGATGCAAGAGGTGGGTTCTCATGGCCTTGGGCAGTTCTTGCCATGTGGCTTTGCAGGGTACAGCCCCACTCCTGGCTGTTTTCATGGGCCAGTGTTGAATGTCTGAAGCTTTGCCAAGCACATGGTGCAAGCTGTTGGTGGATCTATTATTTGAGAGTCTGGAGGCTGGTGTCCCTCTTCTCACAGCTTCAGCAGGGAGTGCCCCAGTAGGGACTCATGTGTGAGGGCTCTGACCCCACATTTCCTTTCCACACTGCCCAAGCAAGAGGTTCTCCATGAGGACACTTCCCCTGCAGCAAACTTCTGCCTGGACAATCAGGCGTTCCTATACATCCTCTGAAATCTAGGTGGAGGTTCCCAAACCTCAGTTCTTGACTTCTGTGCACCCACAGGCCCAACATCATGTGTAAGCCACCAAGGCTTGGGGCTTGCACTCTCTGAAGCAACGGCCTAAGCTGTGTGTTTGCCCCTCTTAGCTGTGGCTGGAGTTGAAGCAGCTGGGATGCAGGGTACCACATCCCAAGACTCCATAGAGAAGGGGGACTCTAGGCCTGGCTCACAAAACCATATTTCCCTCCTAGGCCATCAGGCCTGTGATGAGAGAAGCTGCTGCAAGGTTCTCTGACATGCCCTGGAGACATTTTCCTCTTTGTCTTAGTGATTAGTTCAGCTCCTTGTTACTTATGCAAGTTTATACAGCTAGCTTGAATTTCTCTCCAGAAAATGGGTTTTTCTTTTCATGCCCAGGTTGCAAATTTTCCAAACTTTTATGCTCTGCTTCCTCTTGTATGCTTTGCTGCTCAGGAATTTCTTCTGCCAGATACCCTAAATCATCTCTCTCAAGTTCAAAGTTCCACAGATCTCTAGGGAAAAGGTGAAATGCCACCAGTTTCTTTGTATAGCAAGAGTGACCTTACTCCATTTTCCAACAAGTTCCTCATCTCCATCTGATATCACTTCAGCCTGGACCTCATTGTCCATATCACTATCAGCATTTTGGTCAAAACAATTCAACAAGTCTCTAAGAAGTTCCAAACTTTCCCACACCTTCCTGTTTTCTGAGACCTCTGAGTCTCTAGAAAGTTCCAAACGTTTCCACATTTTCCTGTCTTTTTCTGAGCCCTCTAAACAGTTCTCTGCCTGTTATGCAGTTGCAAAGTTGCTTCCACATTTTTGGGTATCTTTACAGCAGATCCCCACTCCCAGTACCAATTTACTGTATTATTCTGTTCTCATGCTGTTACAGAGAACTGCCTAAGACTGGGTAATTTATAAAGAAAGGAAGTTTAATTAAATCACAGTTCTATATGACTGGGGAGGCCTCAGGAAACTTACAATCATGGAGTAAGGGGAAGGAGACACATTCTTTTTCACATGACACCAGGAGAGAGAAGTGCCGAGAAAGGGGGAAAAGCCACTTATAAAACCATCAGATTGGCCAGGCATGGTGGTTCATGCTTGTAATCCCAGTACTTTGGGAGGCTGAGAAGGGTGGATCACCTGAGCTCAGGAGTTCGAGACCAGCCTGGCCAACATGCTGAAACCCTGTCTCTACTAAAAATACAAAAATTAGCTGGTCATGTTGGTGGGCACCTCCAATCCCAGCTACTCAGGAGGCTGAGGCAGAAGAATTTCTCGAACCCAGGATGCGATGTTGCAGTGAGCCAACATCATGCCACTGCCCTCCAGCCTGGGCAACAAGAGAGAAAATTAGTCTCAAAAAATAAAAATAAATCATGAGATCTTGTGAGGACTCACTTACTATCATGAGAACAGCATGAGGGTAACCACTCCCATGATTCAATTACCTCCCACCAGGTCTCTCCCACAAAATGTGTGAAATATGGGAACTACAATTCAAGATGAGATTTGGGTGGGACACAGCGAAACCATATCATCTGTTTTGTTCCACTGGTCTATGTATCTGTGTTTATGCCAGTACCATGCTTTTTTGGTTGGTATAACTTGGTAGTACATTTTGAAGCCAGGTAGTTATTTCAACTTTGTTCTTCTCACTGAGGATTGGGGTCTTTTGTGGTTCTATACCAATTTTAGGATTGTGTTTTCCATTTCTGTGAAAAATATAACTGATATTTTATAAAGATTGCATTAAATCTGTAGATTGCTTTAGGTAGCATAGATATGTTAACAATATTGATTCTTCCAAACAATAAACATGGATTACCATTTGATTTTTTGGTGTCCTCTTTAATTTATTTTTATCAGTGTTTTATAATTTTTAATGAAGAGAAATCTGCTGTTAGTCTATGGCGATTCTCCTATATGTGACATGTTGCTTTTCTCTTGATCTTTTTAGAATTCCTTCTCTTAGATTTTTACCATTTGATAAAAATGTGCCTCAGAGAGAAACTTTTTGAGAAAAATCTACTGGGGAATTTTTGAACTTCTTATATTGAATATCTATATCTCTTCTAAGAGTTGGGAAGCTTTTAGTTGTTTTATTAAATAGGTTTTCTATACCTTTTTCTTTCTCTTCTTCTGGAAATCCAATTAGGTGCTGGCTTGATGATGTCACATATATCATGTAGGCTTTCTTCATTCTTTTTTTTTGTCTGAGTTATTTCAGAATACTTGTCTAAGCTCAGAATTTCTTTCTTCTGATTGATCTATTATTGAAGCTCTTGATTATGTTTATTGTATTTTATTCAATGAAACCTTCAGTTTCAAGATTATTTAAATCTTGAATATCAACTCTATCTTTTTGTTATCTATCTCTTTGTTAAATTTTCATTCAGATAATTTTTTTTCTGATTTCTTTCATTGCTTAATGGTTTTATTATTATACTTTAAGTTTTAGGGTACATGTGCACAATGTGCAGGTTTGTTACATATTATACATGTGCCATGTTGGTGTGCTGCACCCATTAACTCGTCATTTAGCATTAGGTATATCTCCTAATGCTATCCCTCCCACCTCCCCCCACCCCACAAAAGGCCCCGGAGTGTGATGTTCCCCTTCCTGTGCCCATTTGTTCTCATTGTTCAATTCCCACCTATGAGTGAGAACATGCAGTTTGGTTTTTTTGTCCTTGCGATAGTTTGCTGAGAATGATGGTTTCCAGCTTCATCCATGTCCCTACAAAGGACATGAACTCTTCATTTTTTATGCCTGCATAGTATTCCATGGTGTATATGTGCCACATTTTCTTCATCCAGTCTATCATTGTTGGACATTTGGCTTGATTCCAAGTCTTTGCTATTGTGAATAGTGCCGCAATAAACATACGTGTGCATGCGTCTTTATAGCAGCATGATTTATAATCCTTTGGGTATATACTCAGTAATGGGATGGCTGGGTCAAATGGTATTTCTAGTTCTAGATCCCCGAGGAATCGCCACACTGACTTCCACAAGGTTGAACTAGTTTACAGTCCCACCAACAGTGTAAAAGTGTTTCTATTTCTCCACATCCTCTCCAGCACCTGTTGTTTCCTGACATTTTAATGATTGCCATTCTAACTGGTATGAGATGGTATCTCACTGTGGTTTTGATTTGCGTTTCTCTGATGGCCAGTGATGCTGAGCATTTTTTCATGTGTTTTTTGGCTGCATCAATGTTTTTTTTTGAGAAGTGTCTGTTCATATCCTTTGCCCACATTTTGATGAGGTTTTTTTTCTTGTAAATTTGTTTGAGTTCATTGTAGATTCTGGATATTAGCCCTTTGTCAGATGAGTAGGTTGCAAAAATTTTCTCCCATTTGTTAGGTTGCCTGTTCACTCTGATGGTAGTTTCTTTTGCTGTGCAGGAGCTCTTTAGTTTAATTAGATCCCATTTGTCAATTTTGGCTTTTGTTGCCATTGCTTTTGGTGTTTTAGACATGAAGTCCTTCCCCATGCATATGTCCTGAATGGTATTGCCTAGGTTTTCTTCTAGGTTTTTTATGGTTTTAGGTCCAACATACAAGTCTTTAATCCATCTTGAATTAACTTTTGTATAAGGTGTAAGGAAGGGCTCCAGTTTCAGCTTTCTACATATGGCTAGCCAGTTTTCCCAGCACCATTTATTAAATAGGGAATCCTTTCCACATTTCTTGTTTTTGTCAGGTTTCTCAAAGATCAGACGGTTACAGATATGCGGCATTATTTCTGAGGGCTCTGTTCTGTTCCACTGATCTATGTCTCTGTTTTGGTACCAGTACTATGCTGTTTTGGTTACTGTAGCCTTGCAGTATAGTTTGAAGTCAGGTAGCGTGATGCCTCCAGCTTTGTTCTTTTGGCTTAGGATTGACTTAGTGATGCGGGCTCTTTTTTGGTTCCATATGAACTTTAAAGTAGTTGTTTCCAATTCTGTGAAGAAAGTCATTGGTAGCTTGATGGGGATGACATTGAATCTATACATTACCTTGGGCAGTATGGCCATTTTCACAATATTTATTCTTCCTACCCATGAGCATGGAATGTTCTTCCATTTGTTTGTATCCTCTTTTATTTCATTGAGCAGTGGTTTGTAGTTCTCCTTGAAGAGGTCCTTCACATCCCTTGTAAGTTGGATTCCTAGGTATTCTATTCTCTTTGAAGCAATTGTGAATGGGAGTTCACTCATGATTTGGCTCTCTGTTTGTCTGTTATTGGTGTATAAGAATGCTTGTGATTTTTGTACATTGATTTTGTATCCTGAGAATTGCTGAAGTTGCTCATCAGCTTAATGAGATTTTCTGCTGAGATGATGGGGTTTTCTAGATATACAATCATGTCATCTGCAAACAGGGACAATTTGACTTCCTCTTTTCCTAATTGAATACCCTTTATTTCCTTCTCCTGCCTGATTGCCCTGGCCAGAACTTCCAACACTATGTTGAATAGGAGTGGTGAGAGAGGGCATCCCTGTCTTGTGCCAGTCTTCAAAGGGAATGCTTCCAGATTTTGCCCATTCAGTATGATATTGGCTGTGGGTTTGTCGTAGATACCTCTTATTATTTTGAAATACGTCCCATCAATACCTAATTTATTGAGAGTTTTTAGCATGAAGGGTTGTTGAATTTTGTCAAAGGCCTTTTCTGCATCTATTGAGATAATCATGTGGTTTTTGTCTTTGGTTCTGTATATATGCTGGATTACATTTATTGATTTGTATATGTTGAACCAGGCTTGCATCCCAAGGATGAAGCCCACTTGATCATGGTGGATAAGCTTTTTGATGTGCTGCTGGATTCGGTTTGCCAGTATTTTATTGAGGATTTTTGCCTCAATGTTCATCAAGGATATTGGTCTAAAATTCTCTTTTTTGGTTGTGTCTCTGCCAGACTTTGGTATCAGGATGACGCTGGCCTCATAAAATGAGTTAGGGAGGATTCCCTCTTTTTCTATTGATTGGAATAGTTTCAGAAGGAATGGTACCGGCTCCTCCTTGTACCTCTGGTAGAATTTGGCTGTGAATCCATCTGGTCCTGGACTTTTTTGGTTGGTAAGCTATTAATTATTGCCTCAATTTCAGAGCCTGTTATTGGTCTATTCAGAGATTCAACTTCTTCCTGCTTTAGTCTTGGGAGGGTGTATGTGTCGAGGAATTTATCCATTTCTTCTGGATTTTCTAGTTTATTTGCATAGAGGTGTTTGTAGTATTCTCTGATGGTAGTTTGTATTTCTGTGGGATCAGAGGTGATATCCCCTTTATCATTTTTTATTGTGTCTATTTGATCCTTCTTTCTTTTCTTCTTTTTCTTATTATTATTATACTTTAAGTTTTAGGGTGCATGTGCACAATGTGCAGGTTAGTTATATATGTATACACGTGCCATGCTGGTGCGCTGCACCCACTAACTCGTCATCTTGCATTAAGTATATCTCTCAGTGCCCTCCCTCCCCCCTCCCCCAACCCCACGACAGTCCCCAGAGTGTGATGTTCCCCTTCCTGGGTCCATGTGTTCTCATTGTTCAATTCCCACGTATGAGTGAGAATAGGCAGTGTCTGGTTTTTTGTTCTTGCGATAGTTTACTGAGAATGATGATTTCCAATTTCATCCATGTCCCTACAAAGGACATGAACTCATGATTTTTTATGGCTGCATAGTATTCCATGGTGTATATGTGCCACATTTTCTTAATCCAGTCTATCATTGTTGGACATTTGGGTTGGTTCGTAGTCTTTGCTATTGTGAATAGTGCTGCAATAAACATACGTGTGCATGCGTCTTTATAGCAGCATGATTTATAGTCCTTTGGGTAGATACCCAGTAACGGGATGGCTGGTTCAAATGGTATTTCTAGTTCTAGATCCCTGAGGAATTGCCACACTGCCTTACACAATGGTTGAACTAGTTTACAGTCACACCAACAGTGTAAAAGTGTTCCTATTTCTCCACATCCTCTCCAGCACCTGTTGTTTCCTGACTTTTTAATGATCACCATTCTAACTGGTGTGAGATGGTATCTCACTGTGTTTTCATTTGCATTTCTCTGATGGCCAGTGATGGTGAGCATTTTTTCATGTGTTTTTTGGCTGCATAAATGTCTTCTTTTGAGAAGTGTCTGTTCATGTCCTTCGCCCACTTTTTGATGGGGTTGTTTGTTTTTTTCTTGTAAATTTGTTTGAGTTCATTGTAGATTCTGGATATTAGCCCTTTCTCAGAAATGTTCTCCCATTTTGTAGGTTGCCTGTTCACTCTGATGGTAGTTTCTTTTGCTGTGCAGGAGCTCTTTAGTTTAATTAGATCCCATTTGTCAATTTTGTCTTTTGTTGCCATTGCTTTTGGTGTTTTAGACATGAAGTCCTTGCCCATGCCTATGTCCTGAATGGTAATGCCTAGGTTTTCTTCTAGGGTTTTTATGGTTTTAGGTCTAACATTTGAAATTGTGGCAATAATCAATAGCTTACCAACCAAAAAGAGTCCAGGACCAGATGGATTCACAGCTGAATTCTACCAGAGGTACAAGGAGGAACTGCTACCATTCCTTCTGAAACTATTCCAATCAATAGAAAAAAGAGGGAATCCTCCTTAACTCATTTTTTGAGGCCAGCATCATCCTGAAACGAAAGCCGGGCAGAGACACAACCCAAAAAGAGAATTTTAGACCAATATCCTTGATGAACATTGAGGCAAAAATCCTCAATAAAATACTGGCAAACCGAATCCAGCAGCACATCAAAAAGCTTATCCACCATGATCATGTGGGCTTCATCCCTGGGATGCAAGGCTGGTTCAATATATGCAAATCAATAAATGTAATCCAGCATATAAACAGAACCAAAGACAAAAACAACATGATTATCTCAATAGATGCAGAAAAGTCCTTTGACAAAATTCAACAACCCTTCATGCTAAAAACTCTCAATAAATTAGGTACTGATGGGATGTATTTCAAAATAATAAGAGGTATCTATGACAAACCCACAGCCAATATCATACTGAATGGGCAAAATCTGGAAGCATTCCCTTTGAAAACTTGCACAAGACAAGGATGCCCTCTCTCACCACTCCTATTCAACATAGTGTTGGAAGTTCTGGCCAGGGCAATTAGGCAGGAGAAGGAAATAAAGGGTATTCAATTAGGAAAAGAGGAAGTCAAATTGTCCCTGTTTGCAGATGACATGATTGTATATCTAGAAAACCCCATTGTCTCAGCCCAAAATCTCCTTAAGCTGATAAGCAACTTCAGCAAAGTCTCAGGATACATAATCAATGTACAAAAATCACAAGCATTCTTGTACACCAATAACAGACAAACAGAGAGCCAAATCATGAGTGAACTCCCATTCACAATTGCTTCAAAGAGAATAGAATACCTAGGAATCCAACTTACAAGGGATGTGAAGGACCTCTTCAAGGAGAACTACAAACCACTGCTCAATGAAATAAAAGAGGTTACAAACAAATGGAAGATCATTTCATGCTCATGGGTAGGAAGAATAAATATTGTGAAAATGGCCATACTGCCCAAGGTAATTTACAGATTCAATGCCATCCCCATCAAGCTACCAATGACTTTCTTCACAGAATTGGAAAAAACTATTTTAAAGTTCATATGGAACCAAAAAAGAGCCCGCATCACCAAGTCAATCCTAAGCCAAAAGAACAAAGCTGGAGGCATCACGCTACCTGACTTCAAACTATACTACAAGGCTACTGTAACCAAAACAGCATGGTACTGGTACCAAAACAGAGATATAGATCAATGGAACAGAACAGAGCCTTCAGAAATAACGCCACATATCTACAACTATCTGATCTTTGACAAACCTGAGAAAAACAAGCAATGGGGAAAGGATTCCCTATTTAATAAATGGTGCTGGGAAAACTGGCTAGCCATATGTAGAAAGCTGAAACTGGATCCCTTCCTTACACCTTATACAAAAATCAATTCAAGATGGATTAAAGTCTTTTCTTCTTTATTAGTCTTGCTAGCAGTCTATCAATTTTGTTGATCTTTCCAAAAAACCAGCTCCTGGATTCATTAATTTTTTGAAGGGTTTTTTGTGTCTCTATTTCCTTCAGTTCTGCTCTGATTTTAGTTATTTCTTGCCTTCTGCTAGCTTTTGAATGTGTTTGCTCTTGCTTCTCTAGTTCTTTTAATTGTGATGTTAGGATGTCAATTTTGGATCTTTCCTGCTTTCTCTTGTGGACATTTAGTGCTGTAAATTTCCCTCTACACACTGCTTTGAATGTGTCCCAGAGATTCTGGTATGTTGTGTCTTTGTTCTCGTTGGTTTCAAAGAACATCTTTATTTCTGCCTTCATTTTGTTATGTACCCAGTAGTCATTCAGGAGCAGGTTGTTCAGTTTCCATGTAGTTGAGTGGTTTTGAGTGAGTTTCTTAGTCCTGAGTTCTAGTTTGATTGCACTGTGGTCTGAGAGACAGTTTGTTATCATTCCTGTTCTTTTACATTTGCTGAGGAGTGCTTTACTTCCAACTATGTGGTCAATTTTGGAATAGGTGTGGTGTGGTGCTGCAAAAAATGTATATTCTGTTGATTTGGGGTGGAGAGTTCTGTAGATGTCTATTAGGTCCGCTTGGTGTAGAGCTGAGTTCAATTCCTGGGTATCCATGTTAACTTTCTGTCTAATGTTGATGGTCGTGTGTTAAAGTCTCCCATTATTATTGTGTGGGAGTCTAAGTCTCTTTGTAGGTCACTAAGGACTTGCTTTATGAATCTGGGTGCTCCTGTATTGGGTGCATATGTATTTAGGATAGTTAGCTCTTCTTGTTGAACTGATCCCTTTACCATTATGTAATGACCTTCTTTGCCTCTTTTGATCTTTGTTGGTTTAAAGTCTGTTTTATCAGAGACTAGGATTGCAACCCCTGCCTTTTTTTGTTTTCCATTTGCTTGGTAGATCTTCCTCCATCCCTTTATTTTGAGCCTGTGTGTGTCTCTGCACGTGAGATGGGTTTTCTGAATACAGCACACTGATGGGTCTTGACTCTTCATCCAAATTGCCAGTCTATGTCTTTTAATTGGAGCTTTTAGCCCATTTACATTTAAAGTTAATATTGTTATGTGTGTATTTGGTCCTGTCATTATGATGTTAGCTGGTTATTTTGCTCATTAGTTGATGCAGTTTCTTCCTAGTCTCGATGGTCTTTACATTTTGGCATGTTTTTCCAGTGGCTGGTACCAGTTGTTCCTTTCCATGTTTAGTGCTTCCTTCAGGAGCTCTTTTAGGGCAGGCCTGGTGGTGACAAAATCTCTCAGCATTTGCTTGTCTGTAAAGGATTTTATTGCTCCTTCATTTATGAAGTTTAGTTTGGCTGGGTATGAAATTCTGGGTTGAAACTTCTTTTCTTTAAGAATGTTGAATATTGGCCCCCACTCTCTTCTGGCTTGTAGAGTTTCTGCTGAGAGATCCCCAGTTAATCTGATGGGCTTCCCTTTGTGGGTAACCCGACCTTTCGCTCTGGCTGCCCTTAACGTTTTTTCCTCCATTTCAACTTTGGTGAATCTGACAATTATGTGTCTTGGAGTTGCTCTTCTGGAGGAGTATCTTTGTGGCGTTCTCTGTATTTCCTGAATCTGAATGTTGGTCTGCCTTGCTAGATTGGGGAAGTTCTCCTGGTTAATATCCTGCAGAGTGTTTTCCTACTTGGTTCCATTCTCCCTGTCACTTTCAGGTACACCAATCAGACATAGATTTGGTCTTTTCACATAGTTCCATATTTCTTGGAGGCTTTGTTTGTTTGTTTTTATTCTTTTTTCTCTAAACTTCACTTTTCACTTCATTTCATTCATTTCGTTTTCCATCACTGATAAAATGGTGTTCTCTTGTATCTCACTGAGTTTTCTTATGATCATTATTTTAAATTTCAAGCATTTCATAGATTTCCTTTTCTTTGGCATCTTTTACTGGAGGGTTATTGTGTTCCTTTGGAGGTGTCATGTTTCCTTTCTTTTTCATATTTATTTTGTGCTTACGTTGTTATGTACACATCAGTTGTAACTTGCACCTCTTCCAATTTTATCAAGTAGCTTCTATGTGAAGGATGTTTTTCCTGTAGATGCATCTATAATGTTCATTGGATAGGGTGCTTTTGCTTTGGCTCTAAATGGGTACCTGATATAGTTTGGATATGTGTTGTCTCCAAATCTCATGTTCAAATGTGTAACTCAATGGTGGAGGTGGGGCCTGGTGGGAGGTATTGAATCATGGGGGAAGTTCCCTCATTAATGTCTTGGTGCCATCTCCTTGGTAATGAGTGAGTTTTTGCTCTGATTTCACAAAAAAAACTGATTCTTTTAAAGTGCATAGCACCTCCCCCTTCTCTCTCTTGCTCCCATTCTTGCCATTTGACATCCTGGCTCCCTGTTGCTTTCCTTCATGATTGTAAACTTCCTGAGGACCTCACCAGAAGCAGATGCCAGAAGCTGGCACCACACTTCCTGTACAGGCTACGGAATTGTGAGCCACAGTAAATCGCTTTTTTTTTTTTTTTTTTACAGATTACCCAGCCTCAGGCATTTCTTTATAGCAACGCAAGAACAGGCTAATACAGCAGCACTATATTATAGTCTCTGTATGATAACTTTGGCTATACTTAACATCAGCATGGTGTACAAATTCCTTAGTGGCATAGGCTATTTGTAGACCCTCTGGTGAGGCTTTGCTGGGGATGGGGTTGCAAGATGGGCAAGTCGTTAGGCTCCTGGATGGCATGTGCATGCACTGGCAGAGGCAGTGATGTGGCTCAAGTGGGCTAGTCTTTGGGCCCCAGTCAGGATGCACAGGTGCCGGTGGTGTCCACAGCAGGATGGGTGGGCTGGTCCTTGGCTCCTGATGGGGCACATGGGTCATAGCGTCTCACTGCTTGAGGTGGGCAGTGGCCTCAGGCAGCCTGTTCTCAGGCTCTGGGAAGCTGACACTTCTGCTCCCTGTGTTCTTGGGGCAACCTCCTTGATGTGCTGGACCACCTATTCCTGGGTGTAGAGAGCAGCATAAGTATGAGTGCCAGTGACATCCACACCACTAGGTCTAGCCACCATCATGATGCTGCAGCTCTTTGTGCAGATGTCAGGGTGTATTGGTGGAAGCCTAGTGATGTGGAGATGCAGCAGCTATTGGACCCCAGGGCAGGTTGTGGTTCAGTCCTGGCTCCATTGTCAAAATGGTGGATTGATGCAGTGGCTTGCAGCCCAGGGGTGGGGCCTGGGGAAGATTCCCTTCCTGGAAAAATGCAGCCGCATAAATTCCAGGCAGCTCCCTATAATAGGTTCCCTGCCTGTGAAGGCCAAGGGGCTTTCCTTTAGTTAGAATTGCAGGCATCTGTGGTAGAAATGTGGACTGCTAGGACTCTCTCACTTAACTTTTACCCAAAATGAGAAATTTCTCTTAGCTTCAAACTGTTCTGGCTAGCTGCTTCACTTCCCTCTGAATACTGTCATCTTAAGTTTCTATGCCTCAGAGGGTTTTCCTGTATGTATGTATGTATACCTGTAGTTTTCCTGCTGGATTCCATTAGTCTTCTTAGATGTGCTTTATCTACTTGCTGTTTTGGTCCACTCTTGTGAAGGTGGAAGGAGCTGGGTGGCTCTCATCAGCCATCTTGAGCTAATTTGTGATTGAAATACCCACAAGTGGTTTAAAAAATTATCAAGTTTCTTATATTTATTTGATGTACAAAATGCATGTTGAAGATACTATTAGTGAGTCAAAGCACGTACATGCCCAGCCATAGAAGAGGGATGCCTAAGATAGTTCATACTTCACCTATGGAAAGATAATTACAAGATACCTCTTAGTAAATCTTCTTCTATCAATCCATTTAAATAATCAAGGGCAAAAAACACTTCATTCCAGCTCTTTGAGATATAACACTGAAGACAAAAGAAATATGCTGGCTATATATCATACAAAAACTGAGATAGATGCTATAATGCTATCTTTTGGAATAATAATAATTGTACAAATTACAAATAAAAATAAAAAGTAATAGGAAAGATATGCATTAGATTTACTCTGTGCCATGTACTGTGGATTATAGTATTATCTGTATTTATTTACTCTAACTTTTGAGGTACAATTATTACTTCATCCATTTTTAAGATGGGAAAATGGAGCCACAGATAGATATTAAGCAACTTGCTAGGATTACCCTTCTAGAATGTGGTGGAGCTGGGGCTTAAAACCATGCAGGCTACTTCTGGAAACATTTGAATGACTTTACTGTAATATCTCTTTATAGAAGTAATGTTTTTAAATACATAAGTATGATTTCTGATACTTTTACAATTCATGTCCTTAGTAGTACACTGATAGTCAATTAATATTTATTTCATTGTATTAGTTTCCTATTGATGCTTGACAAATTACCACAAACTTAGTGGCTTAACACAAAACAAAGTTATTATCTTATTTCTGCAGCTCAGAAATTTGAAATTGTCTCTCTGGGCTAAAATCAATGTATTGGTAGGGACACTTTCCTTTAAGCAGGTGATATAGTTTAGTTTGGAGGTGTGTCCGCAACCAAATCTCATATTGCAATGTAATCCCCAGTGATATGGTTTGGCTGTGTCCCCACCCAAATCTCATCTTGAATTGTAGTTCTTGTAATTCCCATGTGTCATGGGAGGGAACCAGTGGGAGGTGATTAAATCATGGGGGCAGGACTTTGTCATGCTGTTCTTGTGATACTGAATAAGCCTCCAGAGGTCTGATGGTTTTATAAAGGGGAGCTCCCCTGCATATGCTCTTTTGCCTACCACCATGCAAGATGTGACTTTGTTCCTCCTCCTGCCATAATTGTGAGGCCTCCCCACCCATGTTGAACTGTGAGTCAATTAAACCTCTTATCTTTATAAATTTCCCAGTCTTGGATATGTCTTTATTAGCAGTGTGAGAACAGACAAATACACCCAGTGTTGGAGGTGGGACCTGGTGGGAGGTGATTGATTGGATCATGGGAATGGATCCCTCATGAAAGACTTGGCACCATCCCTCTTGGTACTGTCCGCATGGTAGTGAGTTCTCATGAGATCTCACCATCTCAAAGTATGCCGCGTAGCACCACTGCCCTTACTCTCTCTTGCCCCTGTTTTGGCCATGTGACATGCCTCTTCCCCCTTTGCCTTCTGCCATGATTATAAGTTTCCTGAGGCCTTCCCAGAAGCCTAGCAGATGTCAGCATCATGCTTCCTGTACAGGCTGCAGAGCCATGAGCCAATTAAACCTTTGTTTATTTTATAAATAAATTACACAGTCTCAGGTATTTCTTGATTGTACTGTGGGAGTGAAATAACATAGCAGACTCTAGGGTAGAATCAGTTTTCTTACCTTTTCTAGTTCCTAGCAGGTTCCCTCAGCCCTTGGTTTGTGGTGCCTTTTTATCTTCAAAGTCAGCAATGGCCAAGTTACTCTTTCTCATGATGCTATCTCTTAATTTCTGAATTTTCTGTCTCCCTCTTTCTTATATATGGACACTCGTGTTTACTGTGGGCCCCCTGGCTAATCCAGGATAATCTATTTTAAGGTCAGTTAATTAGCAACCTCAATTTCATCTGAAATCTTTATTGCCCTTTGCCATGTAATATAACATATTCACAAGTTCAGAAAATTAGGACATATACATCGTTGAGCTATTACACTCATTATGTATTTGTATTGTGTTTTTTGTACCTATAATGAGTGTGTATGTATGCATAATATAATCACAGTGTAATGGGAAATCAAATTAATTATTTAATTAACCATACCTTAAACAAACATTGTATTAGTTAGTCTGTGGTTTAAAACAGGTTACCTATATTAAACACTGATGAATTGGTTCATGTTGGAAATCGCCATTTGGTCAGTAAACCTCAGCAAGGCCCTGTGAGTGCTATAATTAGGGCTTCCAGCAGAGTTGGAAAAGTAATAGTTGGCATGCGAATCTGAAAGTTGTTATAGTTTGCAGCCAGTAATGGCTTGTCCACTCTATTCTAGGCTCTTGGGATAATAACTTTGTTATTTGAGTATTTAACCTGCTTCTATGGTTTAAAGTATAAAATCTTCAAGAGTAGAGTCTCTTTAAGTCTTTGTAAAAACTCTACATTTTGATGACAGGTCTGTTATTATTCTGAGTCACTTGCTATATGTGATTTGCTTTCTATTTTCTTTATCTTGCCTACTAAACAGAAAATGGACATTAGACAATGTTCTGTGATAAAAAACATCTGCTTAATTTTTTTTCAAAATGCTGGATTCAAGGATGACAAGAAACAGCATTCATTGTATTTCTATAATTTGTGTCGAATATTTAAAAGTGGAAGAAACTGACCTTCAATAGTTATTGAGGTAGTACTCAAATCATGCTCAATTTTTTGTTCTATCTTTAAATCATACCTCATAAATCAGATAATGTGACCTGAAAGACAAAAGCAATGTCTACCTGCAAGCAAACATTGGATGGAAACTAATCACCCTGCCTATATATGTGACCCACATAATGATTATATGACATCAGCAGAAAAAGGGTTGTAAAAATGATTTTGCCAGGGTCCACAACATGAGGCTTATGAACACATAGAGCAGTATTTCTCAACTTTTTAAAAAGTTATAACTTCCTAAGGAGTTTTCTGGACACACTTTTTCTAATCGCTTCCTTCCTTCCGTAGAATTTTAATACTACAGATTTATTGTATATTTGTTTATGCATGGCAGCCCTTGGAGGGCCACAAACTATTGTAATAGCTAAGATGCCACCTCCTAAGGAAAGAATTTTCACACTCTTGGGGCCAATATCACCCCCACTGAGATCCATAACACAGAGTGACAGTAGTGGAAGGAAGCTTAATAGGCTGTTATTCAAAACTCTTCATTCTACTAACAAGGAACCTGGGACACAGAGAAGAAAATTGATTTGCCTAAAAGGATACATACTTAATAGGCATTGTGGAGAAAACAAAAGAAATGTAAGGCGTAGAATATGGTGAATTTGATTTTACATACAACTAATATTGAACAAGTTACCTTTCCCACAGAAAAAGTTTCCATTCCCACCAAAGCACTGTGGGTAAGGAAGAAACCCCATGATACCTGCATGATGACGAAGTGATAATGAAACTGTCAGGACATTCAAGGTATTACAATTTCGTCTGATATTTTCATACAGACAGAATGTAATATGACTTGATAATTTATAAAATAAGTATTATTTTTATGATAATATATAATAGAAAAATAATCCTTTGTCGAATTCAGCCACAGAGATTTTAAAATTCCAATAGAAGGAAAGACTTGTTTAAAGGTCAATCACTCGAATACTCTTGGTATTTTCCCACAGTTAGAGATTATTCGACAAAGTAAAGAGTTCACAACTGTCAGATGCTGGCATTTCGAAGGGTAAAAGACATCTTTATGAAATAGAACAAATATCTTTTCATGTAAAACAGTGTGTTAAATACCATCTAGAAAAGAGTATTAAATTTGTTCTTTCAAGTTATTTATGAAAATTATGTCCTACATTCGAGTAATAAAAAAAGAGTCACAACCAAAAAGTAAAACTGCCATTTGAAATTAATGTCTTCATTTTCCTGATGTAAATGACTGCAAAATATTTAGCAGAAGATTGCTGCTAAGATCAGAGCAGTAAATAATGTTCTATGATTAGATTCCAGTGTATATGAAGAGAGCAAATAGCCTTGTTTCCTGGTCACAGGGAGAGATGGTTTCTGACAGACATTTGCATACATTCCTAGTTGGAACACTAGACCACTAATTAAAATTAGTGAGATTCTTTTAGTCCAGTAAAGTATTCTAAATTGTTTCACTCTGCATACCTTACTTGTAATACATTCCTAAATTTATGAGTAATACCTGTTGCAAAATAATACAAATAATAATACAAATAATGTGGATATTATAGAAAAAAACATAATAAAGTGATGTACAGTTGTGATAACTGAAAGGTATATAAAATATGAAAAAATATGAATAGTTATGTCCTTACTTTTGGCCGTGAATTTGATGGTGTTAACATTTATTCCCCTTGAAAATATGCTTTCCATTCTATGCCATCCACCTATCCTGGGTGTGTCTCAAGGCCAGTAAACTCAAGCAAACCTCCCTTCAATTTTGTTCATAGGGATTTCCTAAGATCCTGTCAGTTTTTTCTAAGATCCTGTCAGTTTTTTAAATGTTAGCCTTGCTCTAAATACATGTTGAGTTTTACCTGGTCTCTTACTTCTAGAATATAACATCCCCAATTCCAGGACCAAGCACCATATTTCTTAAACTGACCTCATTGGCTGGTGAGATAGAGATCAGATACTAATTTATTCCTTCATTTGTTATTTTATTCATTTCAAAAGCATTTATTGATCACTTAAATGGGCAAGGAACTTTGCTAGACTTAGAGACACGATGGTGAATAGGAGTGACCAGTTCTTTACGTATCTTACATTCTAGTTGAGGTGAGTAACATAAAATAAATATTTGCATAATTTAAAGGATTATTCCATTATAATGTTGATAAATACCGCAAATGAGTTTAGAGCATTCATATTATATAAAAAGAAACTTGTCCTAGGCTGGTGAGTCAAGAAAGACTTCCCCGATTAAGTGACATTTAATCTGAGGCTCAAAAACAATACAAGTTTACTTTTCAAAGAAAAAGGAGAAAAGCAATACAGAATGAGCAAAATAGGCAAGGGACCTAAGACAGAGAGGAATCTGGTTCATGAAAGGAAGTACATGAAAACAAGTGTGGTGTGAAGTGAGAGGTGGGGCGGATGTGTAAAATTATTGCTGAGGTAGGTAGATACCAGATTATCTAGCACAATTTTAATTATTTTAAATATTATCCTTAGAGACTTGGGAAGGCACAAATGAATATTAAGTTGTGAAATTACAGGATTATATTTAGGCTTCATAATTATTTTTCAGTAAAGAGTATGGAGAATGAACTGGGTGTACAAAAGAAGCTACTAAAAATGAGTTAGGTAAAAGGACACAATCAGCAGAGCGAAAGGCAACCTAAAGAATGGAAAAATGCTTGTGAACTATGTATGTGATAAGGGGCTAATATCTAGAGCATATTAAGAACTCCTACAACTAAACAACAACAATGACAAAGTCAAATTACCTAATTAAAAAATGAGCAATGGATTTGAATAGACATTTCTCCAAAGATGATATGCAAATGACCAGTGAGCATAAAACAAGATGCTCAGAGTCACCAGTCACCAAGACATACAAATCAAAACCACAATGCCATATTAACTGACACTGGTTAGGGTGTATTTCATCCAAAAACAAAATGTAACGAATGCTGGAAAGCATGTGGAGAAATGGGAACCCTTGGGCACTTTAGCTGTGGTTGTGAAATAGTGTAACGGCTATGGAAAATAGTATGGAGGTTCCTCAGAAAATTAAAAATACAACTACCATATTATCTGACAATTCTACTTCTGAGCATATATCCAAAAGAATGGAAGCAGGGTCTCAAGAACATATTTGTGTTCACACATTAAATGCCAGCCCTATTTACAATAGTCAAGAAGTACAAGCAACCCAAATATTCATCCACAGATACATGGATAAATAAATAAAATGTGATACATTCATGTAACAGATTATTCAGCCTTAAAAAGAAATGTTTCACATGCTATAACAGCGATGAGCCATGGAGTACATTATGCTAAGTGAAATCAGTCAGACAGAAAAAGACAAATACTGTATGATTCACCTTAGATAAGGTATCTAAAGTAGTCAAATTCATAAAAACATAAAGTAGAGTGGTGGTTACCAGGAACGGTGAGGAGAGAGAAAAAAGGAGTTGTTTAACGAGTACAGTGTCAGATTTACAAGATGGAAAGGCTCTGGAGATTTGTTTCACAATGTAAATATAGGTAACATTACTGAACTTGCACTTAAAAATAGTTAAGAAGGTGAATTTTATGTAAGTGTTCTTACCATAATAAAAAATAACCAGGAGGTAATTCCTCAGTTCAAAGAAAAGATGAATGGTTGTTTGCATTAGAACTGTAGTAGTGGAGCTCAAGGAAAAGAAATGAATATAAGAGATTTAGAAAATAAACTTAACAGGCACATTAGAAACATATGTAGGGGTAAGGGAGGGGAAGTAGTCAAAGAAGTCTTGAATTATAAAAATATATATGTGGCAGTATTATAGCTGAGATACATATGCAGGATTCATTGGTATATGGGCAGTAAGAACTGTCATGGGCGTGGATGAGATCATGAAGGAAGTGAAAGGTTGATGGTGAAGAAAGAAAGTGAGATGCAAAGAAAATCTAAAGCTTAACCTGAACTTCTTAGGGTTTACAGGCTAAGTTCAGCAAAAGGGGTTGACATAAATCTCTGAGAAGAAGATATACTAATAGGCGTACTCCAATTAATCAAAAAAAGTCACATTTACCATTAATTGCCCATTAATATAAACCGAAGAGATTATCATAAGGACATAATCCCTGTATAATCCAATCTTAAACTTTGTGATGATCAAAGGAAGAAACTGCACAGTTCCGATTGGTCTTTCCTTACTCTGATTTCCTAACTCTGTTTGTATAAAGATGTGTTGTTCTATAGATTAGATTGAAGTTACTACATAAGCAAATGAATTACTTAAATCAACTAATTGTACAGATTTGCCATAAGTCAACTTACCGTGTGGATTCAACAGAATTCAGATTTTTTTATTAACACTATAACAAACATAGTACCTGTTCAGGAATACTAACCCTTATGTGCATAACTCATGAGGAGCTTTCAAAATAGGGTGTTCATTTCTTACTGCGTGTACCACTTAATACCACTGAGCACACAATTCAAAAAAGCCTGTAAGTCTTAAAACTAAATATTATATTACAGAATACATTGATGAATTCACGTCCAATGCACTACTTCTTGTAAGACATTACAATGTGATGTGGCTAAATATATTTCCACTGCATTGCTAATCACATTATAGATGATATAAACTATGGAACAGATAGTTATTATTTATAAATAAATTTTAGGTCTGTCCTTGATTTTCTTCATTTGAAAATGAGTGTTTTAGGCATTGTAAATCACTTACATTATTATTATTTGTTGCTTTTCTGTTAAAATGACCTCATATTGATTAGTTTCTAATCATTCCAATTTATAAGCACAAATTAGTATAAACCACACATTTTAAAATCTGTCTGATAAGACATTTTGGATACAAGGCAAATATCTACTTGAGTATAATTTCTCTTAAGATTTGTTTCTGTCTACATTTCATACTGGGTTCTTTTTAGAAATAAAAAACAAACTTAATAGTAAAGACCTGTTTAAAATAATTAGACACGAAAAAAAGTAAACTTTTTCATCTTATCTTGTTATTTTGAAATGTAATTTTCAATGTGTTGGTCATCAAACATTGATGTTTACTTCGGTATAAACCATATTTTTGCAATTCTGATTATACCCTAAGGTAATTTATAAGATTCTACCAGTTATTTTGATATAATTAATTACTAACATATAAAAAGACAATAATGATATACTATTTCTATAATAAAAAATTTTCCATTGGGAAGAACTGTAAATACATAAATAGCTTAGTACCTTTATAGACTATAAATATAGCACTGTAGAATAGTAAACGTAATCTGAAAATAAAGCTTAATGTAAGAATAATATAAACAGTCATGTAAGTATTTTAAAATGATCTACCTTTTGTAAAAAAAAAAAAAATCCAACATGTCCTGTAACTCATAGCAGATAATTATTACATAGTTTTAAATAACTTTGAGGGAAATATTACTATGATAAAGTAAATTTGCATGAAAAAGTCCCAAAACCAAGGAAATAAAATATATCGATGAAATCATACATTCATACACATACACCCTCATGCATACATATCAAATATACATACCTTTATGTATATGTCAATAATTTCAAATTATAAGAAATATAATTTGTAATAGTTTAATTCTTTGTATGAAGACACAATAATTACGTTGAAAGATTTAGAAAATAAAAGAATACTCATTACATATAATGAATAGGCTAGAATGTTTAAAATATAATTTAAAATTTCTCTTAAAACTCAAGTGTAATAGAAGACCATAGATATAGATACATATCTTTAATATGTATATTTTAAATCCAAATTGAACATCCCAGTACTTTGAACTATGATGCAGGCTGTTATATATAAAACTCTTAGACAAGAATTTAAAAGTTGTATATAGGTGTGAAATATTTCTTATTACTTTTAAACTGGGGCACATTTCCTTTCTTGGAATAAGTCAATAATAATATTTAATTTAATTCAGCACTTTAGTAAATGTACTTTTGCCCTTGAAGAGATAAATCACTGACTCAGGAGAGAAAAAAAGAGTATACAAACTTTACCTTCTATTTAGAGAAATGCCAGGGTGAGCAGATTGTGACATACATCTCTTATCAGGTGAGCCTTTGAAGGCAATTGTGGGTGAATTTTAACAAAGAAAAAAAAAGTGAATTGTTATAAGTACTGGATAAATAAAACAAATAGAAGCAAAAATAAGGCATTGCGAGTTAACACAGATATGACAAAAATTAATAAAACTTTAAATTATTACTATGCTATTCCAAAGCTTGTTTAAATGAATACATATCTCCTATACAATTTTGCCTATATCACTAAAGAGGTAAGTCACTGTAATTATAGTACATCGTAAAACTCCATTAGACCATTTAAGGTAGTTTTTTTCCCTGTGGTTCCACATTACAATCATATTTCAATAAAGCTAATGCATTTTTCCCAATGATAGGAAATTCTTTTCTCAGTATACCAAATCCATGACAAAATCTGTGCTAATGCATGAAACTAGAAACCTAATAAAATACAAAAGTTTGTAAGAAGAGTCAGAACTTCTAAAATCTTGTTAAATATAGATAATCTAGTGTACACTATATGCCACTTAATGCTGAGTACTTAGGTAAGGATTAATAACTCACTCACATCACTTTCTTATAGTAAGGAATTGCATATTAAGCCATGTGACTGTCATGTCATGTCTAGTAACACATACAAGGACCTATTTTTACCTCCAGCCCTTGCAACAATTATATTAGGAATCCTTTAAAAATATTTCTTAATTTCTACCGAAGGTACCTGCCTCTATCCCTGGCCCCAAATGGCTCTCAGTGCCTATAAATGTTCTCCATTTAATGGCTCAAAAGGGAAAGGGAAACTTATGGTGTCCTTTAAATTCCTTCCACCTATCATTCTATTTCCTTAAGCTTTCTGAAATGATTATCAAATCTTGATAACCTATTTAGTTATAAATAGCAATCAATTCACCATTTATTTAAAAAAAGGGAAACGAACATGGAAGGAAAATACAGAGCAAATTTTTTGCACTGATATTTCTCCTGGCACACAGGACTTCAACTGTATTCAAAAAAAATGGACTTCCCATTGCTGTCTGGCATGTAAGGAGACTGGAAGGTAACGTTCTATGCTAACAATAAGTAAAAACTTGAAACAAGCTGAAAAACTGACTACCCTTCTTAGATTCATCAGAAAACTCAGGTCATAGGGAAAATTGGTGCCCCCAAAATTGGAGAAACAGATGGACACAGAGAATCATAAGATGGGCATTAAGAATCAGCAGAAATTCATTAGCAAAAATCTCCATGGGAACCAGTACTGACATAGGAAAACAAAACTGTAACTGACAATTCCTAGAGGCTCAGTGCAGACAAATCTGATGGTTAAAAACTGCAGGGGAGCCAGTTGTAGTGGGACCTGCACATACTTATAAAAAAGTTTTACTGGCTGGGTGCAGTGGCTCACACCTGTAATCCCAGCACTTTGGGAGGCCAAGGTGGGTGGATCACAAGGTCAAGAGATCGAGACCATCCTGGCCAACATGGTGAAACCCTATCGCTACTAAAAATACAAAATATTATCTGGGCATGGTGGCGCACACCTGTAATCCCAGCTACTGGGGAGGCTGAGGCAGGAGAATCACTTGAACCCAGGAGGCGGAGGTTGCAGTGAGCCGAGATCGTGCCACTGCACCCAGCCTGACGACACATCAAGACTCTGACTAAAAAAAAAAAAAGAAGAAAAAAAATAAGTGTTACCTTCAGGAGCTCTACCAAGTTCTCAAAGTCAAGACTGGAGAACAATCCCCTACGGCTTCTGCAGGAGGAGGAGAGAAAAAGTAACCACATTTAAATCAAGCATTCTTTTTCAAAGGGCTTTTCTTCAACAAAAACCATTTTAGCATACTCTAACCTACTGATGTGCTACCAGAGTTTAACCAACCTGGAAGAAAGGAAGCATGCAACTCTATCCCCCTCAACCCAACCAGTCCCAAATAGAGATGAAAAAAATGAAGAAGGCTTTCTGAAATTCACAGCTGGGAGCACAGGCTCACTTAAAAACTCAGAATTAGTCACAGGACTATTAAAGGCTTCCCTTCCCCTTACACTGTACCACCATACCACTAAAGGCTTATTTACCAGCGTTCTTTTTCCCTAACATATCATGTGTAGATTTAATAACAAAAAAAAGTATACTAAAGGGCAAAAAACCAACAACAAAAAAAACAAAACACAGCTGGAATCGACAGATAAAGCATGAGAACCAGACTCTGATATGACAGGCATGTTGGAATTATCAGATTGAGAATATAAAAACAACTATGATTAATATACTGTGGGCTTTAATGGAACAAGTAGACAACAGATAAACAAGGTAAGCAGAGAGATAAAAATAATAAAAACAAATTACAAACAGATGCTGAGATTTTAAAAAATTGTAACAAAAATGAAGAGTGCCTTTGATGAGCTTATTAGTAGACTGGGCACGGCTAAGGAAAGAATCTCTGAGTTTGAGAATATGTCAGTAGATAGCCCCAAAGCTTAAGAAGACTCCTCCCTACCCCTAAAGTTCCAAAAAGTATATATATATATTTTATATATAATATATATTATATATAAAATATACACATATATAATAAATATATAATATATTTTATATATATATATATATATATATATATTTTTAAGACAGGGTCTCATTCTGTCACCCAGGCAGGATTGCAGTGGTATGATCTCATCTCACTGCAACATCCACCTCTCAGGCTCAAGCAGTTCTCCCACCTCAGCCTCCCAAGTAGCTGTGACTACAGATGCACACCACCACACCCCAGCTAATTTTTTGTAGAGACAGGGTTTTGCCATGTTTCCCAGGCTGTTCCCCAACTCCTGAGCTCAACTGATCTGCCCACCTCGGTCCCCCAACAGAAGCAATAATGACTGAGAATTTCCCCACATTACTTTTTGCAATAAACCTTACTTTTTACTTTTGTCAGGCACCAAACCACAAATCCAAGAAGCTCAGAGAACATTAAGCAATATAAATGCAAAACCAACCAACAAACCCCCAAACTGCACCCAGGCATTGATGCAGGATTTTTTTTATTTATTTATTTATTTTAAGATGGAGTCTCCCTCTATTGCCCAGGCTGGAGTGCAGTGGTGCAATCTCTGCTCACTGCAACCTCCACTTTCTGGGTTCAAGCGATTCTCTTGCCTCCACCTCCTGAGTAGATGGGATTACAGGCATGCACCACCACACCCGGCTAGTCTGTTTGTATTTACAGTAGAGACGGAGTTTCACCATATTTGCAAGGCTGGTCTCGAACTCCTGACCTCAAGATCCGCCCGCCTCGTTCTCCCAAAGTGCTGGGATTACAGGCGTGAGCCACTGCGCCCAGCCAGGATATTTTCTTGATCCCTTCAAGGGGCTTGCAACAGGGGTGTCCTTCGTGGGAAGGGGCATGGGAGCAAACAAGTGTGAGAACTGGAGCAAATGAGCTCGGGAACTAGAGGGCTGCTTAGGTGCTGGCAGGAGGAAACTCCTCTCAGTTGGGCAAGCTAGGCTCCACCCCTCATGGGAGGGAGCACACAGGTAAGCCAGTGCAGGAACCTGACCGCTTTAGCACTGAGAGGAGAGCACTTTGTGCAGGCCCTTCAGCAGCATCCAGGTGGGGGTGCCTGTGACCCCAAGACCCCAGAGGGTATGTTACAATGCTCTCTTAGGTCTTCTATCTGCAAAAAGCAGTGTGTGTTAGCTCAGTGGGCTCTTTACCTTGTTGCGTGGGGTGGCTGCCCTCCTCCAGCGAGGGCAAAGGGCCAATGTGACAGCCTTTTTGGGTACTGTACTTAGTGCATCCTGAATTCTTGTCCAGTGCCCAAGAGGAATGAGGGTACACAGACAGATTAAAGGTTAGTGAATATGGAGAATTTAATTAAGTGACGAGAGTGGCTCTCAGTGGAGAGGGGAGCTGGAAGGGGGCGGGAAGGGCAGATCACTCTCCCCTGAAGTTAAGTCACCTCTCTGCCTCTCGCTTCCAAAGCCAACTTGCCTCTTTCTGACATCCAGCCACCCTCTCTGAGGTCAAGTTTCTTCTCCCTGACATCCAGCTCTTTCTCCTTTCTGCCAGCTGAGTCTGAAGTCTTTATAGGCACAGGATGGAATGGGGTGGGCTGTAGGTAGTTTTGGAAAAAGGCAACATTCGATTGGTAGAAAGACATTATTCAGAAGAATCAATTGGAAGAGAGTGGGCACACAGGGACGGAAGTTCTCACTTTGGGCCATGGGTTTCAGGCTTTTCGGCTCAAAGGTGGGGTTTTGCCAGACACCCGCCCCTGTCTGCCTAGAATTTCTCTGCCTCCTGCCTCTGTCATTGTATCAGCATGTCATATCTGAACTGCAGGAATAAAAAAAACAAAAAAACAAAAAAACCTTGAAATGAGCCAGAGATACAGAGAGAAAACACTTCACTTATGCAGGAGCAAAGGTAAAATTACATCCACCTTCTCAGAGATATTGCAGCAAGAAGAGAGTGGAGTGAATCTGGATTCAAGATGGTGGTCTAGAGGAGGAACATCTGCTGCTGACAGTCAGGGACATGGGAAGTCTGGCCCACTCCCAGCAGATCTTGGAGGGAAGATTGAGAGGAGACTGAGGGAGGACACAGAGGAAACACTGAGCCCAAACAGGAGGAAGCTGGGAACCCTGTACACTGGAAATCAATCCTGGCTTCCAACGACTCCTGGGAAAGGGATGAGTTGAACAGGCAAGGAGAAACATATTCCTGCCATAGACCTCTGGAATTCTGGCAGCAGGAGACCCCACGACCCCCACAGACACTTGAGCTCTATATAGAGATTTTTGTCATTAGCTTGTAAATTTGTAAAAGTATTTTATTATAAATACAAGGTATTTGTTAGTTATGTGTATTGCAAACAATATTTCTAATCTTGTGGATTGTACTTTCAATCTCTTAAAGTATGCATGTGCATGCACACACACGCAAACACACACACTCTTTTTTTGTTGTTGTTTTTTAAGAGACAGGGTCTCCTTATGTAGCCCAGGCTGGAGAGTGCAGTAGTAGCTATTTACAGGTGCAATCACTACACACTACAGCCTTGAATTCCTGGGCTCAAATGATCTCCTGCCTCAGCCTCTTGAGTGCTGGGAATACAGGTATGTGTTACTGCACCCAGCCATAAAGTATACTTCGATAAAGGAAAATTCTTATTTTCTCTGAGTTCAATTTTTCAATATTTTCTTTTATGGCAAATGATGCTTTTTGTGCCCAGCTTACAAAATGATTTATTTTGTTTGGTTAAAATTTTTTTTCTACTGTGTAATCATTTAGGGCATTCTTCATTCAATCCACAATCCATTTGGATTTTTTTTTTCTTTTTGGTATGTTGTGAGTTTTAGCTCACAACATATTAAAAGATGTAACCAACATTGCCTGTCTGTTCTTGCCTGTTGTCTACGTATTCCATTAGAGCCCATGGTATATTAATGATAGTTGTTTTGTATTCTCAGTCTGATAATCCCAACATATTTGCCATATCAGAGTCTGGTTAAGGTTCATTACAAAACTATCTCTTTTGCTGACTCAAAAGCCCTACATCAATATTAGAAAATTAAAAATAGTTATATGTATAAGAAGAGGGGGAAAGAAAATGGGGAGTAGAGAGAGGAATCATATAGAAAAACACTAAAAGCTAAATTAATAATTTAGCTGTTAGTATGGGTTTCAATTGACTCAGTGTCATTTATTCAAAGCAATGCAAAACAAAACTTATATTCTTTATGCCATAATTCCAGTCTCTTTCTAAATCAAGCATCCCTATATGCAAGGATTTTTTTATTCTACTCTCTTTCACTGATGATTTGTCTATCCTTTTTCCATTAATATACTTTCTTAATTTCTGTACATTTTTAATGAGTTTTGATATATGTTCATATATATTCTCTAAATTAGATTTTACATATTTTAGGATCATGATGAGTATGCTTGGTCTTTCCATTTCTATATCAATTCTAGAATCATCTTCTCAATTTCCACAAAATAACATCACATGCATTATATCAGAGAATCACACCAAATTTTCACACATTATTGAATATTACAACCCATAAACATGATATATCTATATATTAATATTTAGACTTCAAAATGCATTAGTAATGCTTCATAGTTTTGCTTATAGGAAACCTCCACATCATTCATAGATTTATTTAAAAGTGTTAACTTTTTTATGATGTGACTATAATTTACATCAATTTCAAAAAGTCTTTTATTAGTTCTGTCTTTCAGGGACTGACTTTTGCATATTGATTTTGTACCAAGTTATGTAGACAAATTCACATACATTTTAATAGTTATCAGCTGAAGGAAGATCTATTTTGTTTTACTAAAGGTTTTTAAAATTAATAATTTAGCTATTAGTATTTTTCTATATGATTCCTCTCGCTACTCCCCATTTTCTTTCCCCCTTTTCTTATACATATAACTATATTTAATTTTGTAATACTGATGTAGGGCTTTTGAGTCAGCAAAGAAGATAGTTTTGTAGTTTTCTTTACTTCTAAAGTCTGTAAAGGCCTTAATATCAAAAATAAGTTGAAATTATAAGGCGAGTTGGGACATTTTTTTCTCTTTTCCCTGGCAGAGCTTTTGTGAGATTGGTATTAATCTGACCTTAAATTTGAAGAAAAAAAATCAGCAGTAAATTAGAGCAACTACATCAACTACGAGATGTTTATATATCAATTTGAATTGGTTAATTGTTTAATGTTCCTAAAACTTCAAATTCATTATCATGAAGTAAGTTAAAATATATTACTATTATCTTTTATGACATTAGCATTCCTTTTTTCCTGATTCAGTTTTTTCATTGATAAATTTTGCCTAGCCTATTTTCAGTCTGTTCAAATAACAACTATTTTGTTGATTTTTTCTATTATAGTCTCACCATATACGCCATTGTTTTCTGTGGGATTTTTTTTTCTTTATTATTTCCTTTCTATTTCCTTTGGGCTTAACTTAAACTTCCTTTTCAAAATTGGACTTATTATTGATTTTCAGCTTTTCATATTTTTAATACATGTAGTTAAGACTATATTAGTATTTCTCTAGTTACGACTTCCTGTTTATCCTCTTTTAAAATGTCATATTTTTATTATCATGCATTTCATTTTTTTATATTTTTAATCATAGGCTATTTAGTAGTGTTTTCTAATATCCCCCTAAATGTAGATGTTTGCTATTGTTTCCACCTTAATTATTTCTAATGTAATTGCATTTGAGTCAACTCATACTGTGTGATTCAAGTACTTGGAAATATATCAAGACAACAATTACAAATTTAGAAACATTATATCTCCCTGATGAATTAATCAGTTTGTTATTAAATGCCTCTGTTTTTTCTGGTAGTGATTCTTGGTTTACTGTCTCTTTTATCTGACACAAATATAGCTATACAATTTTCCTTTTCTTAGAATATGATTGGCATATCTTTTTCTAACTTCTTACTTTTAACCTCTCTGAGTACTAATATTGAATATGTTTCTTTTATAAGCAATCTACATACTGACATATTTACTTAATCTGAAAATATGCTTCTTTAATTTGTGTTTAGGTTTAAATACAATTTTACTATTAGATTTCCATTCATACCACATGACTTTTCTTCATTTTCTTTCTGGTATTTTCAAAAAATCACTTCAATTTTTCTCAGTGCTCCTTAATATGGTTTAGATGTTTATCTTTTCCAAATCTCAGATTGAAATGTGATCCCTAATGTTGGATGTGGGGCCTGGTGGGAGGTGTTTGGGTCCCAGGGGCAAATCTCCCTCAGGAATGGCTTGGTGCCCTCGCTGTGGTAACTCATTACCACAAGATCTGATTGTTCCAAGGAACCTGGGACTTCCTCCTTCTCTCTCTCTCTTGCTCCCTGTCTCACCTTGTGACATGCCTCCATTCCCTTCCTGTTCAGCTGTGAGTGAAAGTTTCCTGGGCCTCACCAGATGCTGAGAAGATGCTGTTGCCAAGTTTGTACAGCCTGCAGCACCATTAGCCAAATAAATTTCTTTTCGTTATAAACAACCTAGTCTCAGTTATTGCTTTATAGAAACACAAAATGAACTAACACACTCCTCCTCCACTTCATTATTGTATAGACTACACATTTTTTCTTCTTTCATATGTTACTTTAGTGGTTACAACATACATTCTTGACTTGTTAAAGTCTGATATAAATTAGTACCTAAATTACTATATACTACTCAGACAATTCAAAAACCGAAACAACACTTGAATACCATTCGCATTTTGCTATTATTTTCATGTGTTTATTGTGCATGTTTCAATCCCCAAAAGTTATTCTTATTATATTTTAAGTTGCTAATATTTGCTTGAATTTACTCTTGCATTTGCTGTTATTTATTCATTTCATTCTACAACTCTGTATGCCCACCTGGTTTGTTTATTTATTTAGTTTTTCTGAAGCACCTCCTATAGCATTTGTTTCAATACGATTTACTGGTGATGAGTTCTCTTGGTTTTGCTTATTTAAGACATCTTTATTTCATTTTTCTGTTTAAAATGCTTTCCACTGGATTAGAGCTATTGGTTAGTAGTTATTTTATTAATATTTAAGCACTAAATATATCATCCCATTTTATTCTGTTCTCTGTATTTTCTTCCAAATGCGAGATGTCAGATTTGTAGTTGCTCTCCTGGTGGGGAGGGGCCAGTGTGCGTGCGTGTGTGTGTGTGTGCATGTGCGTGTGTTCCTCTGCTTAAATCCACAAAGCTTTTGGAATCTGAGGCTTGAAGTCATCCATCACTTTTAGAAAATTCTGAAAGTATGTCTTCAAATACTACTTCTTGCCCCACTCTTTTGTGTTTTTCTGCTGGTCTCCAAAGTAACTTATTTTCGATTTCTAATCATGTCTCATATGTCTACTATGTCGTTTTTCTGAAGTGTTTCTCCTTTTCTTCTTAATGTCTCAAAAATTCTGTATTTCTCACATTCCAATTCACCAGTCCTGTAGTCAGCTATGCCTAATCCACTGTTCAATTTACCTATTTTATTCTCAAATTTATTTTTTGTATTTTTACATTCTAGAGTTTCCATTTTACTGTTCTTTAATAGGCTGCAATATCTGGAAAAATTACCCACTAGAATCATGAATGATTATGATGGTGCTTAAAGTCTGTATCTGATTAACTCCAACTTTTATATCACTTATAGATATATTTCTATTGTTTTTAGTTTTTTCACTTAGGTTTTGATTATTTGGTCTTAATTTTATGACATTTCTACTATGTTTCTATTTAATTTCTGACTTTTATATCACAATTTAACAAGAATAATTTGGAGCTCTTTCTGATGTTACCACTTAACAGACAAGATTTCCTTTTCTTTCTGACAGGGAGTTAGAATAGGTGCATATATATTTAATATAATATAAGGTTTAGATAGTTTGGAACTGAGATATTTTGTGAGAGCTGGGCAGTCTCTGGTTTTACCATTATTTCCTTGCTATAGTGGGTCTAGGGTCCTTAGAAATATGAATAATTTCAGGGTCCCTCCTTGCCAATCTTTAAACTCCAAATTTTGTCACGTAGTTTTGTAAAATTATTGAAAGCAATACTTATCTTCATGCTTATTTGTTTACCTGACTCTAACTTTCTGGACATAGCACTAGTAACTGCAAATATCTTAAAGTAAAAAATATTGACTAAATTTCAAGCTCACCTAGAGGCATTTACTTTTCACTGAGATTTGGGACATCTCATATCTAGATGGCTTGGTAGCTCACTGATGACTTAAAACAGGTATTTTTGCTTGTTTGTTTAATTTTGTTCAGTGTTTCTAGCTTTCTGAGTTGTTTCCACAACAATTTATTCCACTTACTATAGGCAGTGATGTGTATATGAATATTACTGTAAGTAGAAAATAGCTATATTTTCATGTTAGTTATCAAAAGGAGGTGTATTTTTCTGAATTAAAAATTCTCGAAGGAAGTTTTGTTGTTAATCTAACATAAGGTATGAAATTGACTAAGATTTTATAAACAAAGTTATAGAAACGATGTGACTCACCCTCAAAAAAATCATACAGTTTTCAATTTTCAGACTGCCAATTAAAAGACATATTTTCTAATTCCTGATCACAACTCTTTTTTTTTTTTTCTTTGAGATAGAGTCTCTGCTCTGTCACCCAGGCTGGAGTGCAGTGGCGCGATCTCTGCTCGCTGCAAACTCCGCCTCCCAGGTTCACGCCATTCTCCTGCCTCAGCCTCCCAAGTGGCTGGGAATGCAGGCACCCGCCACCACGCCCATCTAATTTTTTGTATTTTTAGTAGAGATGGGGTTTCACAGTGTTAGCCAGAATGGTCTAGATCTCCTGATCTCGTGATCCGCCTGCCTCAGCCTCCCAAAGTGCTGGGATTACAGGAGTGAGCCACTGCGCCCGGCCTGATCAAGACTCTTTACCATTCAAAGCTGTTAGATTAAACAAGCTTACAGTTATTTTCTGGGTACTTCACAATCACTTGTGCATGTTTTCTACTCAAGAAACCATGACAATATTTGCTGGCTAATAGAATAAAAGTAATATTTCAAATAAATATTATATCATTACATATAGGTATATAGCAGTATACCATTTTAGTAGTGTACTTACTGAAAAGCAACTAAAGAAAAATGAATTATCTTTCAATAATAGTCACATCTTCTCACATTTACTTTGTCTTATTTTCTGAAAGCACATAGCTTTATGTCCTGTAGCCAAATTGTTAAATCCCCATCTTTGCCTATGAAAATATATAGGATTGATTTAAAGCCAAATTCACACACACACACACACACACACACATACACACACACACACCCTAAAACACATTGTTATCGTTATCCAGCCTTAAAGCTTGTACCTGAGTCTCCCACCAACCCTACCTATCCTCCCCAACAACACTTCAGGAAAGTGTGCTTGTAGTGAGTTATATCATGAATCCGTGACATAGAAAAATTCACAACGCATAACTTTCCCTTTTCATTACTTTGTTCCAGAATCCATTATCAATTATCTTTGTCTTATAAAAACAGGTATCAACATCCAAATAACTTAAGACATTTAATAAGAAAAGTCAAACAATGTGTGGGAAAAATTTCTTTTAGGAAAAGCTTTCATAAAAATAAATACTTTACTATACCAGGGATAGCATTAATTTTTACGTGTGAAAGATTTTGAAAGCTAAAGCATAAGAAAAAAAAAAACTTCCATTTGTTTGTGTCCTCTTTTATTTCATTGAGCAGTGGTTTGTAGTTCTCCTTGAAGAGGTCCTTCACATCCCTTGTAAGTTGGATTCCTAGATATTTTATTCTCTTTGAAGCAATTGTGAATGGGAGTTCATTCATGATTTGGCTCTCTGTTTGTTATTGGTGTATAAGAATGCTTGTGATTTTTGCACAATGATTTTGTATCCTGAGACATTGCTGAAGTTGCCTATCAGCTTGAGATTTTGGGCTGAGACGATGGGGTTTTCTAGATATATATCTGCAAACAGGGACAATTTGAATTCCTCTTTTCCTAATTGAATACCGTTTATTTCCATCTCCTGTCTGATTGCCCTGGCCAGAACTTCCAACACTATGTTGAATGGGAGTGGTGAGAGAGGGCATCCCTGTCTTGTGCCATGCTCATGGGTAGGAAGAATCAATATCGTGAAAATGGCCATACTGCCCAAGGTAATTTATAGATTCAATGCCATCCCCATCAAGCTACCAATGACTTCCTTCACAGAATTGGAAAAAACTACTTTAAAGTTCATATGAAACCAAAAAAAAGCCCGCATCACCAAGTCAATCCTAAGCCAAAAGAACAAAGCTGGAGGCATCACGTTACCTGACTTCAAACTATACAACAAGGCTACAGTAACCAAAACAGCATGGTACTGGTACCAAAACAGAGATATAGACCAATGGAACAGAACAGAGCCCTCAGAAATAATGCCACATATCTACAACTTATCTGATCTTTGAGAAACCTGACAAAAACAAGAAATGGGGAAAGGATTCCCTATTTAATAAATGGTGCTGGGAAAACTGGCTAGTCATATGTAGAAAGCTGAAACTGGATCCCTTCCTTACACCTTATACAAAAATTAATTCAAGATGGATTAAAGACTTACATGTTAGACCTAAAACCATAAAAACCCTAGAAGAAAACCTAGGCAATAGCATTCAGGACACAGGCATGGGCAAGGACTTCATGTCTAAAACACCAAAAGCAATGGCAACAAAAGACAAAATTGACAAATGGGATCTAATTAAACTAAAGAGCTTCTGCACAGCAAAAGAAACTACCATCAGAGTGAACAGGCAGCCTACAGAATGGGAGAAAATTTTTGCAATCTACTCATCTGACAAAGGGCTAATATCCAGAATCTACAATGAACTCCAACAAATTTACAACAAAAAAACAACCCCATCAACAATTGGGCAAAGGATATGAACAGACACTTCTTAAAAGAAGACATTTATGCAGCCAAAAGACACATGAAAAAATGCTCATCTTCACTGGCCATCAGAGAAATGCAAATCAAAACCACAATGAGATACCATCTCACACCAGTTAGAATGGCAATCATTAAAAAGTCAGGAAACAACAGGTGCTGGAGAGGATGTGGAGAAATAGGAACACTTTTACACTGTTGGTGGGACTGTAAACTAGTTCAACCATTGTGGAAGTCAGTGTGGTGATTCCTCAGGGATCTAGAACTAGAAACACCATTTGACCCAGCAGTCCCATTACTGGGTATATACCCAAAGGATTATAAATCATGCTGCTATAAAGACACATGCACACGTATGTTTATTGCGGCACTATTCACAATAGCAAAGACTTGGAACCAAGCCAAATGTCCAACAGTGATAGACTGGATTAAGAAAATGTGGCACATATACACCATGGAATACTATGCAGCCATAAAAAATGATGAGTTCATGTCCTTTGTAGGGACATGGATGAAGGTGGAAATCATCATTCTCAGCAAACTATCACAAGGACAAAAAACCAAACACTGCATGTTCTCACTCATAGGTGGGAATTGAACAATGAGAACACATGGACACAGGAAGGGGAACATCACATACCGGGGCCTTTTGTGGGGTGGGGGGAGTGGGGGATGGGAGGAGGGATAGCATTCATTGTGTTTAACATTACTAATAAAGTAGTTTAATATTTACTAGGATTTAGAGGATGCAGAACAAAACCTTATCTTAAATATTTGAAAAGGAAAGATAGATATAATCAGTTTTCATTGAAATTATAAATTTTCACAGTACTATTAAAGCACTTTAAACTATTTTGATTACATTTTATGTACTTGCTTATTAAATGATTTGTAATTGCAAATGACATGGGAAAGTTGTCATATTTTCCCTTTCAAGGGCCTTGGTTGACTAAATTCTCTCATTATTTAAGGATTATCATTATTATTAGCACAGTTTTAATTTTAAAAGATACCTGGCATTTAATGGTCATTTTAAAATATATATATATATTTGAATGAAATAATTTTGTCATTAGAAATTACTATTAATGCAAACTTAATTGTGTTTGCAATTTAGTTTGGCATTTACTTCAAGGTCTACAAAAAGCTATAGCTACCAAGAACACTTTCATATCTTAAACAAGAGAGGAAACTACACATTTTAATCAAACTGTTTCCTACTGAGAGTGGAAAATATAAAAGGAAATTTAACAGGTGTCTAGCTCTCTGAGCAAATTGAGCTAATGAGGCAAATTTTCATCTTGCAAAGAATGAAAGAAGAGAATGAGACACAGAGCATCAGTTGAGGAATATATGATGAGCCATCTGGCTTGATGATATAAATAGATGATAAGTTCCATATGCAGTTCTCTCAAAGTTGGCCCAAACGCAGAAGTAGTAGATGAGCACTTTACCTGTTTAACCCCCTGCCATGACTTCCATGCAGCTAAAGCACACTTACATAGTTTACTTTTGATTAATCTTATTGACCAGTCTACTCTCCATACACAAGGTAAATGTCAGAGGGATTTGATAAAGGGGTGGACCATACTCTGACCAAGAAAATATTAGGCCAGTGTAACTGATGGGAGGGGTTGCTAGGAGTAACAAACCATGACATAAAAACAAACAAACAAACAAACAAAAAAAACTATGTAGAAAGAAATGCACCCAGGTTGAAGAAAAGTGTTTTGCATAATTTATAGTAACAATGCAAAATATCTAAAAGGGAAAAATATAATTGAAGACCCTAGAAGCCAACAAATATATAATTCTGATTTTGAATCACATCTCATACCGATTCACTAATTTACTTAACAAGTGATCTTTATTTTTTTTCCAGTTTTTAGGCACCGTGTTCCCTGAGGGAAAAGAAAAAAAAAAGAAAAGAAAACATGTATTCTTACAGAAAATTCTTCTATGAGTTCAATTTTCTTCTTTAATATGTACAAACAGCAGACCAAAAGTTAAGCAACACTGAGAAAATGTAATTACAAGAAAAAATGTTGAGTGCTTAATTTTCTACTTTTTACATTCAAAGTGAAAAACATTGGAAAGGACAATGATAATGGATATTTAACCTTATAAAAAGCAATGACAACAAAAGCCAAAATGGACAAATGGGATCTCTTTAAAGAGCTTCTGTACAGCAAAAGAAACTATTATCAGAGTGGACAGGCAACATACAGAATGGGAGAACATTTTTGCAATCTATCCATCTGACAAAGGGCTAAGATCCAGCATCTACATGGAATTTAAACAAATTTACAAGAAAAAAATCAAACAACCCCATCAAAAAGTGGGTGAAAAATATGAACAGGTACTTCTCAAAAAAAAGACATATATGCAGCCAACAAACATATGAATAAAAAGGTCATCATCACTGATCATTAGAGAAATGCAAATCAAAACCACAATGAGATGCCATCTCATGCCAGTTAGAATGGTGATCATTAAAAAGTCAGGAAACAACAGATACTGGAGAGGGAAGTAGAGAAATAGGAACGCTTTTACATTGTTTGCGGGAGTGTGAATTAGTTCAACCATTGTGGAAGACAGTGTGGAGATTCCTCAAGGATCTAGAACTAGAAATACCATTTGACCCAGCAATCCTATTACTGGGTATATACCTAAAGGATTATAAATCATTCTACTATAAAGACACATGCACACGTATGTTTATTGCAGCACTGTTCACAATAGCAAAGTCTTGGAACCAACCCAAATGCCCATCAATGATAGACTGGTTGAAGAAAATGTGGCACATATATATACACCATGGAATACTATGCAGCCATATAAAGGAGGAGTTCATGTCCTTTGCAGGGACATGGATGAAGCTGGAGACCATCATTCTCAGCAAACTAACACAGGAATAGAAAACCAAACACCACATGTTCTCACTCATAAGTGGGAGCTGAACAATGAGAACACATGGACACAGGGAGGGGCACATCACACACCAGGGCCTGTTGGGGAGTTGGGGGCTAGGGCAGGGATAGCATTAAGAGAAATACCTAATTCAGATGATGGGTTGATGGGTGCAGCAAACCACCATGGCACATGTATACCTATGTAACACACTTGCACATTCTGCACATGTATCCCGGAACTTAAAGTATAATTTTAAAAATAAATAAATAAATAAATAGTGACCCTAGTGAATGTTGTGGTGAATTGTATAATTATAGCAACAGTTTCCCAGTATGATGGAATCATCAGTGTACGGTTAAGATATTTTCATTAAGAGATAAGAAAATATTTTAATTTGTAACTGTATTAATTGGTTATCTGATGATATTGCCAGCATTTTCTTAACAGCCAATGAAATGGTGGTTAATATGATTATAGTCAACTGTACTATTTTTATTACATATTTTAGGCAAAATAAATTATTGCATCATTAGCATTGCTATTGATTTTTCACACACTTGCTTATTAGGTATATGAACTGATTGTTAGCCAGGAATAACATCTTTATTTTCATCTGTATATTCACTCATTCAACAAACATTATTAAGTACCTACTGGCTTGTACCAGACACTGGAACCGCACTTGGAAAATAACAGTTGTTGGCTGGTGAACATATGATAAAAGTAGAGACCCCCCAGAATTCTCTGACACAACTTGAACAACCTGCTCCTGAATGACACAAAGAACATAGGTTGTGAGAGAACAAAAACAGTCAAAAATGACCACAAAATGTTTTTTTCTGAGAAAAATTATCCTATAAACTCATAAGAACAAACTTAAGAAGAATTGATTTGAGTAGAAAAGAAATACTATAATCCCAATTTAATAAGAAACATAAAGCAGAATTATCCTCCACAGGACACAAGAATTAGGACTTTAGAACAACTCATATAAATAAAAATAATTAAAATATCTTGGCAGAAACCCTACAAGCCAGAAGAGAGTCGGGGCCAGTATTCAACATTCTTAAAGAAAAGAATTTTCAACCCAGAATTTCATATCCAGCCAAACTAAGCCTCATAAGCGAAGGAGAAATGAAATACTTTACAGACAAGCAAATGCTGAGAGATTTTGTCATCACCAGGCCTGCCCTAAAAGAGCTCCTGAAGGAAGCACTAAACATGGAAAGGAACTACCGGTACCAGCCACTGCAAAAACATGCCAAATTGTAAAGACCATCGATGCTATGAAGAAACTGCATCAATAAAAAGGTGAAATAATCAGCTAGTATCATAATGACAGGATCAAATTCACACATAACAATAGTAACCTTAAATGTAAATGGGCTAAATGCCCCAATTAAGAGACACAGACTGGCAAACTGGACAAATAGTCAAGACCCATCGTTGTGCTGTATTCAGGAGAAGCATCTCACATGCAAAGACACACATAGGCTCAAAATAAAGTCATGGAGGAAGATTTACCAAGCAAATGGAAAGGAAAAAATTTAAAAAGCAGGGGTTGCAATCCTAGTCTCTGATAAAACAGACTTTAAACCAATAAAGGTCAAAAGAAACAAAGAAGGGCATTACATAATGGTAAAGGGATCAATTCAACGAGAAGAGCTAACTATCCTAAATATATACACACCCAATACAGGAGCACCTAGATTCGTAAAGCAAGTTCTTAGAGACCTACAAAGAGACTTATACTCCCACACAATAACAGTAAGAGAGTTTAACAACCCACTGTCAATAGTAGACAGATCAATGAGACAGAAAATTATCAAGGATATCCAGGACTTGAACTCAGCACTGGACCAAGCAGATCTAATAGACATCTACAGAACTCTACACCCCAGATCAACAGCATATACATTCTTCTCAGAACCACATTGCACGTATTCTAAAATTGGTCACATAATTGGAAGTAAAACACTCCTCAGCAAATGTAAAAGAACAGAAATCACAACAACCTGTCTCTCAGACCACAGTGCAATCAAATTATAACTCAGCATTAAGAACCTCACTCAAAACCACACAAAAACATGGAAACTGAACAACCTGTTCCTGAATGACCACTAGGTAAATAATGAAATGAAGACAGAAGTAAAGACGTTCTTTGAAACCAATGGCAACAAAGACACAACATACCAGAATCTCTGGGGCACATTTAAAGCAGTGTGTAGAGGGAAAATTATAGCACTAAATGCCCACAAAAGAAAGATCTAAAATTGACACCCTAACATCACAATTAAAAGAACTAGAGAAGCAAGAGCAAACCAATTCAAAAGCTAGCAGAAGACAAGAAATAACTAAGATGAGAGCAGAACTGAAGGAGACAGAGACACAAAAAAACCTTCAAAAAATCAATGGATACAGGCGCTGGTTTTTTGAAAAGATCAACAAAATTGATAGACCACTAGCCAGAATAATAAAGAAGAAAAGAGAGAAGAATCAAATAGACACAATAAAAAATGATAATGGGGATATCACCACCGATCCCACAGAAATACAAACTACCATCAGAGAATACTATAAACACCGCTATGTTAATAAACTAGAAAATCTAGAAGAAATGGATAAATTCCTGGACACATACACCCTCCTACGACTAAACCAGGAAGAAGTCGAATCTCTGAATAGACCAATAACAGGTTCTGAAACTGAGGCATAACTAATAGCCTACCAACCAAAAAAATGTCCAGGACCAGACAGATTCACAGCCAAATTCTACCAGAGGTACAAAGAGGAGCTTGTACCATTCCTTCTGAAACTATTCCAATCAATAGAAAAAGAGGGAATCCTCCCTAACTCATTTTATGAGGCCGGCATCATCCTGATACCAAAAGCTGGCAGACATTCAAAAAAAAAAAGAAAAAAAAGAAAATTTTAGGCCAATATCCCTGATGAACATCGATGCAAAAACCCTCAATAAAATACTGGCACATCCAAAAGTTTATCCACCATGATCAAGTGGGCTTCATCCCTGGGATCCAAGGCTGATTAAACATATGCAAATCAATAAACATAATCCATCACATAAACAGAACCAATAACAGAAACCACATGATTAATAGATGCAGAAAAGGCCTTCGACAAAATTAAACAGCGTTTCATGCTAAAAACTCTCAATAAACTAGATAGTGATGGAACGTATCTCAAAATAATAAGAGCTATTTGTGACAAACCCACAGCCAATATCATATTGAATGGGCAAAAACTGGAAGCTCTCCCTTTGAAAACCAGCACAACACAAGAATGCCCTCTCTCACGACTCCTATTCAACATACTATTGGAAGTTCTGGCCAGGGCAATCAAGCAAGAGAAAGAAATAAAGGGTATTCAATTAGAAAAAGAGGAATCAAATTGTATCTGTTTGCAGACGACATGATTGTATATTTAGAAAACCCCATCGTGTCAGGCCAAAATCTCCTTTAGTGGATAAGCAACTTCAGCAAAGTCTCAGGATACAAAATCAACGTGCAAAAATCACAAACATTCCTATACACCAATAACAGATAAATCATGAGTGAACTCCCATTCACAATTGCTACTAAGAGCATAAAATACCTAGGATTCCAACTTACAAGGGATGTGAAGGACCTCTTGGAGGAGAACTACAAACCACTGCTCAAGGAAATAAAAGAGGGCATAAACAAATGGAAGAACATTCCATGCTCATGGATAGGAAGAATCAATATCATCAAAATGGCCATACTGCCTAAAGTAATTTATAGATTCAAGGCTATCCCCATCAAGCTACACTGACTTTCTTCACAGAAGTGGAAAAAACTACTTTAAATTTCATATGGTAGCAAAAAAGAGCCCGCATAGCCAAGACAATTCTAAGTAAAAAGAACAAAGCTGGAGGCGTCATGCTACCTGACTTCAAACTATACTACAAGGCTATAGTAACCATGGTACTTGTACCAAAACAGATATACAGACCAATGGAACAGAACAGAGGCCTCAGAGATAACACCACACATCTACAACCATCTGATTTTTGACAAACCTGACAAAAACAAGAAATGGGGACAGGATTCCCTATTTAATAAATGGTGCTGGGAAAACTGGCTAGCCATATGCAGAAAGCTGAAACTGGATCCATTCCTTACACCTTATACAAAAATTAACTCAAGATAGATTAAAGGCTTAAACATAAGACTTAAAACCATAAAAACCCTAGAAGAAAATCTAGACAATACCATTCAGGACATAGGCACGGGCAAAGACTTCATGACTAAAACACCAAAAGCAACGGCAACAAAAGCCAAAATTGACAAATGGGATCTCATTAAACTAAAGAGCTTCTGCACAGCAAAAGAAACTATCATCAGAGTTAACAGGCAATCTACAGAATGGGAGAAAATCTTTGCAATCTATCCATTTGACATAGGACTAATATCCAGAATCCACAAAGAACATAAACAAATTTACAAGAAAAAAACAACCCCATCAAAAAGTGGGCAAAGGATATGAACAGACACTTCTCAAAAGAAGACATTTATGCAGCCAATAAACTTATAAAAAATGCTTATCATCATTACTGGTCATTAGAGAAATGCAAATCAAAACCACAAGGAGATACCATCTCATGCCAGTTAGAATAGCCATCATTTAAAAGTCAGGAAACAACAGGTGCTGGAGAGGATGTGGAGAAATAGGAACACTTTTACACTGTTGGTGGGACTGTAAATTAGTTGAACCATTGTGGAAGACAGTGTGGAGATTCCTCAAGGATCTAGAGCTACAAATACCATTTTACCCAGCCATTCCATTACTGGGTATATACCTAAAGGATTATAAATCATTCTACTATAAAGACACATGCACACGTATGTTTATTGCAGCACTGTTCACAATAGCAAAGTCTCAGAACCAACCGAAATGCCCATCAACGATAGACTGGATAAACAAAATGTGGCACATATACACCATGGAATACTATGCAGCCATAAAATAATGAGTTCATGTCCTTTGCAGAGACATGGATGAAACTGGAAACCATCATTCTCAGCAAAGTAACACAAGAAGAGAAAACCAAACACCGCATGTTCTCATTCATAAGTGGGAGTTGAATAATAACACATGGACACAGGGAGGGGAATATCACACACTGGGGCTTGTCGGGGGGTGGGGGCCTGGGGGAGGGATAGTATTAGGAGAAATACCTAATGTAAATGACGAATTGATGGGTGTAGCAAACCAACATGGCACGTGTATACCTATGTAACAAACCTGCACGTTGTGCACATGTATCCCAGAACTTAAAGTATAATAAAAAAATAAGTAAAATGAAAAACAGTCAAGATGAGGAATAAAAATTATACTTAAAAATTACTATAAAAAATAAGAGGAAATTGATAGCAACATTAGGGAGATAACTAAGGTAAGAGAAAACTTCACATGCCGGGAAAGAAGTGGTAAGATAGAACAACTACATTCAATGGAAGGAAGGAGTTGCAGTACGGTCTTGTGTAATAGACAGCCCCATGTGCATTAGTAATGTCAAAATCTGTTCCTTCAGCTCTATTCACAGCTAGAAGAGTAGAAAGAGTGAAAATAATAGAAGAGCCCCACTTAGAATCTGAACCTTGGGAATGAAAAGTCACTAAAATGGAAGACAGAAGTACAAAGAGAAGAGATGGATTTTGTAATCTCACAGTAGGCATGAGCTACTACTGCACAATAATATCCTGAGGTTATACGGCGTGTGTGCTGTAGGAGAAACATATCAATGAGGGAATCATGTGGACTTCCTGCTTCCTTCCGAATGTAATTTAAATACCCTTTGTCTTTCCCACTGCCACGAAAGAATGGACCTATAAGAACACATTCATGTGATAGAATATTTTTGAAATATTAATTGATGTTTTATTCCTAAACTTGCCTTGTATGTTCTTCCCCCTTTTCATCACTTTATTTAATGAAACAGATTTGGAATTATTACCTCATCATGATAAGGAATGTGAATTGGATGGAAAACAGGAAATACTCTGCAGGTCTCTAGTAACTTTTGTTTCCAAAATACTAAAGCCCTTAAAAAATTCAGACGACCTCTGGAATAACTTAATGTTTTGACGAGTAATGTTTGAGGATGGCAGGATTTTTCTCTGGAACAGTGTTTCTTATATGGTTACAATTTTTCCTCCCAGGGAATATTTGGCAGAATCTGAAGGCATTTCGAATGTTACCACAAAGCTGGGGTAGGGTAGTGTTATTGGCATCTTGTGGGTGGTACCAGGGATGCCGGTAAGCATCTAGAATACACAAGACAGCCCCCCTACCCCCGCCATCAAATAATTATCCAGTCCAAAATGTCAAAAATAACAAGGCTGAAAAACTTTGATCTAAAGAGACTGAAGAATAGTTTATTTGTTGTCTGGGACGACAGAGGCTATGGGGATAGTAATGACGAAGGGCAGTGGCAGATTGTGCAGGAAAAACTCTGTTTCTCTGGAAGAGCCCTGGATGCTGGGAGGTCACCTGTCTCACAGATTGACACCTAGAGGCACGGGACCATCACAGTAAAGGAAGAAGTGTGCACTGTGTTCAGGCCAATGGGATCTGAGCCAGGCAGAAGTGGTGGTGCTCCAGTATGTCAGGCAAGCCACAGAACAAGCTAAAGTCTAAGGGCACAGGAGAGGAAGAGGTGACTAGAGCTGACTGTCCTAGGCAAAACAGGGAGGGGCATTTTAGTGAAGAGCCTGAATGAAGAGAGGATTCAAACAGAGGCCAGGGTTGCACTCTGATCCACCAGTTCTTCTACAGAGCTGTGGTTTGAGGTATAGAAAGTTGATCCCCAGAAGAGAACAAACTCTGTGGTAAGGGAAAAGAGGGTCACGTTCAGTAACAGCGAAACTTGTGTCCCTGGAAACCAATAAAGTTTATCGAAACATTTTGTATTAAGAAAAATTTTCTTAGAAATAAGTTTAAAACATTCCAATTTTAGATAATGACATTTAGGCAAGGGCTGTTGCTGTGCATGCCAAATGTTAAAATTTCTAAAGTGAAATTTAAATATAATGGATTAGGAAACAGAAAGTTACTTCACTTTTCCCAAATACAAGGTTTTCAAAATCAGCCTATTGATGGCTTAAAAGTCTGAATATGGTTTGTTACTGTTGTTGTTTTGCTTTGGTCTTCTTGAGTTTAGTTTTTGTGTTAAATTAGACATTTTAATTCAAATAGCTGGGGTTGAAAATACAGAAGGAATGCCATTATGCAGATGTGCAGCTATTCATTTTCCTTCTGCCTTGAAGACTTCTGGCAGACCTTGGAGGAAGGATGGTAGCAGAATAGAAGTTATCTGAATCACTCGACCTCCTTATAATTTATATGATTTTTGGTACAGATATTAATGTCATAAAACTCTTTGAAAGCCTGTACTATTTAAATTTTTAAAATATCAAATTCACCAAAAGTAAGAAGGAAAAGCTTTATAGCATAGTAACTAAACTTACTAAGCACTAAGTATGTGCCAACCATTGTATTAGGACTTTGCATGTGATATCTTAATACTTGTGGTGACACTATGAGGAAGCTCATGTAAATATTCCTATTTTAGACATGAAGAAACTGACATGCAGAGATATTTAGTGACTTAAGATCACAAAACTAAGAGCAGATATCAGTAATCAAACCTAAGTAGTCTGATTTCAGAGCATTTTGCTTGGGCTTAGAGCCACCCTTCACTCAAGGATGGAAGGTTCTCAGAATTTGCCAAATAACATTTCTATATATACCCCCATTGACTAGGACTACTTATTGGCTGCAAGGAGACTTAGAATATTAGAAATATTAGAATAAATATTTCTTGTATCCCTGTATATAACAGTATCTCCCTCTTTCCCTCACAGTAGAGGAATCAATATTGATGAACTTGTCTAGATCACCTATCCTATGCCAGATTTTCTACATGATACTTGGTTAATATTTAAATAACTCATCTATTAAAATGGTTTAGATATAAAATAAAATTTTATTGTCAAAAAATGTCCTTTATCTATTCCTAACAAGTTCCTCTATGGAAATGATTGACCCATATTTCCAAGATAAAGATAGATAAGGATATAAATCATACCAACATTTAGGTAAAATTTCAGCACTCATGAAATTAATGACTAAAAATACTCTGTACGATCTGTGCAAATATTGTCTTTGTCATGTAAAACCTAATGTATTTTGTGATTTTTGAAGAATGCATGCTCTTTTTCTTGGTGTGTTTATTGGTTTGAACTAAATACTGCTTAATGGCAGAGTTCAAGGTCTTCGCCACCATTTTTCCTTATTGCTGCTATATAGGAGAGCCTGTAGGTATCTTATAATATGCCACTTTTATGAACTTCCAAGTCTTTTTAAATAATTTTTCAGAAAGGGGGACAAATTTTACAATTCTGTCCCCCTTCCCCTCTCCTCTCTTCTCCTTTTCCTTCTTTCTTCTTCTTCTCCTCTTTTATAGATAGGCAACCAAGATACAATTCTGAAGATTTGGACTCTCTTTTTTCAGTATATTTAAATCTAATTCCTTTTCTTTTCTCATTGCATTGTAATTAATTTTTTTATTCACATTAAATCAGAGAGGTACTAGCTGATATTATTGCCTAGTGCTAATTTTAGTGAGACCAAGTGAAGGGTTTAACTCTGAAGTTTAAAACTTACCATCAACAATATGTCTCTGAAATTATGTTTGAAATCTGAAGATTTACAGACAGAGCCTACGAGGTCTCTGGAATTAGTATACTGGTATGAATAGCAGGAAGCAGCTGTCCAGGATCAAAAAGCAGAAAATGTTGGTCAGAGACAAGTGCAAGATTCACTACATTAGTGTGAAGGAAAAGAGACTAAACACTAGAGAAGGACAAGACCAACCATATTTTCAGGAGAAAAATGTGATGTGACTGGTTGCTATTGAATAATGATCAGTAACACTAAAACTATAGACCAGTTAGAAGAGATTATTACTTGTCATTTTTTCTCAATGTGTTTATATTCAAGATGTTAATACATAATTAATAAAAATTCTTTGCCCCATCCTCTATTGTTGTATTGTAAATAATCCAAATTTAATAATAAAAAATGCATTCTTTGAGAAGTTCAGAAACCAATAAGACATTGTAGTGACCATTCTGGTGAATTTATTTACAAAGTGAAATAATATGTTTACAGAATTATTTGTCAGCAAAAGTGCTGCTGTGATTACTGCAATAAATAGGCCTACGAGAACATCAGATAGAAAAGTCTATTTCCTTGTATACTATTCTAAAAAAAAGTATATTATCTTATTACTATGTTTTCAAAATGTTTATACTGTCATGTTCATGAGAACATTAAATATTTTGTACCTTAAAAATAACGTGATTTGCAAGCAGTGTCAGAGATGTTGATCATTCATCCATACACATAATTTCCATATTTACAATTCACTATATGCAATTCTGTATTTTTATTTTTGCAGATAACCATGGATAGTTAAGAGTAAACAGATTTTCTTCCTTCCAAATGACTGTGGTGTTAACATACTTGAAAGTGTAACTACCAATATAGTATTTTCTCTTCAACATAGACTTTCAGCAAATCTGTCAACCTGAAATGCCTATTTCAATTCTGAGTGCTATTTTAATTCTTCCATAATTGGATAAAAAATTACACTTTTATTTCTGTGTAACCTAGTAAATGTCTATCTTAGGTAACAAAGTGAATTATGGTAATGTGCTTTTTATAGCTGTTCCTAGTGATCCGCTCACAATTTTCTGGGAAGCTTATATCACTGCTCCACATGCATGTTATAAGGAAGGTGATGTCTCTATAACTTTTATGAGTTCTCTCATTTGTTGATCTGTCTCTTAGGAAAGCAGTCTGGCATCTTTTCTTTCTTAACATCTGTCTTTATTTATTCAAATTATTTAGGATTTAATTTCCTCTTCTATGTGTTTTTTTAACCTATTCTAATGTTACCCAACTTTTATGACTGCATATACATACTGTTTTGAGTGTGTTATTTTTAAATGTTGAGGAATGGAAAGCATACTAAAGATGTTATTTATTCAAAAGAATGAAATTGGCAAGAGACATTCGACTCTCCCCCAACATGATTTTCTGATGTCCACAACAGTTTTGAGGAGCCAGACAGTTCCACAGGGGCTTTCATGCTATTCGTTTTGATTCTTTTTTTTTTTTTATACTTTAAGTTTTAGGGTACATGTGCACAATGTGCAGGTTAGTTACATATGTATACATGTGCCATGCTGGTGCGCTGCACCCACTAACTCGTCATCTAGCATTAGGTATATCTCCCGATGCTATCCCTCCCCTCTCCCCCCACCCCACAACAGTCCCCAGAGTGTGATATTCCCCTTCCTGTGTCCATGTGATCTCATTGTTCAATTCCCACCTATGAGTGAGAATATGCGGTGTTTGGTTTTTTGTTCTTGCGATAGTTTACTGAGAATGATGATTTCCAATTTCATCCATGTCCCTACAAAGGACATGAACTCATCATTTTTTATGGCTGCATAGTATTCCATGGTGTATATGTGCCACATTTTCTTAATCCAGTCTATCATTGTTGGACATTTGGGTTAAAATTGTGGCAATAATCAATAGCTTACCAACCAAAAAGAGTCCAGGACCAGATGGATTCACAGCCGAATTCTACCAGAGGTACAAGGAGGAACTGCTACCATTCCTTTTGAAACTATTCCAATCAATAGAAAAAGAGGGAATCCTCCCTAACTCATTTTATGAGGCCAGCATCATTCTGATACCAAAGCCAGGCAGAGACACAACAAAAAAAGAGAATTTTAGACCAATATCCTTGATGAACATTGATGCAAAAATCCTCAATAAAATACTGGCAAAACGAATCCAGCAGCACATCAAAAAGCTTATCCACCATGATCAAGTGGGCTTCATCCCTGGGATGCAAGGCTGGTTCAATATACGCAAATCAATAAATGTAATCCAGCATATAAACAGAGCCAAAGACAAAAACCACATGATTATCTCAATAGATGCAGAAAAAGCCTTTGACAAAATTCAACAACCCTTCATGCTAAAAACTCTCAAGAAATTAGGTATTGATGGGACGTATTTCAAAATAATAAGAGCTATCTATGACAAACCCACAGCCAATATCATACTGAATGGGCAAAAACTGGAAGCATTCCCTTTGAAAACTGGCACAAGACAGGGATGCCCTCTCTCACCACTCCTATTCAACATAGTGTTGGAAGTTCTGGCCAGGGCAATTAGGCAGGAGAAGGAAATAAAGGGTATTCAATTAGGAAAAGAGGAAGTCAAATTGTCCCTGTTTGCAGGCGACATGACTGTATATCTAGAAAACCCCACTGTCGCAGCCCAAAATCTCCTTAAGCTGATAAGCAACTTCAGCAAAGTCTCAGGATAGAAAATCAATGTACAAAAATCACAAGCATTCTTATACACCAACAACAGACAAACAGAGAGCCAAATCATGAGTGAACTCCCATTCACAATTGCTTCAAAGAGAATAAAATACCTAGGAATCATTTTGATTCTTTGTTGCTATAACTGATTATTTTGGAAAAACTGTTTTTTCCCTACAAGGCTTTGATAGGCTGTAGCCTCACTAAATTACTAATATGAAAATGAAAATATTAGTAATTTTAATGCAAATTCCAAACACATTTGTGGAGATAAAATTTAGAAAATAGCATAGATGTGAAATGTTCTAGATAGAATTGAATTGGAAATCCTTTTTAAATATACATCACCACCTTAATGACCATAGCTGAGTAATGGGAAGGAATATACATGTATTATAATATTTCAGCATATGAGTGCCTGTCAAATTTTCCTTTTTTCCAGCTGAGCCTTCTGATACATTAAGCATGTGTTTTCTTAGATTCTGTCTTGAGATGAATGAAAAGTGACTTCTCCATCCTAGGTTCATAAAACAGGTAGATATCTTTAAATAAGTTGTACTTGCTCTATCATGACACAATTTCCAAATGTGTTAAACTTGCTCTCCATTTATTAACAATGCTTAGATTAAGCTAATTCTGTAAGTTCTTACTTCAAAGCATAGCTTTTAAGAAAATATGCATCGGGCAAATAAGTATATGAAAAGACGATTGACATGTCATCAGGGAATTGCAAATTTAAAAAAAGATACTTATTAGAATGGCCAAAATCCAAAATGCTGACAGCAGCAAATCCTAGCAAGGATGTGGAGCAAAAGGAACTCTCATTTATTTATTTTTTTTTTTTTGAGGGACTGTGAAATGGTACAGACACTTTGAAAGATAGCTTGACAGTTTCATACAAAACTAAACATACTTTTACCATATAATCCAGCAATTGTGTTCCTAGGTATTGATACAAATGAGTTGAAAGTGTATGTCCACATAAAAACTAGCACATGAACATTTATAACAACTTTGTATGTAATTGCCAAAATATGGATGCAGCCAACATATCCCTCAATAGCTGAATAGATAAATAAACTGTGGTACTTCCAGACAATAGAATATTCTTAGAGCTGAAAACAAATGAGTTATCAAGATTTGAAAAGTCATGGAGGAAACAGAAATGCATATTGTTAAATAAAAGAGGCCAATCTGCAAAAGCTATGCACTATATGATTCCAATTTTATGGTATCTTGGATAAAGCAAAACTATAGAAACAATAAAAAGATTTGTGGTTGCCAAGGGTTTCTGGGCAGATAGGGAAGAATAAACAAAGCACAGAGGATTTTTAGAGCAGTGAAACTATTCTATATCATACAATAGTGGTTATGTGACATTATACATCTGGCAAAATCCATAGAATGTACAACACAAAGAGTGAACTCTATATGCATCCTATAGACAATGTGTCAATATTGGCTCATCAATTGTATAATAACAGCTGTACCACACTAATCCAACAGGTTACTAATTGGGGAAACTGTGTGTGGGGATGGGGGGTGGGTGTAGAGGGCTATTGGTGAGGAAAGGTATATCAGAACTCTCTTTACTTTCTATGCAACTTATCTGTATATTTAAAAGTTTTCAAAAGATTGCCTATTATAATAATTAAAAAATTGTTCAATAAAGGTGTTCCGCAAAATCTGATTATATCTTCAATCATTACAAGGCATTTAAAAATTATTTCCTCCATAGATAGTTGTAATTAAATTTATTATTTAATACTTTCACTTACAACTTCCAGTAGGAAAACCCCATTGATTGAGAGTGTCCAATTTCCAGTTTAATTGAAGAATAAACTTTCTCTAAACTGCTGAGTACAAGGTCTGAGATCCTTTCATCCCAGCATTCACTGTCTCCTGGGTTCAGAGGGAATATGAGAAATTTTATTACATGTATGCAAAGAGAATGCAATGAGTAGTGTGGTGCAGCCCTGCTTGTAGCCAAACTTTTGCCTTTCTCCCTAATTCAGTGATATCAATTGGTTGCTTGAAATTAGTCATGGTGGAGCATTACACCATGAACATTAGCAAATGTACAAATCAGCTGTTTTCTTTCTTTATTTTGTTTTAGAAAGAGAGCTTATCAGCACAGGACTGGTTAATACAATATCTCAAATTTATATCTATAAGAAATATTTTGCCCCATGTTTAAATATATTATAGAAAAAGCTTTTTCCTCAGGCAACAGAAGAGGAGCTTTGATATCAATTTTTTTCTAAGAAAAACACCATTTTTTTCAACATCATCGTATCCTCTCCATATTCTAGAACCATAATAATAGCTTGCTTTGGAAGTTTATAAATTGTATTATTATTACAGAAATAAATCTGAAAAGCCGTAAAAGCCTACAGATAGTACTAACTTGGGATTAGCAGAAACGTCCAGAAATGATGAATTGGAATAATGAAAGGAACTGAAAGACAAATGCCAGAGGAATTCAAGCATTTCTGCCTTAATGTAACTGTCAGAAACTATCTATGAAAGGGTTATGACAGAGAATACTATAAATGGTTTGTTTGTTGGATGTCTCATTTACTCCATGGTTTCTAAAGCCTGTATGAAGCTTATACAACTTCAAATTGCATATTGAAGGAAATATAGCACTGGGTTGTGGAATTCCAAGTAATAAGATGAATGAAAATGGTGGTAAATACAAAGAAAAAGTATCTAGGGACTTACTGCAACAAATACGTAACTGATTATTAATAGCAATTAATACATCCTTTTAAAACAAACAAGAAAACAACTGCACCAGGTATCAAAAGCACAAAAGTGTTTTCTGGCAAAATTAATTCCTAGCTAATAAGAATTCTTAACTAGTTCAATGTAATGAAGAGACTACAAAGTCCAGTGGAAAGGGCAACAATGCCTGAGAAAGTTGAGACAGGCTGCACATTGAAAAGAAACTTTGAGCTGGGTCTTGGAAGATGAAGTTGATACCTAGAAAAGGAAGTTGATACCTAGAAAAGGAGAAGACTTTTCCAGATAAAGGGGAAATACATGTTGGGATATAAAACTATGTGAAAGGACGTAGTATACTTGACCAGAATATGAAAGAAGTTTAAGAGAAAATGTCAGGAGATAAGATGAAAGCCATATATATTCGTGGGCCACAGAACACCAAGATTAAGTAGCGCCAAAGTATGCTGTGGCCTTTTGCATGCTGTTGAAGCTTTATTAAGAAATGATCCTTATGTTCATCCTTCATGAGATACCAAAGTTATGGAAAAAAAAAAATCTTAAAGGGTTAATTCAATCAGCTACTCATTCAAAATACGAATTCCCTTTCCAATACACTTACATAAAATATTTCCATTTGTTCCACATCTTCTCCCACACTTGATATTGTCATATTGCTAGTTTTTGTTGTTTTAATGTTGTATATATCACAGTATCTCAATTTTTATTTTATTTTGTAATTGCCTAATGGCAGTGATAATAACATTTTTCATATGTTTATTGGCTTTAACTATTCCTATTTTAAAAGTTAGAGACATTTACATATATATTTTAATTAACAGGCAGAAGGTCTTTATATACTTTGGATAAAGATCCTATTTGTTTTTGAACTACGAATTAAAATTTCTACTCCCAACATGTAGCTTGCTTTTTCATTCAATTTATCCTATTAATGGTGTTGTTTGATGAACTAAAGTTCCAATTTATAAATTATTTTTTCTACATCTAATGGTTTTTATAACTTGCATAATAAATTTTGCTGACTTGAAGATCATAAAGCTATTATCCTAGATTTATATTGCATTTTTTGCTTTATCTTTATGACATTATCTATGATCTGTCTGGAATTAATTTCTTGCATGCCATGTGATAAGGGTCAAAGTTATTTCTTCCACATGAATTCACTTCATGAAAACACACTCTCCCAGTAGTTCACAATGTAAATTTGTCACAAACACATATTTATGGTCTGTTGTGGACTCTACATTCTATTCCATTTATCTAGTATTCTATCATGATATGAATATTATATTGTTAATAATGTCTATATATGTAACAATTTTGATCTGTAGTTTCAATCTCCAAAATTTATAAGTAATTTTCTGAATTATCCTGGCAATTTCTATCCATTTTGCTATACCACCAACATTTTTATAGTGGCTTGTCAATTGTATCATACTGATACTTATTTGAAATAACCGGTACTATTTAGGTCAATTGTGAAAGAAAGTAATATATTTTCAATATTGATTCTTTCAATCTATAAATCTGATATACTTAAGCTTTTTAAATTTATCACAGTGAAGTTTTATGGACTATTTATAAAGGGCTTAAACTTCTATACTTATTTTTAGATATGTGATAATTTATGATGTTATTACAAATGATGTCTTAAAATCACATATGCTAATTCTTTGCTGATGCTATGTGGATTTTTTTTGTAAATTAATCTTATATACAAACAAAAATTCTGGCAAAAAAACTTAATAATATTGTATCCCTTTGTACATTTTACATGTAAAATTATTTAGACTAGTGACTTAATTTTTTTTGTCTATTTAGCTAGCTAAATAATATAGTATCAAGTGGAGTAAAAGTTATGGTAAAGATCCTTCATACAATGTTCCTGATAATAAGACAATATTTGCAGTACTTTATCATTGAATATAATACATGCTGAGTTTTTTTCTCAACTGTAATTTATTGTATTGAAGATTTCCCTATCTATTCATAGTTTGCTGAGTTTCTATCATGAATGAGTGCTTTTTTGGCTTCTACTGGAGTGATCAAATTATTTTTCATTTATTCTGTTGATGTGGTGAATTACACAGATTGATTTTTAATGTTAAAAAATCATTCCTAGAATTAACACAACTTGGTGTGGTGTATTAGCCATATGATACATTGCTAGATAAAACACACTTACATTTTGTAGAAACTGTTTGTATCTACATTCTTGAGAGAACTTGCCCTTTAATTTTCATTTATGTTTATGTTCTTATCAATTAAAAGAGGATACTCTAGGCTAATAAAGATATTTGAGAATGGCTCTCTTTTCCAGTATTATCTGAAAGAGTACATGTAAAATTATTTTTTCATTAAATTTTTGAAAACAAAAAAATTGAAGCAATTTTGGATTTTTAGGAATGCTTTTTTTATTTTTAATATACATTTTCTTTTGGAGTAATTATAAAAGTTGCAAAGATAATACAGAGTTTCTTCATACCTTTATTCACCTTCTCCTCATGTTAACATACTCATAGCACATTTTTCAAAACTAAAAAAGTAATATCAGTGCAACATTATTAAATGAAACAAGACTTTATTCAGATTTCACCAGCTTTTCCACTAATATCCTTTTCTCTTCCAGGATCCAATATATGATGTCACATAGCATTTAGTTATCATGTTTCCTTAATTTATTAGTCTGTGACAGTTTCTCATTCTTTGCTTGTTTTTCAAGACAGTGATACTCTTAAAAATATTTTTCAGGTATTTTTTAGAATGTCCCTTTGAGTTTGTGTGATGTTTTCTCATGGTTGTATTGGGGTTGTGGATTTTGAGGATGAATACCACAGAGGGCAAGCTACCCTTCTCATTGCATCGCATGATAGCAACATAACTTATTACTGGTGATGATAACCTCAGTTGCTTTGAGGTGAAGGTACCAGACTTCTCCACTGTAAAGTTACTCTTCTTGCCTTTCCATACATTTTTTTTTTTTTTTTTGAGTAACTAGTAAGTCCAGCTCACAGCTACACTCACAGGGAGAAGAATTAAGTTTTATCTCCTGGTAGGAAATATCTACAAAATATCTGCATAAATTATTTGGACTGTTTTCTAGAAGGAAGGTGTGTTCCTTCTCCTTCATTTATTTACTCAATGAATTTTGTGTGTCAATATGGATTGATGGATATTTATTTAATACTGTAGGTTATAATCCAATGCTATGTTATATATTTCATTGCTCAAATTATTCCAGCATTGACCATTGGAATCTCTGATAGGCTTCTATATCATTTGGAAATGTTCCTATCAGTTATTTTTTTTGTTTCAACACTTATTAACTTTTAGTAATATAAAGTGATCCAGGTTCATCATGTATTTTTCCTTGCCCCAGGTGTAGCATCAGTAATTACTTCCAGAATTTCTGGTTCCTTCAACTGGAGAATGGATATATAGAAACTAAATCCTGAGCGCTGGGTATGCTTATTTGTACAAATGTGTCACTATTTCTAGATCCTCTCTAACATATACCACATTTGTAACAGGCTATTTTCCCTTCTGTGGTTCCTCAACAGTCTGGTTTTTAAATTTTCTTACATTAAATTTCGCTCTTGGTGATATAAAGTTCAACAATGTTGACAAATGTGTAAAGTCATGTAGCACCAATCAAGTATCATACAGAGGAGTTAAATAACCCTAAACATTTCCCTGTGGATTGTTTTTGTAGCAAACACTTTGTCTTCTCCAAAAAAGAAAAACAAACAAACAATTTTTCATGCCAATAGTTTGGCCTTTTCCAGAATGCTATATGTGTGGAATAATGTGACATGTAGTCTTTCAAATTTGGCTTTGTTTTTTCAAAATGTGCTTGAGATTCAGCTATATTTTTATTGCATCAAAAGCTAATTTCCTTTTATCACTGAATAGTATAAAGTATTATTTCACACATCACTCATCTGTTGAACAAAATCTTAGTTATTTACAGTGTTTTAGAGATTGTAAATAAAACTTCTATAATCCTCCATGGACAAATTTTTGTCTGAACATAAGTTTTAAATTCATATATGTAAATACATATATGAATTTAAACGTTTTAAGTTCATATATGTAAATACATGTGAATTTAAAACGTTTAAATTCATATATGTAAATTCATATATGTAAATACCTTGCAGTGTGATTGCTAAGATTGCAGTATAAGTCTACTACTAGTATCAACATATTACAATTCCAAGTAGCACACAGATACCTTATCGTCATTTACATTTCTTTATCCATTTCTTTTTATAATTGTCTGAAATGTTACCTATACATACATTAAGAACTAAAGTCATATTATAATTTTAGCTTTTGACTGTCAAATACAATCTTAAAATCTCCAGAGGAGAACACTCTGTTATACTTATTTACATGTTTATTCTTTCCATTATTCTTTCTTCATTCTTGATGTTTTATATATTCTTTCATTACAATTTGTTTTCCGTTTGCTCCTCCCCAGCAGATCTTGTGTCTGTAACTCCCACCTCCAATCCTCTCACGATTGAGATGACAACCCCCCCACATTTGAACCAAGACCAACAGAAACGAGCCAGGAAATGCATTCTGTAGCCAAGCAAATTAGCTGCCTACTAAAATAAAAGATTTGTAAAGAAACCATCATCTTATAGCATAATACACAAAATGTTCAGGAAAAAGTCTAAACTTGCCTGTAACTCTAAGTATCAGGTGTATCAGCCAAGGTTTAACAAGAAAAGCAAAACTTGTAGGAGATGTATATTACGAGGTTTATTGCAAGAAATTGGCTTACTTGATTGTAGAGACTAGACAAATTTAAATTCATATGATACTTGTCAAGAAGAGCAAGTTGGAGCTATTGTACATGGACTATAGCCATCGTCCAGAGACTTTTTTTTGTAGGCAAGTTTCAACTATGTTTTCATGGCCCTCCAACTGATCAAATCAGGGCTTACTTAGATTATTTTAAATTGTCTTCCTTAATTACGGTCAATTGATTGTGAACTTTAATCACATTTACAAAATACATTCATGACAACACATAAATTAGTGTTTTATTGAATAACTAGGGACTATAGCACAGCCAAAAGAACACCTCAATATCACTGTTATATATTTAAGAAAACCTCTCAAATGGAAAAATATAGTTAATGAACACTAAGATGACACACGTGGTGAAATTACTGGCAAGAATTTCAAAATAGCTATCATAAAAACACTCTAAAATGCAATTAGAAACCCTTTAGAAACAAATTTAAAATATCAACAATCTCAGCAAAGAAATGGATGATATAAAGAACCAAATGAAATTTTAGGATTTAAAAATACAATAATCAAGGCCAGGCTCGGTAGCACACACCTGTAACCCCAACACTTTGGGAGGCTAACGTGGGTTGCTGGAGTTTAGGAGTTTGAAACCAGCCTTGGAAACATGGTAAAACCCCGTATCTACAAAAAATACAAATACTGGTGGAGTGTGGTGGTGCACACCTGTAGTCCCAGCTACCCAGGAGGCTGTGGTTGGAGGATCACCTGAGCCTGGGAGTTCAAGGTTGCAGTGAACCATCATTGTGCCACTGCACTCCAGCCTGGGTGACAGAATGAGACCCTGCCTAAAATAAATAAATAGACAAGCAAACAATAATGAAAATTAAAAAGAAAAAAACCTCATAGAATGCTCAATAGCAGAATGTACATGACAGAGGAATCAATCAATGAAGTTGAAGAGAGAGCAATGGAAATTATGCAATCTGAAGAACAAAGAGCAAATATATTGAAAAAAGAATAAATTGAGTGTCTAGGAGTTGTGTGACAATAACAAAAATTATTTAAAATAATTATTCATTGGAGTCCCAGCAAAAGAAGAAAAGATATTTTGGAGCTGAAAAAAATATTTGAAGAAAAAATGCCTAAAAACTACCCAAATTAGGTGAAAAGCAAAACATAAACTACAAATTCAATAACTAAGCAAATTGCAAATAAGATAACACTAAAGAAATCTGTGCCTAGATATTTCTTGATGAAATTTTTGAAAATTAAAGAGAAAATATCTTGAAATCAGGCAGAGGGAAACTATGAATTACCCATGCAAACAATTCTAATGACAGCAAGTTTCTCATCAGAAATCATAAAGACCATAAAGAAGTGTACAAGTTTTCTCTGCTGAAAGAAAGGAATTCTCCACTCAGAATTCAAATCTAGTGAAAATATCCCTTAGAAATAAAATAAAATAATTTCCAGATGAAAGAAAGCTAAAAGAAAATGTCATATGCAGACCTGTTCTAGAGAATGTCTAAAGGATGTTTTTTTAAACTCCAAACTTTTGCCAGTGATTATATCTTGGAATTAGAAGGGCTAGAGAGAGAATTAAAGCACATATACTGCTTAGCAACTTTTAAATGTATGTATTCTTCTATAATTAACACTTCAGTGATAAGTATCATGTTATGAAACCTGACTATTAATTTTGAAAGGATCTAAAGCAAGTGTAAGAAAAAAGTATAAGAATATTCCCAGTATAACATCTTCAAAGTAAATTTCATTTTATGAATTGATAACTAAAAGAGAAAGACTGCAGTAAAAATATGTGCAAAGAATATGAATGTAAGATTTACAGAAAAGCAAATCTAAATAAATGAAATGTTACAAAATATATCTAAACATTCTCAATTTCCCAAGTAGTCGGAAAAATAAAAAATTTAAAAAGAAACTATTCTGATCACTAGTGCCAGTGAGGGCAGGCAGAGGATATATGCTCTTATATACTGGTGGATATAAAGAAGCTTATATTTACTTTATATATCAATAAATATATAATGGGTATGCTTTTGGTGGAAGTAATATTAGAATACTTATTAAAATGTCCATACCCTCTGACCTTAAAATCTACTCCTAGTAATATATTTAATTGCATGAGTACCCAGACATAAAGATGGTTATGGAAGATAAAATATTAGAAACAACGTAAATCTCATCAATAAGCAGAGGGTTGACTAAACCATGATTCACCAACAGAACACTATACTGACATTAAAAACTAGAGAAGTAAGATGTAAAAACTATGCAAGTAAGACTTACAGATATATAATACCAAAAATCAATAAAGCAAGGTGAAGAGAAGTGTCTATACTACAGACCATTTTTGTAAAACAGAAAACCAAAATACATAGGTGTATAATTAAATATATGTGTGTGTGTGTGAATGCATTTGTATACAGTTAAGGGACCATGGAGTACATTGTGCAAGGATACACATCAGAGTGTTAATATTTGTGGCCTATAGCAGTTGGCGGGAGGATTGGGGGCCGGCAGGAGACAGTAACAGAAAGGAGTATATGTTAAAGAAAATGATCCAATATATTTTGATAAATTACTGATTTTTTAAAAAGCTATGAATTCAGTAATAAAGGCCCTGAAACAAGAAGAACACATCTAAGCACAAATTGGGAAAAAAATTATTCAGTGCAGAATATAATGTGAAAGTTCCAAATCTGTTCTCAAACTGAATATCTCAATCATACTTTACAGTACCTTTAAGAACACTGGTTCAAAATAATTAACCATTCCTTACATATGAGCATTTTAAAATTAAGTTATGAATACATTTTTATTGTACATATTACTTTGTGTAGGAATATGTATAGTGAAATATACGGGATTTTTCCTTAAAATAATAAAAATTTTAAAAAGCTACAAGGAAACATTTTTATTATGTACTTAGCAAATGTATACATTTGAATGCGATTAATTTATAAGTGGTGGAGAGGGAATGCAGCAAAACAATGTAAAATTCTCCCACAAAAGCATTTTGTTATTTTTCTTCTGAAATTGTCAAACTTTCAAACTTGCCAGAAACATACTTAGTTTAAATTATTTCACATGGTTTTGCACATGAATATAACAAATCAACTTTCAAATAAAAATTGTATGTTGAAACCCATGTAACCAAAGATAAATCTATATCAAAGATAATTACTCTCCTCAATGTGTCGAGTGATTCGGGATTCCAGTCAGTTCTTAGTTGGTAGAATTAAAACATCTGAAGTATTGATACAAAATTAAATGAAATCTGAGAGGGACTTGTTTTCTGCAGATTATAAAAAATATCATCTCACTGCTTGAAATAAAAATGAAGAGTCCTAATCTTAATAACAAAAATAAACGCAATCCGTGTTACTAAAAAGAAAATTGGAAATGCTTCCATTATCATTGTTGCCATGCAAAATAAGTAACAATTAAATGTAGTTTGGGAATAAGTGAAAACACTTATCCTGGATGGTATCAGCTTTGAACAAAATTTCTTTTCATCAGATATAAGATGACATCACAAAATTCAAATCTCTTCTTCCTCAGATGTAAACTTTTAAAAATCCTTTATTAAATAAAAGTTCCTATGCTGTGGGTTATGAAATTATTTATATATTAAATTTATATTTGCTTTATACAGGACAATGTGAATAACCATAGTATAAATTGAATAGGACACATACGCATTTTAAGCACTTGCTCAGTGAAAACACAATTGTGATACTGAGTCTGTAACTTGAGGACATACATAGGATATTAAGGTCAATATTAATGAACAGTGTTTATTTGATAAATATAAATATAGCTTGATTTTTAAAATTTTTGACAACTTGCATTCCAAAATTAATTAGGTAAGTTACAGATTCAAAACGTTACAAGGAAAGGAGGATGAAAAATTCTACCTGAGATTTTATGTAGACATTCTCAATCTTCTGGACTCATAATTTACTTACTATAACAAATGTTTAGAAAGTAAATTATCAAACTCACAAAACCTTGTTTTCAACATATTCCAAGTGACTCTCCGTCTGGGAGAAAGACTAGACTTATACTGGCAGGCTCCTTCCCGTGGAGCTGGAGCAGCAGTGAAAACTTTGCATACCCAGAACTAGCTCAATTTGTATGAAGAACTAAGGAATCCATGGAACAGAACAGAGTTAAGTGATTAGAAAAAAATTGACCAAAATGTTAATAGTCACAAGGAAGACAGAAGAACTGGAATAAAACCAGTTCAAGAAGAAAAGACAACATCAGATTGGCACTCTAAATAGAAGACTGATGTGGGACATAATGAGAAAAAGCTGTTGCCCATAGACTTCCCTGTGGGTGAAATATTTAATCGGTACATTCCTGGAAAAACAAACTATAATGAATTTCTTTAAAATATCACCTTCCTTAATTACAATCGGAGGTAGTAACCAGTAATGACACTTTTTTGAAAGGTGAAATTTCAAGTAATGGTAACAGTGAGGAATCAGTAATTTTTTTTTTTTTAAAGATGGGAAAGACAGAATGCCAAGAGAGCAAGACATATCAATGATATCAATGGGAGAAACAAATGCTTATGTGATAGGTTTTTGATGTTTCAATTATAAAATAAAATTTTAAATTCAATTCATTCATGAAATAGCTATTTCTTGAATGTTTATTATGTGGATTATATGCTGGCTGGCACAGTGCAAGACCAATTAAATGGCAGTTATAACAAATGATCTCTAAACATCAAAAATGCATATTAGCATAACACATCACAATTCCATTGCCAGAAATATATCATAAAAGCAAAAAATTTGGGAATATCATGTTGGGAATAGATTCAATCCTTTTCTGCCACAGTGGCAGAATACTTTTTTCATAAACAATCGAAAAAAATAGATGATAATTAGATTAAAATTAATCTTTGTATTTATTTCACTTCTAGTGCCAAAACTTGAACTCTGCTAAAAATGCTTTAAGCAATTAAAAACCTTGCCTTTTTTTAACTTCCAACTTTAAATAAATATGTCTCTTTTCACTAAAATCAATAACACCAAAGTACAAAAGCTCAGTAGGCTATGATTAGCCTATTTTATACCACAGTTTTACAAGAGGAGTGAAATTGGCTTTATAAAGAATGTGACAGTGTATACTGCTCACTAAGTGACAGGTGATGGATTTTAAAATACTCTAAAAGATTTTAAACGTACAAAGTTTCATTTTGTTGGGAATAGCACCCAAATAAAGTAATTCAACAGAAAACAAGTCAATATAAAATGACAAAACAGCTTAAAGGAAAAACGCTTTGGGAGAAATTTTTAATACATTCACTTATTCTGATGACAATAAAGTAAAAATCACAAAGCAGAATAATAAAAACATTACTGAATAATAAAAGAAATTAGATGTACACTACTTTCAAATGTTGGTATATGTGAAATACTTCTATCACATATTCAACATAATATGGAACTGAAACTATACCAGAAATTCCTAAAACACCACTAAGAAAATATTTGGTGTCGTATATAAAATTTGGTAGGTAGCTGGCATTCTCTCCTTCACATATAAAAATAACCACTAGTTCCTTATGAATGGCATATGACCTTTTATTCTTTGTTTTCGAGATAATAGTCTCAGTGATTCCTCCTCAGAACGTTACAACCAATTCAATCGGGACTCCATATTTTACTTTGATGAGAGCTGTGTTCTGTGAAGGATAAAATAATGTAAAAAGCTAATATAATAACTGGCATATTAAAATAATTAGGTACATTTTCAATGATATCTTTTCACATTTATCATGTATTTGAATTTATACAACACTGAAAGTGAACCTAAAATTGTACAACTCAGATTTACCATTTTAATTACACCCAAAGTCAGCACCCAACACAAGTTTATTCTTAGTATCAATTATGTTTTAGTAATTCTGAAACTAGAATTAATTCCCAGATACTCCATGATTACACACTAAAATGTTCACAGGGACGTGGCTGATAACAAATATTTGAATTGGGGTGAGTGTAAGAAATGAGAAGGGTGATCCCAGCTCTTTTCAAAATCTTGGCACATGCAAAATTCTAGTATGTATAAGCCACTTTGGGAAAAGCAGTGGGTTGGTTATCCAAAATGGGAAAATGGGATGCAAGAGTCCACCCTAAGGTTCACCCTTCCATCGTTGTGCAACTACTTCCTGGCTGAGTGGGTCAGTATGTCTGCCAATAGCTTCAATCTATTTGCAGCACTTACAAGGATTACATAAAACTTATTACTTATCCCTTATTACTATGGAGATTGCAGGCAACTGGAGAGTACGAGCTCAAACTAAGGTTATTCCAGTTCACTGTTTATAAGAATTTTAATAATTTTAATGTTCCATAATTTCCATTTTGATAGTGTTTTTCAACCAGTTTTTAGCTAACAACGTTAGGTTGGATTTACAAATTGAGTTGTGAAACTTTTATTGTATGTGTTCTTTGAAACACCTAATATAAATGGGGGAAATGCTTGATGGTTTGTTTAACGTGAAACTACCTATTCGGGTGCCTTTTTGAGGGATATTTTGAAACCTAATTTACTATTTTATGGCTTGACTTTAATTCAGGTATTTTCTTTAATGTTTTGCTAGTTTATATATTTTTAGGATATTTTGTTTGATTTATTTCAAAATATTTGGTATAAAATGTCTTACAGTGTCTCATAATTTTTTCTTGTGCTATATTGCATGTGGAAATTGGTCCCTTCTTAAAATCTACATATTGTTTATTTACATCTCACTTCCTTTGTCCCGGAACAATATTTACAGAGATTTATCTATTTTACTAGTCTTTTCATGTCTGTTTTTCTATTTTTAACTTCTTAAATTGAATAACAGCCACTAGTCTATATTATGTCTATCAATCTTCAAATCTTAGTGAAATAAACATAAAAAATTATTTTTGTTAATGTTGCATATTCAATGTTGACAGAGAGTTTCTGCTTATATTTATTATTATATTGTGATATAATAAGAAATATACATTTAATCTTCATTTCTGGTTCCTGGCACAGAGCTCTTAAAACCCTTGTAACTTCCTGAGTGATACGAGTGATAGAAAATCTTTTGTAATAATACTTAGTCCTAGTACCCACTTTCTTTTTTTTTTTCTTTCTTTTTTTTTTTTTTTTGAGACGGAGTCTCGCACTGTCGACTCACTGCAAGGTCCACCTCCTGGTTTCACGCCATTCTCCTGCCTCAGCCTCCCAAGTAGCTGGGCCTAGTACCCACTTTCTAAAGAGCTTCTAAGACTGTTGGAATCTCTGGAGTGATAAGCGTGCCTTTTTGTATGCTAATGTGATAACTAGTGGCTGAGGACCCTTGGATAAATTTAGGATAGCAGCTCTTCAACAGAAACACCAAAACATGATTAGAGGGTTAGAACTTTCAGTCCAGCTCTCTGACCTCTGGGGAGGGAAGAGGGAGTGGAGATTGGGTTAATTATCAATGTTAATGATTTAATCAGTCATGCATGGAGCCTCCATAAAAACCCTGGACAAGGTGGTTCAGAGAGCATCTTGGCTGGTGAACATATCAAGGTATTGGAAGGGCGGCATGCAGGAGAGTGCATGGAAGAGCCACATGCACCCTTCCTCTCCCATACCTTGCCCTATACATAGCTTCCATTTGGCTGTTCCTGAGTTGTATCATTTATAATAAACCAGCAATAGTAAATAAAGTGGCCTCCTGAGCTCTGTGAGCCATTCTAGTAAATTACTGAACCCAAGGAGGGAATAATGGAAACCTCAGATTTATAGCCAATCTGTCAGAAGTACAGGAACCGCAGGACTTCTAATTGCCATCTGAAGTGGAGACAGTCTTGTGAGACTGAGCCCTTTAACTTGCAGGATATGATGCCAACTTCAGGCAGTGTCAAAATTGAATTGAATCGTAGGACTTCTAGCTGGTGTTGAATAATTGGTTGGTGTGGGAAAAAGGCCTACACGTTTGGTGTCAACAGTGTTGTTCAGACTTACATAAAAACCAAGCTGAGAAATGCCTTTTCTTGGCACACATTTCCACAATCACTGCAGCAGTAGAAAAACAAATATTATAGTATCTCAGAAACTGGCACTTGGAATTTCTCCCCAAACATTACACACTGAATTTTGACTCTCAAAATTCATCAGCCTAAAAAGTTACATACTGACACCTAATTTCAAGAGGCACAGAAATAAAATCCTATCATGTGTGCAGAAAAGCGCAAATGCCCGAAATATTTGGTAAGAAGCACAAATGATCACTCGGTTTAATTAAACCTTCTTAGTTATTTGTTTTATTAAAACATGGACTAGAAGTTATTTTACAGATATCGTTTTAGACATGTCCCATTAGTTTTTACTTATAATGGCACTGTTGCCATTCAGTTCAAAACATTGACATGATCATTTCCTCTTTCACCTTTTAAGAGGTTGGCTCATTCTGCTTGATTAATTATTTTGCCTTGTTTTAATTTTCAAAAATATAAAAATTCTGGACTTTTTGTAATTGGTTTCTATCACATTTTGGCCATAGGCTATATATTTCATGGACTCTTGATTTTTTATGCTTGTGTATATTTTCTTTGTGGTCTAGTAAAAGATCTGATTTTGTATAAACGCTTTGTGATCTAGAAAAAAGTTTTTACTATTACAATGCGGAGTTTTAAATAAATATATTAATTGCTTTGTTAGTTTATCTTATCCTTATTAATATTTGATTGTATTACCCAATTTTTTCATAAAAGAAATTAAATTTTACTACATAATTTTGAATACAGCCGTTTCTATTAATTTTTACTTTGTATTTTTATTCCATATTAATATAAAAATTATTCTTATAGCTTAGTTAAATTTTGTTATTCAGTAACTGGTGATTAATTTTGATTTTTGTCTTAAGATACAGGTACACTTGTCAGATGTAACTGTGCTAACTTTTTCTTAGCATGTTATATTCTTAGCATGAACATTTTCTTAGCATGTTATTTTCTATCTCTTTCAACTTTCTAAGTTATTAAACCAAATTTTTTAACCACATTGAAGGAAAATGTAGTAAAAGATAAATTAGCAAAATAAGATAAAGTATATTTTTAATCCAACACGAAAGCATCTGTTTGTCTTCAGGAAAGTGTAATCTGTTTAACATTTTGTGAGTGTTTATAAACTTGGAAATATATTTAATAATTTATCTGGTGTTATCCCAATGACCATGCAATTTCTTCACATCTTCTTTTAAAAACATTAATTATATTTATTGATTTTTCTTCCCTTTTTTATTTTTACTTTTTGCTTCTTCGGAAGTTATACATTCTAGTTTGATCATTTTAGAGATAACTATAGCTAAAATCAATTACAGACAGATTTATTAAAACTGATAATTTATCAAAAATTTATTTACATCTTGCTTCTAAACCTCTCTATGTAATCAGCTATTTTACTTATTATAATATTTACATATTTCTTAGGTCATTTTTCTTGCTTCTTACATCTCCATCTCTCTTACAGAAGTTTGTTGTTTGGTTGTTCTTTCAGTGAGTGTATAGGAGTAGGAAATTGTCTTGGTCTGTAAGTTTGTTTCTTAATGTTTGTATTTTTGCATGATGTTTAAATGATAGCTTAGCAGGGTATAGAATTATTTAAGGTTGGCTGGGCACAGTGGCTCACACCTGTAATCCCAGCACTCTGGGGGGCTGAGGTGGGCGGATCACGAGGTCAAGAGTTCGAGACCAGCCTGGCCAACATAGTGAAACCCCATCTCTACTAAAAATATAAAAATTAGCCGTGGATGGTGGTGGGCACCTGTAGTCCCAGCTACTCAGGAGGCTGAGGCAGGAAAATTGCTTGAGCTTGGGAGGCAGAAGTTGGAGTGAGCCGAGATCACGTCACTGCACTCCAACCTGGGCAACAGAGCAAGACTCCATCTCAAAAAAAAAAAAAAAGTATTATTTAATGTTGAACAGATATATCCTCCCTCGTGCTTCAGTGATATTAATCTATTGTCTGTGGACATTCATTATTTTTGATGAGATATGGTAAGAAATATTTGTTCACTTTATCCAGTCTTTTTCTTATGCAGCCTTTAAGATTTCTCTCCACATTTCATAATCTATAGTTTCAGAATGGTGTATCTGGACACAGATTTGTATTTCTGTTGTCCAAGACTTTTCTTCTATTTGAAAAGTCAGAATTATTTTTTAGTCTGGATATTTTTTCAGCAAATACGATTTCAAATATAGCTTCTCTTCCTTTTCTCTATTGTATACTGCCAAACATACAAGGAGAGCTTCTGTCCTTCTCATGTTACCCCCAATCTTTCTTAATGGCTATTTAGTGTTTTACATTTCTTCATCCCTCCAGTATTCTTGGTTATTTGCTCATATTTGTCAATTACAGTATCAATTTTCTCTTTAAATAAACCTTTTTTTGTTTAAAATGTTTATTAAATTTTACATTTAATAACTATACTCCAAAAATATGTATTGCTATTTTTAAATCTATTACTATTTTTACATATGTATTTAATTGTCAATCTTTTATAATTTTCTTTCCTTTACATATTTTCCTTGCTGATTCCACAGAATAGAGGGTGAACTGTTATTAGCTCTCTGTTTCAGTGGTAGGAACTTCCCTTCATACGACTCTAATTTGTATAAGGAGCATTATGCTATCTTTGTGGTTACGATGATATGGATGCTAAACTCCAGTGATTAACCTCTGCGGCCTGATTCCCTTAGGGACACTTGCTGTTTTTAGTTGGTCATTTAAAAAATACTTCAAATGTCTTTGTTTGATGGGAGAAGCAACTGCTATCAGCATCCATATAGATTTACCTTATTACTTAATGTTGAGCATATACAATACAAGTATACATTTTTGTATTTTTTATAATCTTTTTATGCATAGAGTACCTATATTATATGTATTGTCTTTAAAATCCTCTCTGCACATGGAGAAAAGTGTGTAGAGTTGAAGATTATAAGCCAGAGTTCAAAATAAGGCATTTTTGCTTGGAAAGGATAAGGGCATCCAATTCTGAGATGGAACAGCTTGACAGAATACGGAATGAAATAAACATCTACCTATAATCCTATAGCCAACAAAAATATCTTTCAAAAAAGAAGGTGAAGTGAAGAGCCTTAAACGCATATGAAATTGAAAAAAGTATATATTTTCAGAAGATTTTCAGAAGAAATTGAAAAAAGTATATATTTTCAGAAGATACAAAATTAAAGGAAATCCTTCAGGTAGAAAGAAAATGATTTCAGATGGAAATACAGATCTTCACAAAGGAATAAGGAGAACTGGCAGTAGTAACTAAGAGGGTAAGTTTATTATCTTTATTACTTAAATAGGTAAATTTATAAACAGATAATTCACATTTAAACAAAGTGGTATTAATGTAGTGTTGGTCTGATTATATCTGTAGAAGTAAAATGTATGACAATAGCACCAAGGCCATGAGGGGAAAACAGAAGTATACTATTGTATGATTCTCATAGTTAAAGTGATATTATTAGATGGTAGAACTGATAAGTTAAATATATGTACTATAATCCATAAAGCAGTCACTAAAATAACAAATATACACACAAACTTTATAACTAATACATCAATAATGGAGATAAAATAAAAGCATTTTTTAAAGTTCAAAAGAAAGAAGAAGTGAAAAATAGGACAAAGAATAGATAGGAAAAATAATAAAGAGAAAAATAATAGATTAAAATACAAACATAATAGTAATCACATTAAACTTAAATTGCCTAAACACCTCAATTAAAGGAAAATATTTTACTATCCACAAGCAAAGAGCAAATCAATAAGCCAAAATTCAAAATATAAGAACAGAAATAAGTTAAAAATAAAAGAATGAAAAAAAGATATATCATGCAAACAATAATCAAATAATCTTGCTTTTTTTTCCCCAAGACTGAGATGTATTATGCACATCCCTCTACCCAAGACTAGTTATGAGTCTGTAGTATTAATGCTTACTGCATGTTATAAAGTTTTTACTAATGCTTATCACAAAATCAATTAATTGTTTAATATCTTTCTTTCCTCCTAGGTTATGAACTCCTTGACAATGTAGACCCTAGCTCTGTTGTTCATTATTGTAATTCCATTACTTAATGCAGAGTCGTATTAGGTGAAAGAATGAGAAAAAAAAACATAAAATGGTAAACTCCAAATTAACTCATCCTACTATCTACATATACATCTTTTGGTTAGGGCATATTACACATGGCTGAATAAACAGAACTATGAAATGAATTGCTGAATTTACTCTGATAATGTAGTTAATTATGAAAGAGTGGGCTCTTTCTGAGCTCTCACAGGGAAAACCTCTTGGCTATCAATCTTAGTTATAGATGTTCTCCTGAATTACTGAGCTTTTATCATAAGGACTTCAAAGCTTATCATGTTTATTATCACATAAATTTTACTGTGTTTTCCTCTTTGTTTTGGTTAAAGCTTAAAAATAAAATAGTGAGCTACAATGAAAAAACGTACTTTTTTTTCTGGTGTGCATTTTGGGTACTAACCTTATTCCCAGCTTCATCTTATTTATTCTTGTTAATTTATCATGCTTTCTAGATTTCTGTACCCACTTACTTTAGTTTTATGTATGACTTATAAGCCACTTCTGAATTAGTGTTATAGAATTAGTCTTTCTACATAAGAATAAATAAAATAGAAAATCAATGACGAAATGATCATACAGAGGTCTCTTTTGTAATGCCTTAAAATTGTGTTGTAAGGATGTTGTGATGAAACATTAACAAGAAAAATAGTTCCAAGAAGAACAGATGATGAGAACAATCACTAACCCTACCCAGATGAGGTCAGTATCGCTTCCCCATTATTTTTAAACTGCTATTAAAGACTAAACATAGATAACTAGTGAAGAGAAAATTCAGAGAGATCTAATTTAATTCAGTTTACAGAGCTGACACAGAGACACAGAGCTCTGATTTATAGGAAAAAAAATTAAATGAATGGGCACGGGGTAATGTTATTATTATTTTTTTAGTTCACATATTTTAAGATGTAGGCCAAAGATGTTGAAGCAAGTCTACTATTTTTTTCAATAAGTAATCTTTCCCAATAACAATATTTTCAGATAAAATATTAGTCTGAAAAAAGTACTGAGATGATGAAAATTTTTTTAAGAATTTTGAATAAATCAAGGAAGCTTCAGGCTCTGCTTATCCTTATAAAAACATAGTGCAAGTTATCAAGGTGCCATTGCTAAAAGCTGAAATACAAATTGGCTTCATGATACTTCTTTTCTATAGCAGAAACTATCCCATGATATTATTAATTTTTAATGGGTGAATTATCTTACGTAATTCATCACCTTTCTAATATTGCTACTATTTAACATCCTTCAAAATGTTGAAATTAAAGATTAGAATGGAATGCTCATTATTAACACTTAAGATAAAAAATAACAGCGTTAGACTGAAATTGCTTTTCCAAGCATGTTCTGATTTCTTCAAATTCATATTTTCTTTATTAAAAAGTCTCGGGCCAGGCACAGTGGCTCACGCCTATAATCCCAGGACTTTGGGAGCCCGAGGCGGGTGGATTGCCTGAGGTCGGGAGTTTGAGACCAGCCTGGCCAACATAGTGAAACCTCGTCTCTACTAAAAAAAAAAACAAAAAAATTAGCTGGGCTTGGCAGCAGGTGCCTGTAATCTCAGCTACTCAGGAGGCTGAGGCACAAGAATCTCTTGAACCCGGGAGGCAGAGTTTATAGTGAGCCGAGATCGCACCATTGCACTCCAGCCTGGGTGACAAGAGTGAAACTCCGTCTCAGGAAAAAAAAAAAAAAGTCTCATATACAAAATAATATAAAAGTTCTTCACAAAGCTCATAAAAATTCTTATCACTAATTATCTCATACTCAAATATTGTTGATAACCTAATAGCAGAAAGGAGCTGCTCTAAGTCTTGGGTATAAGGAAGTGAACAAATCAGACCAAAATTTTCTTGTCTTCACAAATTTACCTTTTACTGAATCTACCTTTTACAGACAGTAAAAATATATATATAGGTAAATAATGTTATTTAATTTATTGATAATTGACAGAGAGAAAAGTAAAGTAGGGAAGTAGCATAAGACACCTATCCTTGAGGGGCATGTGGGGAATTGGAGATGAAAGGCTTCCCTGTGAAGTGGACATTTGAGCAGAAACTTGAGTGAGAGAATCCTATGGGTGTCTGGGAGAAACACATTTCAGTAAAGGTAATAGTAACTGCAAAGACCCCAAGACAGGACTAGGCCTGCTTTCTTTGACTAACAGCTAAAGGCAAATATGGTTTGGAGTAGTGAGCTAAGGGGAAAGTCATTTAGATATGATGAGATTGGTTAGAATTATTCCTGTCATATTCCAGCACATGATTATGTTGTAATTGGAGTTTTTATTTCAACAAATTGGGATACTAGACACTTTGACTTGTTCATATTTTCCTATACCAGCCTTATCCAGAAACATACAATTATTTAAGGCAAATTTTCTAGTATTGAATATTGATGTCAGAATTAATCTCAGTATTTCTTTAAAAGTTAACGCTTTGAATAGAAGATACCAACATTGCTCACTCTAGTTGATTATATGAATTCTCTAGATAATGCTGACTGTTAGCCAATGAGGGTTTGGAGAACATGGGGATTGGGAGAGCAGAATGTTGAAAAAATACTCCAGACCCTAGGTAGGGTAACCTGTGGTTGAGCCTATGAGTTCAGTGTAATGAATTGAGTAATAATAACATTTACTTCATTGGAACATTAGTCCTAAGAGCTAAATCACAATTCTATAGGTTTAGAATAGCTTGTCTGCATTCACTATAACCTTTGTAGAGACTGTTGCCTAACAAAAAAGATAACACTGAAGAGTCCATATGTGCAATTTATCAAAAATATACTTAATACCAATTCTATATTTACTTATTCAATGATGCTTTTCTAACATACATTTTATTTTCTATATATTTGACGTGATGATTAAATGAATAAGAATTATGCAACAACTGCAACTAGCAACATAACATCTCCCTTTTCTGAAATCATGCTAAGAAACCTTACAAAGAAAACACTGGTTAAATAGTTACTTTATCTATTGGTAGGGGAGATATATTTTTCTATTTATTTATTGGCCTCTAGAAGATATATTATCACAAACAAAATAAAATGAAATAGTATTTGGAAAATGTATATATATTTTATCCTCTAGAATTGTGCTAATATGGAGGTGGAAATAGAAAGGAACAAAAAGATAAGATCATTTATTATTAGTGAAATATTATCCGAAGTATTTAATAGAGGCAGAATATATATCCTGTTATAATCCCCAGGAACCTTTGCTACAGCAGGTTGATTTTGAACCTGGTTTGAGATATGAAAGTGTTTGAAAATAATACTTGAAAAGGTAAAGAATATTGATCATTCAATGATAAAAACTAAGAACCATACCAAAGGACCATACACACATTTTTGGGCTGAGTGTGTTCTGCAGAATTAGAGGATCATCAAGATGGAGAAGCGATTTATAAGCTATATTCAAAGTGAATTATTCAGAGAATAAATTCAAATATGAAAGTAAATTATTCTATTAACTTACTGTCTTTAGTTAAGTGATTATATTTTTAGTAGCCTAATTACTACTGAGGCATGTGAGTAGTGATTGGTTGTTAAAAAGTTAAATTTAATTTCAGTTGATTCCAAGTCTGCCTTTCCAGTTTTTCTTTTATTTTTTTCTTCCTTTTTTTTTTTTTTTTTTTCTGAGACAAGATCTCACCATCACCCAGGCGGGAGCGCAGTGGTGCCATCACGGCTCACTACAGCCTCAACCTCCCTGGCTCAAGTGATTCTCCCATCTCAGCCTCTCAAGTAGCTGGGACTATAGGCATGAGCCACCACATCTGGCTAATTTTTAAATTTTATGTCGAGACAGGTTCTCACTATGTTGCCCAGGCTAGTCTCGACCTCCTGGGCTCAAGCAAACCTCCCATCTTGGCATCCCAAAGTGCTGGGATTACACACACAAGCCACCGTGCCTGGCCTTTCTAGATTTTTGAGCATATTTCTTCTCAAACATAAAGCATATGCATGTATGACTAGCACATCACCATTTGTCTGTATTCTTTTGAAATATCTGGTGCTGGACAGGTTATTTCTAAATTGTTATATTTGTTCTGCCAGTCATGTGCACTTTGTGTTAGTTCTTCCATCGGTTTGGCCATTTTGTTCCTCAGCCACAGCTAAAATCTGCCAATTTAAAACACACTTACTGTGTGTACAAAAAAAAAAGTATATAATTCCTTTAACTCATTTACAGCAAAACAGGAAAATATTGCCTGAAATTAGCAAATGCAGAATAATCCTAACTTTAATGAAAACAAGGAAGCTGATAGCCGCTATCCAAGAAATGTCCTGCTTTTAAAGGTAAGTGAGCCCTATGGAATAAATGCTGCCAATTGTGAAATCTTCAAAATTAAGCTGCAGATTTAGTCTGTGAATTCAAAGTTGGTATTTATTAAGCCAGTAGAGCTGAGGCAAGAAAACCAAGATCTGAGAAGCAATCATTTCTTATGATAAAAATGTATAGGAGTTATGAGTTAGAAGATTATCATAAGAATCTGTTACTTTCTAAACTAGGAACAGATGACCTTTTGGTTACATTCAACATCTCTAATCGGTAAAGTAAGCTGTTAATGGTCCATATGTTTTTTACTGGAATCTCAAAATCAGTTAAATAGAGTTTTTATAAGATTCATTTCAGCCTAAAAAAGCATGCAAAGAATATCTAATCACTTCAGTCTCTCTCCTAATTAAGGATCAATAGTCTACATAACGTGACTGTCTTCCTCTCTTTGGGGATTTAAGTGACACCTCTTGCTGAACTTCAGAAGCAACAGCTATGGGAAGCTTGCTTTTTTTTTTTTTAACAGTGGATCCATTCATTTTCCAAAGCCCTTAGTGAGCACATAATAGAGGATGTGTATGCAGCAAAGATGAAAGAAACTCAAATTTTTAAGCATATACTCTGGGCTACTCTCCATTTCAGATACCTTACATCATCTACAATTCTTACAACAAGGCTTTATGTATATATTCTCACTCTCAGTGTATAGATGGGAAAAGAAGTGAGTCTATGCCTACATACTCAGTAAATAAAAAAGCTTGGATGCAAATATGTGCTCTTTTTCTACACAATAGTGCCCCTTCTCTCCACAATCAGTATGATGGTCAATTGACTTGATGGGGCTAAGGAATATCCAGATAGCTGGTAAAACATTATTTATAAAATAAAACAGAAGGAAATCACTCAAAATTCCAATACACTGCTGTGAGATTATTGGTACCACAATAAAATACTACCAGTATCTACTGAAGCTGAGTATATGTATATGCTCTGATCCTGCAATACATATTTGGTTATATATCCTAGAGAAATGAGTGCATATTCACCAAAGACATGTGTAAGTGTGTCCATAGAAACTTTATTCATAATAGCTATAACTAGAAAAATTAAAAAGAAATTTACCTTAATAAAAGAATGGATAAATAACTGTGCCATATTAACATAACAGAATTCTACACATCACTGGGAATGAGCTATCTACAACTACAGAATGCAGAAAATAGATGACTCTCAGAAACATAATTTTGAACTTAAAAAGTCAGACACAGAAAAGCATATGCTCATTAGCATATATATATAGAAAACAAAAACAGGCAAAACTAACTGTTAGAAATTAGAAAAGATGCAGAGAGTTGCAGTTACTGGATGGGAGCCTGAGATGTGTTTTTTGGGGAGCTGGTATTGCTTGGCTTCGTGATGAGAACATGTTACATGAATGGATTGTGAAAATTTATAAATCACTTATGATATACGAACTCTCCTGTATGTATATTTTTGTTTAGTAAAATGCTTAAAAATATCAACTATCAGCTAAAATCTGCATAATACTAGCATGGCAGATTCAGAGAGTGAAAAGATTAGGTGGGAACAAGTATAGATGCTTATCCTGTTTGAGAGGAGTCCATAGATATTAATAAAGTCAAGATCCTGACAGGAATAAGTAAACATAAATGCGTAATTTTAAATTAAGGGTAAACAATACAAGAATGCAAATAGAATGTTTATCTTTTAAATATAGCACAAGAAAATTGTATTTGTCTAATAGAAATTATAGGTAAAGAATGAAAAAGAAAAAAGAAATTCTATTTATTAACTTCGTATCCTCCAATATTATCATATCTAAATGTTACATCTTATAGTTTAAAAAATATTTTTGGTTGATCATTAAAATTTTTTACAGACATTATGTAGTCTTCGAGTATACACAACTGGACATTCTTTCTAGTATATTTATAATTTTTGTTTGTTTTGTTTTACTTCATGAGCTGGGATCTTTAGTACAATGTTGACAGAGGTAGTTAAAGTATACATTCCTGTCTTGTCCCCAATCGGAGAGATAAATTAGTCAGTCCTTTACCATGAGATATATAGTTTTATATAGCTATCTGGTTTTCGATCATCATCAGTTGAGGAAGTTTTCTTCCATTCTTACCTTGTTGAATGTTTTTATTATGAAAGGGTATTGTGCTCCTCTTTTATTCTATTATGGTGATTATTAATAGATTTATTTTCAAATGTTAAACTAATCCTGCATTCATAGGATAAACCACACTTGGTTGAGATATATTAATGTTTTTATATGTCATTAGTTGCTGTTATTTTGTTGAAGATATTTACATCTATGTCATGACAAATATATATTCACATTTTTTCTTCAATAAAGGTTGTGAGATACGTGGTATGATGGTTATTTATGGCTCATAAAATCTAATTAGAAGCATGAATTTCACCTTTTTAAAAAAATGAATAAATGTTTGACTGGTAAAGTTTCTGTCTTAAAGATTTATAGAATTTATTGTTAAAACTGTCTAAAACCAGAGTTTTCTTCATTAAATATATTCTTTTTAATTTCTTGAGTTAGTTTGGTCAATTACTTTTTATAAGGGATGTATTCATTTAATCTCAGTTATATTTCAGGTAGTAAAGTTATTCAAGATACTCCATTTGTAGCCTTCAAAATTTGTATTTCCTCCTTTTCATAATATCCCCCCTCTCTTTCCTGATATTTTTGCTTTTATTTTTCTTTTATTAATTGTGTTTAGAGTTTTAGACATATTATTAATATTTTCAAAGAATAAACCTCTGGCCTTTTTACTGTTGTCTATGTCTGTTTATTACATTGATTTATAGCTTAATCTTCACTGTTTTCATGCTCATACTTATTTTGAAATTAACTTGTTCTTTTTTTCTAGCTTCTTAATGTGATAATTTAAATGATTTATTTTTACCATTTCTTCTTTTATAATGTAGGCTTTTAAACTATGAATTTTTTCATTAAACACCGTCAGCAGTATCCCACAAATGTTGATAAGCTGTGTTTCCATTATCTTTCAGTTTGAGTATTTTATTTCCTTTGTGGTTTTGTTTTTGATTGAGTTATTTGATAGTGTAGTTAATTTCTAAATATTTAAGAATTTTCTGAATATCTTCACTTTTTGATTTCCAATTTACTTTTGGTAAACACACATAGAAAACATACTCTAAGATTTTAGTCTTAAGATACACGAGTTGAGAGAAGAAGGCTTCAGACGATCAAACTACTCCGAGCTAAAGGAGGAAGTTCGAACCCATGGCAAAGAAGTTAAAAACCTTGAAAAAAAATTAGACGAATGGCTAACTAGAATAATCAATGGAGAGAAGTCCTTAAAGGACCTGATGGAGCTGAAAACCAAGGCACGAGAACTACATGATGAATGCACAAGCCTCAGTAGCTGATTCAATCAAATGGAAGAAAGGGTATCAGTGATGGAAGATGAAATGAATGAAATGAAGTGAGAAGAGAAGTTTAGAGAAAAAAGAATAAAGAAACGAACAAAGCCTCCAAGAAATATGGGACTATGTAAAAAGACCAAATCTATGTCTGATTGGTGTACCAGAAAGTGACGGGGAGAATGGTACCAAGTTGGAAAACACTCTGCAGGATATTATCCAGAACTTCCCCAATCTAGCAAGGCAGGCCAACATTCAAATTCAGGAAATACAGAGAATGCCACAAAGATACTCCTCCAGAAGAGAAACTCCAAGACACATAATTGTCAGATTCACCAAAGTTGAAATGGAGGAAAAAATGTTAAGGGCAGCCAGAGAGAAAGGTCGGGTTACCCACAAAGGGAAGCCCATCAGACTAACAGCTGATCTCTCGGCAGAAACTCTACAAGCCAGAAGAGAGTGGGGGCCAATATTCAACATTCTTAAAGAAAAGAAGTTTCAACCCAGAATTTCATATCCAGCCAAACTAAGCTTCATAAGTGAAGAAGAAATAAAATCCTTTACAGAAAAGCAAATGCTGAGAGAATCTGTCAAAACCAGGCCTGCCCTAAAAGAGCTCCTGAAGGAAGCACTATACATGGAAAGGAACAACCGGTACCAGCCACTGCAAAAACTGCCAAATTGTAAAGACCATCGAGGCTAGGAAGAAACTGTATCAACTAACGAGCAAAATAACCAGCTAACATCATAATGGGAGGATCAAATTCACACATAACAATATTAACCTTAAATGTAAATGGACAAAATGCTCCAAATAAAAGACACAAACTGGCAAATGGGATAAAGAGTCAGGACCCATCAGGGTGCTGTATTCAGCAAACCCATCTCACGTGCAGAGACACACATAGGCTCAAAATAAAGGGATGGAGGAAGATCTACCAAGCAAATGGAAAACAAAAAAAGGCAGGGGTTGCAATCCTAGTCTCTGATAAAACAGTCTTTAAACCAACAAAGATCAAAAGAGACAAAGAAGGCCATTACATAATGGTAAAGGGATCAATTCAACAAGACGAGCTAACTATCCTATATGTGCACCCAATACAGGAGCACCCAGCTTCATAAAGCAAGTCCTTAGAGACCTACAAAGAGACTTAGATGCCCACACAATAATAATGGGAGATTTTAACACCCCACTGTCAACACTACACAGATCAACGAGACAGAAAGTTAACAAGGATATCCAGGAATTTAACTCAGCTCTGCACCAAACGGACCTAATAGACATCTACAGAACTCTCCACCCCAATCAACAGAATATACATTCTTCTCAGCACCACACCACACTTATTCCAAAATTGACCACATAGTTGGAAGTAAAGCACTCCTCAGCAAATGTAAATGAACAGAAATTATAACAAACTGTCTCTCAGACCACAGTGCAATCAAACTAGAACTCAGGATTAAGAAACTCACTCAAAACCGCTCAACTACATGGAAACTGAACAACCTGCTCCTGAATGACTACTGGGTACGTAACGAAATGAATGCAGAAATAAAGATGTTCTTTGAAACGAAAGAGAACAAAGACATAACATACCACAATCTCTGGGACACATTCAAAGCAGTGTGTAGAGGGAAATTTATAGCACTAAATGCCCACAAGAGAAAGCAAGAAAGATCCAAAATTGACACCCTAACGTCACAATTAAAAGAACTAGAGAAGCAAGAGAAAACACATTCAAAAGCTAGCAGAAGGCAAGAAATAACTAAGATCAGAGCAGAACTGAAGGAAATAGAGACACAAAAAACCCTTCAAAAAATCAATGAATCCAGGAGCTGGTTTTTTGAAAAGATCAACAAAATTGATAGACCGCTAACAAGACTAATAATGAAGAAAAGAGAGAAGAATCAAATAGATGCAATAAAAAATGATAAAGGGGATATGACCACTGATCCCACAGAAATACAAACTGCCATCAGAGAATACTATAAATACCTCTATGCAAATAAACTAGAAAATCTAGAAGAAATGGATAAATTCCTGGACACATACACCCTCCCAAGTCTAAACCAGGAAGAAGTTGAATCTCTGAATAGACCAATAACGGGTTCTGAAATTGAGGCAATAATTAATAGCCTAGCAACCAAAAAACGTCCAGGACCAGATGGATTCACAGCCGAATTCTACCAGAGGTAAAAGGAGGAGCTGGTACCATTCCTTCTGAAACTATTCCAATCAATAGAAAAAGAGGGAATCCTCCCTAACTCAATTTATGAGGCCAGCACATCATCTGGATACCAAAGCCTGGCAGAGACACAACAAAAAGAGATTTTTAGACCAACATCCCTGATGAATACCTATGCAAAAATCCTCAATAAAATACTGGCAAACCGAATCCAGCAGCACATCAAAAAGCTTATCCACCATGATCAAGTGGGCTTCATCCCTGGGATGCAAGGCTGGTTTAACATACAAAAATCAATAAACATAATCCAGCATATAAACAGAACCAAAGACAAAAACCATATGATTATCTCAATAGATGCATAAAAGGCATTTGACAAAATTCAACAACACTTCATGTTAAAAACTCTCAATAAATTAGGTATTGATGGGACGTATCTCAAAATAATAAGAGCTCTCTATGACAAACCCACAGCCAATATCATATTGAATGGGCAAAAACTGGAAGCATTCCCTTTGAAAACTGGCACAAGACACGGATTCCCTCTCTCACCACTCCCATTCAACATAGTGTTGGAAGTTCTGGCCAGGGCAATCAGGCAGGAGAAGGAAATAAAGGGTATTCAATTAGGAAATGAGGAAGTCAAATTGTCCCTGTTTGCAGATGACATGATTGTATATCTAGAAAACCCCATTATCTCAGCCCAATATCTCCTTAAGGTGATAGGCAACTTCAGCAAAGTCTCAGGATACAAAATCAATGTGCAAAAATCACAAGCATTCTTATACACCAATAACAGCCAAACAGAGAGCCAAATCATGAGTGAACTCCCATTCACAATTGCTTCAAAGAGAATAAAATACCTAGGAATCCAACTTACAAGAGACGTGAAGGACCTCTTCAAGGAGAACTACAAACCACTGCTCAATGAAATAAAAGAGGATACAAACAAATGGAAGAACATTCCATGCTCATGGGTAGGAAGAATCAATATCATGAAAATGGCCATACTGCCCAAGGTAATGTATAGATTCAATGCCATCCCCATCAAGCTACCAATGACTTTCTTCACAGAACTGGAAAAAAACTACTTTAACGTTCATATGGAACCAAAAAAGAGCCCACATTGCCAAGTCAATCCTAAGCCAAAAGAGCAAAGCTGGAGGCATCATGCTACCTGACTTCAAACTATACTACAAGGCTACAGTAACCAAAACAGCATGGTACTGGTACCAAAACAGAGATATAGACCAATGGAACAGAACAGAGCCCTCAGAAATAATGCTGCATATCTACAACCATCTGATCTTTGACAAATCTGACAAAAACAAGAAATGGGGAAAGGATTCCCTATTAATAAATGGTGCTGGGAAAACTGGCTAGCCATATGTAGAAAGCTGAAACTGGATCCTTTCCACTTCAGGTGTAAGGTGATTTCTTACACCTTATACAAAAATTAATTCAAGATGGATTAAAGACTTAAAACCATAAAATCCCTAGAACAAAACCTAGGCAATACCATTCAGGACATAGGCATGGGCAAGGACTTCATGTCTAAGACACCAAAAGCAATGGCAACGAAAGCCAAAATTGACAAATGGGATCTAATTAAACTAAAGAGCTTCTGCACAGCAAAAGAAACTACCATCAGAGTGAACAGGCAACCTACAGAATGGGAGAAAATTTTTGCAATCTACTCATCTGACAAAGGGCTAATATCCAGAATCTACAATGAACTCAAACAAATGTACAAGAAAAAAAAAACAACCCCATCAACAAGTGGGCAAAGGATATGAACAGACACTTCTCAAAAGAAGACATTTATGCAGCCAAAAGACATGTGAAAAAATGTTCATCATCACTGGCCATCAGAGAAATGCAAATCAAAACCACAATGAGATACCATCTCACACCAGTTGGAATGGTGATCATTAAAAAGTCAGGAAACAACAGGTGCTGGAGAGGATGTGGAGAAATAGGAACACTTTTACACTGTTGGTGGGACTGTAAACTAGTTCAACCATTGTGGAAGTCAGTGTGGCAATTCCTCAGGGATCTAGAACTAGAAATACCATTTGACCCAGCCATCCCATTACTGGGTAGATACCCAAAGGATTATAAATCATGCTGCTATAAAGACACATGCACATGTATGTTTATTGCGGCACTATTCACAAAAGCAAAGACTTGGAACCAAGCCAAATGTCCAACAATGATAGACTGGATTAAGAAAATGTGGCACATATACACCATGGAATACTATGCAGCCATAAAAAATGATGAGTTCATGTCCTTTGTAGGGACATGGATGAAGCTGGAAACCATCATTCTCAGCAAACTATCACAAGGACGAAAAACCAAACACCGCATGTTGTCACTCATAGGTGGGAATTGAACAATGAGAACACATGGACACAGGAAGGGGAACATCACACACTGGACCTGTTGTGGGGTGGGGGGATGGGGGAGGGATAGCATTTGGAGATATACCTAATGTTAAATGACGAGTTACTGGGTTCAGCATACCAACATGGCACATGTATATATACGTAACTAACCCGCACGTTGTGCACAGGTACCCTAAAACTTAAAGTTTAATAAAAAAAAAGATACACCAAAATATATTTTATATATTTTGATGAATGTTTCATATGCCTTTGAGGGAATGTGAATTTTCTATCATTGGGTTGGGTGTAATATTTTAAAAATATCATTGAGGTTCAATGGTAGAGCTATATTACACTTGATTTTTTGTCCATTGCTTTATCTGAGAGAAGGTAGTTAAAATGATAGAGAGGACCCCCAATTACGTTCTCAGATTGTCTGTTTCTTTTTTCAATTCTATCAATTTGTGCTTTATGAATTTTGAAATTCTTATTAGAGGTATGCATAATATTGAAATACCTTTATGATGAATTACTCCAACTAGCATTACTTTTACATTTTTGGTCTTGAAATCTATTTTCTCTGATACTAATATTGTCACACCAGGTGTGAGCCACCATGCTCAGCCTACTTTTCATATTTTCTTGAAGATTCAGGCTTCTATCTGATAATACTTTCTTTAAGTCTGAAGAAACTCCTTTAGCATTATTGTAGAGTAGGCACACTGGTGAATAATTCCTCCAGCTTTTAAATAAAAAGAAAATATGTTTACTTGAGCCAGATTTTTGAGTGATACTTTTGCTAAATATGTTTCAACTTTCAGCAAATTGAATATATCTTTTTATTGTCTTCTACTCTGTTTCTGGTAAGAAATTAATACTTATCTTTTTATTCCTTTATATTTATTTTCTGTCCTCTTTTGAGTTTTTCTGTGTTTTTTTCTTTTGCTTTTATGGTATGACTTTATATATTCTGCTTTGAGTGTGCTGCACTTCTAGTATATATACGTTAATGTTTTTCATTAAATTTGAGAAATGTTTAGCCATTTTTCTTGCCTTATTCTCACTCACTTACCCTTCTTAACCTTCAATTTCATGTATGCTGGACCATTTGATATTATTCTGCAGCTATCCGAGATTCTTTTCCTTCAATCTTTGTTCTTTCTGTTCTTCAGATTGGAAAATTTCTGTTGATCTGTCCTCCAGTTCACTGACTTTCTATCCCTATCTTCAACTGGATGTTAAGGTCATCTTGGAATTTATACGTATTTGTTTGTTTGTTTGTTTGTTTAGAGACAGAATCTCACTCTCTTGCCCAGGCTGGAGTGCAGTGGCACGATCTCAGTTCACTACAACCTCCACCTCCTGGAGGTTCAAGCGATTCTCCTGCCTCAGCCTCCCAAGTAGCTGGGACTATAGGCAGTCGCCACCATGCCTGGCTAATTTTTATATTTTTAGTAGAGACAGGGTTTCACCATGTTGGGATGGGCCCACCTCAGCCTCCCAAAGTGTGGAATTACAGGTGTGAGCCACTGCACCTGGCCAGGTATTTATTTTTCATAGTTGTAGTTTTCAATTTTAGAAACTCTATTTTTTGTAGTTTTTATTTATCTTGTGAAAAATCTACATCTGTTCACTAATTAAGCTCATGTTTTTCTTCAATCCTTGAAAATTCTTTTAGTTCTTTACTATAACACCAGTTTAATGTCTGTGGCTGCAAAATCCATTAGTGTATGGTTTCTATTGATGGCCTTTTCCCTGGACTATTCACATTTTCTTGTTTCTTTGAATGTCTAGAAAATTGTTATTATATGCTGATCATTGTGATAACATTTCTGAGATGATAGATATTGCTAGTATTCTGAAATATTTATTTTTGTTATTGTGGGCAATTCAATTATTGGATAGCCTTGAACTTGTGTAAAACTAACTTTACACGTGTTGTGGTAGAGCTGAGAAAAGTCCAAATTGTTTCCTGAGTTCCTCTAAGTTACTAGAACTCATATAAGCTCTCAATTCTGTCTCTTCTCAGGATCTCATTAGGATTTAACTTAGGCTTTGTTAGGGTGGGCCAACCGCTGGCCTTAATTTAGAGTGAGACAATTTCTTCTAAGGTTCAGGCTATGTAATATAAGCTGGATGCCAGGGTTGTTACTGGGGTGTTACCAAAGCCTCTCTATTCTGGCTTGTCCAGAGCTCCCATTACCACTAGCAATGCTTGACTTCTAGTGTATCTGCCCTTCTCTCATATCCATGGTGGCCAATCTCTCTTGGCTGACCAATCCACAACCAACAACTCATGGGGATCCCTGACACTAACTTCTGTCCCGTTCAGTACACAATTCTCTGATTTCTAGTGTCCTACACTACTAATTCCAGTGACTTCAGATAATTTGGAGAGTGAAAACAAGTCTACACACTCAAGTAGCCCAGAAGTCCCATTCAGTAATATTTATCCTAGAGATACTTTTGCACATGCCATAGGGTCCAGAATATTCATTACAACAGTATTTGTTAGGGTGAGATGATAGAGACTACCTAGATGCCTCGTCACTGAGGGATTCTGAATAAGTGAAAGGTGAAGGGGGCATAATATGAAATATTATAAATGAATCAGAATGTATTAAACAGTTTTACATGCAGAAATTTACATAGATCATTCAAAAATAAGGCAAAACATCACAGTAGTTTTTATGGTCAAATAATATGCCATGGACAGAGGAAAATAACTCTAGTCCCTGGCATTGGTAGAATCCTTTGAGACAAAGCAAAAGAGTACTATAGGGCCCCTTAATTTAATTACAATAATTTTCCCAAAGTTACTTTGCACTTTTTACTTTGTCATCAACCTTCACCAGGCTATGAATGTGAAGGGGATTCCAGATGACAATTATTTGGTTTATATGTATTTATGAACAGGGATATTTACATGAAAGGTCAGCTACGTTATGCCATGCTAACAAAAAATCTGCAAACTGCAGTTCCTTTAAAAATCAAAGGCTTATTTCACCTGTGGCATTCATGATACGTAATTCAAACGGGTTGACAAGAGGAATGCAGATGGTCTAAAGGGAAATATTGTTACAAATAGCACTACAATTACCACATTATTTTCTGTTTTGGATGTATATTTAAGTGGCTTACTTAATATAACTATGTTAAATCTACAAAAAGTTTCTTCATGGACCACTTCTAGGAAAGATATGTAAAAGTACTACTAGAACAGTATTTTCTAAGTTGGACTATGCTCCAGAATTACTTAGCTTCATATAGATTTACGGGTCTACATACGGATCCTCTGAAACACAATCACTTCAGTGTGGGCCTGGGAGCTTGTTTTTTAATTAACATGTTCTATTATTAAATACTAGGGATGCTCACTACAGAGCTCTACACTTGGGTACCTGGAGCTTGGCTTCTTGAATAAAGCCTTAGTCACAAAGTGTTGTCTTTCTTAAAAAATACCGAAACAAAGAAACAAACAAATAGATTTTAGATAATAGCAGAACTTATAAGAAACTTTCTCTATGCCAGAATTTTGGATAGAAAATAACCAGTTGAGTATCTTTCTGAACCTGGCTGAACAGAAGGTGCCATCTTGTAAGTCAACATCTACCACAAGGATAGAAAGGTTCCACTCAAGGAGCCCAAGAGCCAGGACATCTACCTAAGGCTGTTGGTCAGGCTGTACAGGTTTATGGCCAGAGAAACCAACTCCACATTTAACAAAGTTGTGCTGAAGAGGCTGTTTATGGGTTGCACCAAATGGCTACCTCTATTGCTTTCCTGGATGATCCAGCAGATGAAACTTTCTGACTGGGAAAACAAAACTACTGTGGTTTTGGGGACCATAATGGACGATGTGTGGGTTCAGGAGGTGCCCAAATTGCAGGTGTGTGTGCTCTGTGGTTGAGTAGCTGGCCCACAACTGCATCCTAAAGGCTGGAGGCAAAACACTCACTTTGCTCCAGCTGGGCCTGGATTTTCAAGGGCCATCACACCGTTCTGCTCTCTGGCTGTTGCAAGCACCAAGCACACCTGCATTTCCACAAGGCCTGGATAACCCTTCAAAGCCACACCAAACCTAACCTGCTCCAAGGGCCAGAAGTTCTAACACTCCAGAGGCCCAGGGGGTAGCCTCAGCTACAAAAATTAACCCGAGATCCTACTCTCTATCAAAAAGATTTTGGATCATGGAAAAAAATATTAAAATATTTTAAAACTCAGTCTTACATCAGGAACAGTGAGTGGTGTCAAAATAACATTATTCATTTGGCTTGGATAACCTCAAAACGAGAAACTATTAACAAAATGTAGGGGGACAAAAGCATGAGACTAATTCTGAATTGAAAAAATGCATGAGAAAGTATCAGTGACAAATATAATACCGCCCTATAGAGATGATTCCATAGCATAGGGCCAAAGTGAGTCTCAGTGAAAATTAGCCCACTGAAGATAAGCTCATAGTCAAAGATTACAAATAGGTGAGAGGAAAAAATATCCTGAGGGAATACACCAAATAGAATGACTTTCAGCCCGGGAACTATAAATACTAGAACAATGCGAAAGAGAATTTTAAAGTAGCTACTTAAGCAGACCAAATTTTACAAGATAAAGGATGGAATAGAGATAATACCAATGAAGTATCTGTAACAATGGCTATAATCTGAAAATCTGGCAATACCAAATGCGTGATAAAATACAGAACAACAGGATTCTCCCTCATTGTTCAGATGTAGGGCCTTGTCCTTATCACACTGCCTAACAATTGCATGGAATGTTTGCTATCTACATTACACATAGGAAAAAAAAAACACCAACAATCCTTCATATAATAGGCGAAGGCCCTAAGCCAGGCAGTAAGTCCAAGCCCATAAACACTGAGGAAGCATTGCTAGAATTTTAATTTATTTTTCAGCTTTATCAGGCTCAGATTTTGTATTAGTCCATTCTCATGCTACTATAAAGAAATACCTGAGACTGAGAAATTTATAAAGAAAAGAGGTTTAATTGACTCACAGTTCTGCATGGCTGGGGAGGCCTCAGGAAACTTACAATCATGGCGGAACTCACCTCTTCACAGGCTGGCAGGCGAAAGAATCAGAGCTGAGCAAAGCGGGAAGCCCCTTACGAAACCATCAGATCTTTTGAGAACTTACTCACTGTCAATTATCTCCACCTGGTCCTGCCCTTGACATGTGGGGATTGTTACAATTCAATGTGAGATTTGGATAGAGACACACAGCCAAACCGTATCGGCTTTTATAAACAAAAGCAACTAAAATTCACTTTCCAAGTTTTGTTGTTTTTATTAATCTTTTAGGGAAAACTAAAATTTAACACAGATAAACACCCTGCAGTCTTACTGGTTTGGAAGACCAGGACAGATACTTGAGATAACACAATGGCTAGAAAGTAAGAGAAAAAATTCTAGAAAAGAGAAGGGGAGGGGGACCACAAATTGTGTTGGTGAACTGCCATATCTCCGCCTGGCCCCTGGGGCAAGCAGCCCATAGAAAGTAAAAATAGTCTCTGAATTAGCGGTAGTCCTCCTTAGGTAAAACAAGACTAAAACAAAACAGAGATCACTAAACTAAATAGTCTCCATAGAAATATTTTTTAAACAATAGCAAAATTACTACAAATACAAAGAAAAAGGAAAATCCAACCCATTGCCAATAGAAAATGTCAATGGAGGAGGTGGACCTGAGAAAAAGCAACTGTTGCAATGGCACAGAAGAATTTTAAAATATCTATTTTAACTGTGCTCAAGAAAATAAAGGTAAAATATTTATTGAATGAACAAATAGAAAATATCAGCTGAATAAGGAAAAACATACAAAAATGGAAATTCTATAATTTAAAAATATATTATGTAAATTAAAAACTGCACTAGGTAGACATATAAAATTATGGAAACTAATAACTATGCTGTTATAATAACTGAAGTTGGCTGGGTAGTCTGTGTGTATGAATTGAGTAGGATAGAGGTGAAACAACTTTTTGTGAGGAAGCCGGTAGAGAGATGAGGTGGAGGGATTAGTATGTTGTGGGAAGGACAATGTGTCTTTCTGAAGGAAATAGTTAGTATTTTGTCCATTAATAAAAGGAGAGTCAGGTGTAACTAATTAGGAAAGCAGGGGGAAGTGATGGTTATGATTAATAGGATAAAAAGAAAAATATAAAATAATATCTAAATGAATAAAAGAAAAAACATGAAATAAATGACAGCTGTATCAAACCCACAAAGTAAAAGAAAAAACACTAAAATAAGTAATAAACGTAGAAAAAGACAGTGGGAATAAAAATATTTATCAGTCAAAATGGACTTACTAGAAGGCAGAGTCTGTTAGATTTGGTAAAAGATTAAAAAGAATTTTGTAAACTATGAATTATCATAAGCTTGTATGATGAAGATGCCACAAGCAATTGCAAGAGGAACAGAAATTGACAATGGGATCTAATTAATTTAAAGAGCTTCAGCACAGCAAAAGAAACTATCAACAGAGTAAACAGACAATCTACAGAATGGGAGAAAAATTTTGCAAACTATTCATTTGACAAAGTTCTAATATCTAGCATTGATAAGAAACTTGAACAAATTTAAAGAAACAATCCCATTAAAAAGTGTGTAAATTACATGAAGAGACACTTTTCAAAACATACATGCAACCGACAAGCATATGAAAAACAGTTCAACATCATGATCATTAGAGAAATGCAAACCAAAACTGCAATGGGATACCATCTCTCATCAGTCAGAATGGTAAAAAGTAACAGATACTGGTGAGGTTGTGGAGGAAAAGGAATGGTGATACACTGTTGGTTGGATTTTAAACTATTCCAACCATTGTGGAAGAGAATGTGGCTACTTCTCAGAGACCTAGAGACAGAAATACCATTTGGCCCAGCAATCCCATTACTGGGTATATACCCAATGGAATATAAATCATTCCATTATAAAGAAACATGCAGGCATATGTTCACTGCAGCACTAATCACAATAGCAAAGACACGGAATCAACCTAAATGCCCATCAATAATAGACTGGATCAAGAAAATGTGGTACACATAATACCATGGAATACTATGTAGGCATACAAAAGAATGAGATTATGTCTTTGCAGGGACATGCATGGAGCTGGAGGCCATTATTCTTAGCAAACTAACACAGAAACAGAAAACCAAATTCCTCATGTTCTCACTTATAAATGGGAGCTAAAAGATGAGAACACATGGACACACACAGAGTGAACAACACACACTGGGACCTATCGTAGGGTGAAGGGTGGGAGGAAGGAGAGGATCAGGAAAAATAATTAATGAGTACTAGGTTTAATATCTTGGTGACAAAATAATCTGTACAACAAACCACCATGAAACAACCTTACCTATGTAACAAGCCTGGACATGTAACCTGAACTTAAAAGTTTTAAAAAAGAACTATTATAAAAGAAAAAAAAAATGAAGAAAAGAAAGGTTGACACGACAGATTAACTGTAATTTCTTTTTTAATTTTCCTGGCAGTGGACATTTAGGTTGCCCCAATGGATGACATCCATAAAGAATGCTGCAATAAATATCTTTTTACAATTCCTTATAACCTAGTGATGGCTTCTCTGGGGTTACATTTGTCAGATGAAGTACATGATACCCAATTAAATTTAAATTTTAGATCTTAAAAAACAGGTTTTTAGTATAAGTATGTCCCAAATATTGCATGGGGCATTCTTATACTAAAACATCATTTTTTGCTTATCTGAAATTCAAATTTCAATAGGTGTTCTGTATTTTTATTTGCTATATCTGGAAGCCCTTTCTAGAGTATACACCTAGGAGTGGGTAGGCAGTTTCATAGAGTTTGTTTAATCTTAATTTTATGAGGCACTGACAGTGGCAATGACTTCATGTCTAAAATCCCACCACGAATGCATTAAGATTGATATTTTCCTCACAGTTTGGCAAGCACATGATATTCACGAACTTTTTAAGTTTTGCAAAACAATATAAAGAATTAAACTGCTTCTTTAATTTGCATTTCATTCCTTACTAGTAAGGTTGAGATCTTCTCCATGAATGACTTTAAGCCAATGATATTTTCCCTAGTGCGAACCACCTGTTTGTATATTTAAGGAAAATGCTTTCTATATTTTACATAGATCACAGAAATCCATTCTTTACAGTGAGAAGTAGGAGAAATGTTTTTGATACCAACTTTTGGAGAGTCATAGTCTTTATTGCATCCTTGGCAAATGGCAACTCCAGCGGCTTTCTGACCATGTCTAAGTTTCTGAGATGTGTCATATCAACAGCTCCTAGAAATGTATTGGATGCATAGCAAGCCCTCAAAAATATTTGTTGAAATAAACAAATGTATAATTAAGCATATACTTTTAAAGACATGCATTTGTAGACTTTTTTCACACCAGTATGGAATCTAGTTCCTGGTTAGACCCATAAGTTCTCAGAAGTGAAAGACTTGTAGAAATCCAGGTAAGTCTCATAATCAGTTAGAGAAACAAGAGGGATAAATCCACAGTATATGCAGATGCCTGACTATTCCATCTGACATGGTTTGTCTGTGCCCCACCCAAATCTCATTTTGAATTGTAGTTCCCATAATCCCCATGTGTTGTGGGAGAGACCCTGTGGGAGGTAATTTAATCATGGGGGTGGTTACCTTCATGCTGTTCTCATGATCGTGAGTTCTCGCAAGATCTGATGGTTTTATAAAGGTCTTTTCCCCCTTTTGTTTGGCACTTCTCCCTCCTGCTGCCATGTGAAAAAGGACGTGTTTGCTTCCCTTTCCGCCAAATTGTAAGTTTCCTGAGGCCTCCCCAGCCATGCTGAACTGTGAGTCAATTAAACGTCTTTCCTTTATAAATTACCCAGTCTCAGGTATGTCTTTATTAGCAGCATGAGAATGGACTAATACACCATCTATTTTGCTTGTAGTTCTCACAAATTCCTATCAACAATTCAGGAAAAGTCCTAGCACTTTGGGAGGCCAAGGAGTGTGGATTGCCTGAGCTCAAGAGTTCGAGATCACCCTGGGCAACGTGGTGAAACCCTATCTCCACTAAACTACAAAAAATTAGCCAGGTGTAGTTGTGGGTGCCTGTAGTCTCCCAGGTTCTCAGGGGGCTGAGGCATGAGAATTGCTTGAACCCGGCAGGCAGAGGTTGCAGTGAGCCAAGATCGCACCTCTGCACTCCAGCCTGGGTGACAGAGTGAGATCCTGTCTTGGGAAAAAAAAAATTGAGGAACAATCCTCCTGTGTTCATCTTTGCCTGAAGAAAGAACTAGATTCTTTTTAATGTTTACTTTGTGTGTGTGTATGCATGTAATATACTAACAATACTAAATAGAGCCAATAATTTTTATTTAATTTTAAGTGTAAAAGCTTTATTGAATCATGCCTCACTCTAACAGCCAAACAGATGGCCAAGGCACTCTTTATTCCAGCTTGTTCTTTGTGTTTTTGCACTCAGTGTTTCAAAACATTATTTATTCTCCTAAGAGCACCAGGAAGCTACTTCTTCCTTGTTCATTCTGTATCAGCAAACTCATATCTCATTTTATCTCACCTTCTGCTGTTAAAACAGAAGCAACTATTGGCATTTTGGCTTTTTGATACCTTTCTATGTAGTCCTACCACATGTTTGAGGGAAATCATAAAACAAAAGTAAGCCTCTTTTTGTTCAGAAGAAATGATACATATGTTTAATATCTATTAATCTATATTTAATATCTATAGCTTTAACATATATTAATCAAAAACAACCCAAAGTTATATATGTATGCTTATATTTATATAAATATATTGAGCATTTCCATACATATTATTATTATATATCTTGTCAGTAATTGTCATCGTGTCAATTAGCTACCATATTCAAATTGTGCCAAAGGAAATATCCAATATGCATAAGAACTATTTACTGTTATTGTCTTTGTTGCCAATTTAAAGGGTAATTATTTATATTAAAAGTAAAAATTTCTTTCTTAGTTTTAGAGAAAGGAAAATACCAGAATCTATAGCCACCTGGAATTGCATCAACTGTTTTACATAATACTTTCTATCTAGTTTTCAGTTTACTCACAATTTTTCTATAATTTTATCTTTTGTAGTATTCCTTCGAGGTAGAGCCCACATTAAGAACATGCTTTCAGGCTGGGCATGATGGCTCATACCTGTAAACTCAGCACTTTGTGGGGCCAAGGCTGGCAGATCACTTGAGACAAGGAGTTCGAGACCAGCCTGGGCCAAATGGTGAAACCCTGTGTCTACCCTCCCTCACAAAAAAAATACAAAAATTAGCCAGGCGTGGTGGTGCATGCCCTTAGCCCCAGGTACTCTGGAGGCTAATGTGGGAGGATTGCTTGAGCCTGGGAGGTGGAGGTTGCAGGGAGCTGTGACCACACTACTACTGCACTCCAGCCTGGGCTACAGAGAGAGAACTTGTCTCAAAAAAAAAAAAGAAAGAAAGAAAGAAAAAGAAAAAAAGAGTGCTTGTATTTATGAAAGTGACATGATAGGTGCATTTTTAGTCAAAAATGATTTTAAATTTTATGTTCAATGGTGGTGTTTATGAGTTACCAACAATGTCTTATGAATACAACTTTTCAAAGACTAAATTAAAGGCATGGTTAATACAATTTGCAATGTAGTATGCAAATTGGTCTACACAGGGATGAAAACTATGGTTGTGACTCCTTTAGCAACCTATCCTAACCTATCACCCAGAATATTTGGCTAAACATCTGTTAAATAGAAAACTTGTTTAACTGTCAAACAGGAGAATCTTTGTCTACAAGTTTTGCTAGTTAAATCATGTGTTTTAATGCAGGATGCATTGATGCTGCATGCTAGCAGATAAATGCCTTTATGATTCTCAAGGTGTATAATAAATAAACTCTAAGCATAAGAGATAGTAATTAAAATTAACCATCTGAAAATTGCTGACTTAGATATGTATAGATTTTATTTTTGAAAATAAATACACATGGTCTTGAATGATCGTCAGCAAAGTGCATCCTTGTGACTTATTGTTGCTGTGATTGAATATACATTCAGTATGGCTTACCCAGTCCTAAGTCCATAAATCATGCCATAAAATAGCCCTATAAGGGAGCCATCTGAGTCTACTCAGTTTTTCATTTTTCTACCATACTCAACTATTTCTAGCCTTAGGTGGTTTCCTTTTCAAGAAAATCAGGATGGTGTTTTATTAGTCTGTTCCGGTGCCTACAAGTGTTATTTTATCTTTTATGCTCTGCGCATTTCCTTTAGGATGAATGATGCAATTTAGTAGAGGAAATACTGGGAAATAACTTATTTGTAAACTACTTTTGAAGGGTGGGAGAAAAATCAGTTGTGTTCCCCTTTGGAGTCTTGCAATGGATAATACTGCAATCTCTTTATTTACTTAGTCTTCCAATTTTAGAAGCCTCTTGTTTGACTTGATATTTTTTCTTTCTTATAAATATAAATTCTTATGAGAGGAACTATTGAGAATTTAGAAATTCCATAATCCATATTTGGAATTTAGACTCACAAGCATCAGTGTGACTCTCTGGAAACAATTCATTATCTTCAAGGACATAGGTAGAACTAGAATTTACACCTTATTATTCTCTACCCAGTGTTTCTTATAATATATTTCTTTGATGCTCTTGTATCAAGCTACTGTCGTCTGAATGTTTGTGTCGCCACAAAATTCATATGTTAGAAACTCATATCTAATGGAATATTATTAAAAGTTGGAACCTTTAGGGGATGATTCAGTCATGAGTGTTCTGCTCCCATGAATGAAATTTATGTACTTATAAAAGAGGTTTAAGGGAGCCTCTTAATCCCTTCTGCCATATGTGGAAAAAGATAAAATGCTACCTAGGAGGAACTGGTCGTCACCAGATACCAAATCTGCTGGCACCTTGATCTTGGACTTCCCAGCCTCTAGAACTGTGAGAAATACACTTCTGTTGTTTATAAATTTCCCAGTCTATGGTATTTTGTTATAACAGCAGTAACACACTAAGACACAAGTGGACTCAATACTCCCTTGGCTGTCTCTAAAGTTATTAATAATGTAATAATAGGACAAGGCTTTTGAAATGGTATAGTAGGTATACTATTGGATCCCCTCCAAAAATGCCCATACCTTAATCCCCCAAACCTATAAATATGTTATGTTACATGACAATGGGGAATTAAGGTTTTAAATGGAATTAGTATAAGTAATCAGAGGACTTTAAGATAAGATTATCCTGAATTATACAGGTGAGCCCAATATTATCACAAGGGTCTTTAAATTGTGGAAGAGAGAGGCAGGAGGTTAATGTCAAAGAGATTTAAAGATATTATGTTGCTGGCTTTGAAGAGGAGGAAAGGACCACAAGACAAAGAAAATGGGAGGTCTTTGGGAGCTGGAAAACACAAGGAAACAGACTATCCCCTAAAGCCTCAGAAAAAGAACATAACCCTGCTGACACCTGTGTTTTAGCCCAGAGATACCCATTTCAGGCATCTGACCTCCAGAACTGCAAGGCAAAATACCTGCATTGTTTTAAGCGACTAAATTTATGGTAACATGTTACATCAGCAATGGGAAACTAATACACTTAGGAGAAGAAAAGGTGGATAGTTCATTTCCAAACCCTTCAGGCCCATATGCATCATTTGCTCTGAAGAACTGTAGCCATCTTATCTTCTTATAGGCATAACAAGCAAACTGTAAGTTCTAAAAGGTACCACACACTGCCCAGATATTATATCACTATCACGGGTCATGAGGTTCCAAGAGCTTGACAATGACAAAAGTCCTTATACAGTGTATTAGAGTTCTCCAGAGAATCAGAACCAATATCGTGTGCGTGTGTACATAAGTCTGTGTATACATATATTCTCACAATAAATATTATATATTAATATTTATATGAGAGACAGAAAGAGAGAGATTTATTATGAGAATTGGCTCACATGATCATAGAGTTGAGATGCCTCAGTATCTGTGGTCAGCAAGCTGGAGACCTGGGAAGGCCACCAACTGGTGGTATAATTCAGTCTGAGTTCAAAGGCCTGAGGTGGAGAGGGGTGGGGTATGATGGTGTCGGTCCTGGATCAAGTCCGAAGGCAGGAAAAAATGGATTTCTCATCTCAAACATATACAGAAAGGGAAAATTAACCCCTCCTCTCTGCTCTTTTGTTCTATTCAGGCCATCAATGGATTGGATGATGCCCACACACATTTTCTGAGGCTGGACCTTCTTTAATAGGTCTATTGATCTAAAAACTAATCTCTTTTGGAAACATCCTCACAGAAACACATAAAAATAAACGTTTTTCCAACCACCCAAGCATCCCTTAGCCAAGTAAGGTTACATTTAAAATTAACCATCACATTTAAAGTAAGAGAAGATGAATATATATGGTTATAATCTTCACACACACACACCTTTGTTGTGTATTTTTCCTGATAATACATATAGTTCAAAACACATTCCCAATTTGAAAAAAGAAAAAGTTTCTCTGTAATCAAATCCAATGAAATAGCTATCATTAAGGGTTTTTCTTCTCTTCTTTCATCTATTTTTTTCCTGTGAGTCAGATTTATTTTTCTACCTGTCAAGTGATAATTTGTTCAGATCTGTTCCTTATATTTTTAACTTTCCATCATCATAGATATAAGTGTATTTGCAAAGTCTTTAGAACAACTATTGTAATACTAAGAACTACTATTTTAATACTAAGATTATTGCTTTAATACTGAAAACACCAAGGGGCTGTTCACTGTATCCATTTACCCTATAAGTTCCAAGAATAGAGTAAAAGAACATATTTCCACTCTCAAGATAAATAAAAGTAACGTATGTCATCATGACATAGTTCATAGAATTTTCCATATGAATGTTAATAAAATGCTTATTTAGAGAACTGGACTCTGAAATTCCAGTAAGCCATTAAATTAGGCTTTCTGACACAAATTAAATGAGAAAGCCTACAATGAAAAAACATGAAAGTCATAAGCATAAATAAAAAATATATTGAAAAATGTGTTTCACAGAATTTTCTTAGAAATGGTCTTGTAATTTCCCGTGTTCTTCAAAATAAATCTTAAAATTAACCATATAACCATATATAAAATGAAGTTCTGCAAGTCATGCAAATATAAACATTTTCTATGACAGGATAATAAATCCTTCTGTGATAGATTCATAAAAATGAATGTTTTGTTGTCATCATAACTTTCTTACATTGTTATAAATTATATAGTGAATTATTTTTATTAGCTCACAAATGGATTTAAATAGCAAAACATGCAGATTTGCTTTTGTTGTGTACAATATTTTCTTCAATAAAGACTAAATAGATTCCTGTGTTGGCATAATTTTCTTTAAAGCTAAAATTTTCCAGGCATTTGCATAGCCATACAAATTAGAGCATATACCCTTTTAATCATGATGAGCAGGCAAGACAATGAAAATATTAAGTAAAGAATGCAGAAAACTTAATTATGTGAAAATACTCCAGTGTGATATTATGGGTCTAATTTTATACTGCTTTTGGGAAAAAAAATTCTCAACTGCCATAAATTATTTTATGCAAATCTGTGACATTATTGATAACACATTGGATAATTAAGTACTTTCACTTTCACCAAAGAATAAATATATATTCTGTTCACATATATTTGTTAATTTTTCTAATAAAATATTCCAAAAATCAAAATCAATTGAGTTAGTTATGACCATTTTTCTGTATTTTACCATGCTATTTTAGTTGAATATATTAAATGAACTATGAGTCAAGGTTTAAAATACTGTTTTTCAGGTTTTCCCATAAAATGTAACAGATGTTTTCTCAGTCAGATTTCTATATTTGCAGAAGCAAGATTATTAATAAGAATTCTCTCTCATTAGAAAATACCTTCTCACATTAAATTGAAAATTATATAATTTGAAATAATATATGAAGTTAGGAATGTATTCTATAGTCCTACAATGAAATGATTTTCAAAACTTACCTAATTACATATGTGAGGAAATAAACTTACAAAAATTGAGAGACTTGCTTCATAACAACAAAGTCAATAAATGGAGCTACCCGCCTACTCTTACGGTGTTATTCCCACAAAATGGGAATTTAGCTTAATTGAATTGAACAAGTGAATTCTTGAAAAAATGGGAATTTGGAATTCAGTTTTGACACAAACTAACTATAAATTTTTGACTATAGTTTTTTGGGTGTTTTTTGTTTTTTGTTTTGCAATGGAGTCTCTATCGCCCAGGCTGGAGTGCAGTGGTGCGATCTCGGCTCACTGCAACCACTGCCTCCTGGGTTCAAGCAATTCTCCTGCCTCAGCCTCCTGAGTAGCTGGGACTACAGGCGCCTGCCACCACGCCCCGCTGATTTTTGTATTTTTAGTAGAGACAGGGTTTCACCATGTTGGCCAGGATGGTCTTGATCTCCTGACCTCGTGATCCACCTGCCTCGGCCTCCCAAAGTGCTGGGATTACAGGCATGAGCCACCGTGCCTGGCCTGACTATATATAGATTTTTAACAAAACTACTATCTGAACTCAATTTTATCCCCTGATAAAATGCTAACATGAGACTCATAGGAATATTTTTGCGGTATATAGTTACAGTAAAAATATTCTTTATAGTAGAGTAAAAAAGTACATATGATAAGACATAATCAAAAGCAACTCAATTTGAATAGACTATTAACTTAAAGAAACATTTAAAAATATTTAAGAATTAAACTAAAAATACCAGGGCTAGACTCTGACTACTGAGAGCTACAAGTCTTCTAAAGCAAACACTGTCTATATTTTGTAAACTGTCCAGCATTGAAAATGTTGGATAGTTTCTTAAATCATTTATGAGGCTGAGATAACTCTCATACCAAAACCAAGCAATGATGAAATTAAAAAAATGTAAATATCGAAAATTTATACTCACAGATATGTGAGAATTTGCAATTCTTAAATATTTAAATATGTATTGCCACTACAACTTTTCCCAGAAATATAAGGATGGTGCAACCTTACAAAAATATTAATTTATCCCATCATTTTAGCAGATTAAAAAGTTGAGTAAAAATGGTATTCTTGCTTAAAAATCATCTGATGAAATTTATCTCCCAAATTGATAAAACTATTTGCAAAGCAGAAACAGAAGAAAATTGTATTTATAAATAAACCATATTTTCTGGTGAAATACTAGAAATAGTACCATTTAAGACAGAAATAAAATAACTTTCCTGCAATCAAATAAGAGGGAATACAGCACTGACAGTTCTATTGCAATGCATTGATAAGGGAACAAAAAAGACCTATAAATGTCAATGAAGGGAAGAGGGAGACAAAACTTGTATCCAGACAACATTCAGATTGTTCAGAAAATCAAGAAAATAAATTGTAAAATTATTAGAATTAAAATGGTTTAGAATGGTGGCCATATATGCTTTCAAAATTCAGTAGTTTTCTTAACTATCATTAATAAGCAATTTTAAAATAATGGAAAAGTAATACTATTTACTAGAACAACTTAAATATAAAATATCTGTGAATACAAAAGAAAAAGAGAAAAGAGAAGAGGGAGAAGTTGGGAGAGGTAAAGAGAAATATGTAAAATATACATAAAGAAAATCACAAAGCTTTAACCATAAAATTTTTAAACCATAAAACCTATATATTCACTGAAAGCCTAATTAAATTCTCTCGAATTTTTTGAGAAATTTTACATTCACCTCAAAAAGAAAATATTTAAGAATATCAAGAAATTTTGCAGTTTAGCAGATTTCAAAATATACTATGAAACCATAGATATTAAATCATTTTTATTATTAATTGAAAACAGTTCCCCCCAAAGGCAAAATAGATGGCTGTCGAACAAAGATTGGCTCCCTCTATGAATTTCTAAAGGCATTAAGGAGGCTGAGGGAAACCATCCTAATGTAAGGTCGCAATTCCTTGTCTAACACCTAACTCTAGGTTTATTTTCAGATCTGCAAGCCAGTGGCTGAAGGGACAGGCTGTTTCAAAGGAGGAAGAACTCTGAAAGTACACTGCAAGATCAGACAGAGTTATTCCCCTCAGGGATCTTTGTCAACTTACTCAGATATTAGCATACTGGGGAAAGAATTATACTCAGAGAGTTCAAGGATGGTTAGACTCAGGGTGAGTTGACACAGATACACCTAACAACCCAAAGCACCAGCGTGCTTCTTCCTTCTCAATTTTTTAATATGAGGTGATATGGGGGCCACTAATAAAGGGAGTCCTGATCCAGATCTGGCCTACAATGGGTCCTCTGAGCCCACAGAATACCCCCAAGTGTTCACTTCCCTAGTCTTCAAAATGGACTTACTTGGTATTTGGTGGAACCCTCTCATGTCATATTATGCGGGATAAGTTATCATAGTAGAGAAAGCCAAGTAGAAGTCCTGAAATTTCCCCTTTCTTCCCATGTCATGATAGTGTACCAAAAATAATTCCTCATGGGAATACAGAGATGAGTGTCCCTCTCAAATTGCAAAGGGTGAGGGTGTGGGTGTGATGGTCTCCATCACTGTAAATTTTATTAAGTAATCTGGCTTCTACCAAACAAACAAACAAACAAACAACTAGATAAATCCTTGAGTATATGTTATTCGTGGACTGTCACAAATTCAACCAAGTAGTAACTTTAGCTTCAGTTGTTATACTAGCTGTTATCTCTGCCAAGCAGGTAACACAGTTTAGATACATGGTATCAATGTGGTCATTCATCTGGAAAATGCCTTCTTTATCCGTAACAGGAGAGAGGAAAAGACCAAATGCAGCATGTACTCACATAGGAAGGACAATAGTCTGCTTCAAGGATGCTGTAACTCTATATTATCCAAATGCATGTCAACCATAATAGCTGCAAAATATCACATTGGTCTACTATATCAATGACATCCTGCTAATCACATCAGATGAGCCAGAGTTGACAAGTACATCAGGGTCCTTGGTAAGATACAAATGCTCCATTAGATACAAGGATAACCATATGTCCTTGCAACATCACAGAAGTTTTTAGAAGTTTACTGCTCTGGATCATGCTAGAACATCTCTTTTTAACTAAAAGAAAACTTATCACACCTTGTACCTCCCATCACTAAGAAGCAAAGACAATACCTGAAAGGCCCCTTTGAGTTCTGGAGGGAGCATATTCTGTATTTGAGAATACAGCTCTAATGTTTTCAGTGAATGAGACAGAAGACTACTGAAGTGAATTGGGGCTTGGGGTGGCAAATCAGTTTATGGAAGAACTGTTTGGGAGCTCTAGGCTGTGTACAATTAATCCTGTGGGGCTTGAGCTATATAACTTAAGAACCTATGGTTATCGAGGTATCCATAATGGGAAAAGACCCAGTGTGGATGTTATGACAAATACCAATAGGTAAAACGCAACATAGACCCTTGCTTTCTCAAGTTAAGTCCATGTCATTTGCCTCAGAGAATTATATATCATTAGAGAAACAGCTGCAGCATGTGCCCTGAATGGTAGGCACCATGAAGTGATCATATATGTAAGCAAGACTTTTCATCGTAAGATGAGCTCTCTCAGACACACCATAAGTTAAGGGTAAACCAGCAGCAACCCAAGGGAAGATGGACATGGTATTCACGTTGTCACAAGCAGGGTGCAAGGGTACAAGTAAACTGTAGAAACAGGCAACTCAGACTCCTATGTCACCTATCATTTTTAACCAGCACCATTCCCTCAACTCATACCTATAACTAAGAAGGAGTGAGCTATCCCCACATTATCCAGCTGACAATAAAGAAACAAGCCCCAACCGGTTCACAGATGGAGCAACTCAGCATGTGGGTGTAAGCTGAAATGACTGTTGCTACACTATAATGCCACTTAGTAGTGGCTCTGAATAAACTTAAGTGGAGGCTGCAGTGAGCTGAGATCACGCCATTGAACTCCAGCCTGGACAACAAGAGCGAAACTCTATCTCAAAAAAGAATAATAATAAATAAAAATAAAAGTAAATAAATAACACCATTGTGTTGATAATTTAATACATATAATTTAAAAGTATACTTTTAAAAGTAGTTTTTACAGAAACAAGAATAGGTTTCAAGTCACAAAATACTGTATTTTAAGGCAATAATAGTGACCACTCTTGCAGTTGAAACTTCATGGTTATAGCTTATCAGGCAGTACTAATGAACAAATATGAATTATTTTAAAATAGCCCAAAACCAACTTTCTAGTGTGGCAGCTTATTAAATAATTTTGATAGTTAAACTAGACTGAAATAACACTGCCCTTATTATTTCTTCTGTCTGGTTTAAGTGCTGTTTGACAAGTCTTACATTTAAAAGTTATTTGCAAATGGATGATGTCAGTTATTAAAATTATATTCATAGTGCATACCAGATATATGATACTATTATGGATAGATACACAGATAAGTAGATATAGTTTTTTATTCTGTTATATGCATTATTGAATATTATTTATAAATTCACATTGGTGTTTAAATTATTTTTATCTCCCAGAAAAATTTATGCTGTTTGTTTCTTAAAAACTTTATTTGCTGCTTTACTATTTTCAAAAATCATAGTTACTATTGAGGTCATCATAAGCAACAGATTAAAATATTTTAAAGCCACTATTTTGAAATTTTATTCCTACACTGTACTAAGGCTTGATTATTTAAATTAATCTAATTTTAGTTATATCTAATTGAGGTCATCTAATTAATTACACCTGATTAAAATTTAACAATAACAGTAATGAAAAATAATAAAATCAACATTAGAAAATTACCAAATGACAAATAAAGACATGTCAAATATTCATCATAGTGCAATGATTTAATCTAACAATGACAATGTAAATTGCCATGGGAAGATTTGGTTAGGAGTTTAAATAGAAAAATAGGTGAGAGTAGCAGAAAATATGTTTATCTGTGAGTGTGATTAATTTCCCTACAGCCTTTGCTTTATTAAAAATATGGGTACATTTAATTTTTAAGAAATTTTTTATCAAACATAGCCAAATGAATATTCTGCTCTTTTTCACACATAAACCAATGTGTGACGAAATTTATATAAAATAACAAACACAAAAGACAATTTCTTAGCAATGCTCAACAACTTTCTTTTAAATTAATATTTGGCCGGGCAAGGTGGCTCATATTCGTAATCCCAGCAATTTGGGAGGCCAAGGCGGGCATATCACCAGAGGTCAGGAGTTCAAGACCAGCCTGGTCAACATGGCGAAACCATGTCTCTACTGAAAATACAAAAATTAGCCAGGTGTGGTGGTGCATGCCTGTAATCCCAACAACTCGGGAGGCTGAGGCAGGAGAATCGTTTGAACATGGGAAGCAGAGGTTGCAGTAAGCCGAGATCGTGCCATTGCACTCCAGCCTGTGCATCAAGAGTGAGACTTAATTAATTAATTAATATTTGCAATGCCCAACAGCAATTGCATTGTAGGAAGTTCAACACAAATAGCTGATTTCCCCGTCGCATTTTCAAAAGATGCAATCAGTTATTTGAAAGCAATAACTCATGAGTCAAGATATAAAGGCAAAAAGGTCAAGTGAGAAATGAAAAAATTTAAGAGCAAAGTTTAAAATATTTATTTAATTGACATACACGTATAGAAGAAGCACCTGACCCTGACAGAGAATTCATATTCTTTTAAGAACACATGTAATTTATGTGAAAGACCACAGATAAGGCCATAAAGCAATAGATTTCAATAATTGCATCAGATAAAAATACTCTCTATGTCTATGAAAAATAAATTTGGAAATCAATAACCGAAAGATAACTTTAAAACTTCATTTAAATATACACTTCTAAATAACTGATAGATAGAAAAATCAATAAAAATAAGAAATAGAATTTTAAAAACTAAAACAAAAAAATCTTTTTTCTTTAATGAGGTATGTTTTTTATATTCCTATTATGTTTATTCTGTTTTATAGTATTTAATTACTTAAAATTATTTTCATTTAGCTTATAGATTTTATTCTTTTATCACTTTATGATTCTACCCTAAAAATCTAGAACTGTATAGGGTTTGAGATTGAAATACATTGTTATATATTTACTGCTATGCGCCAGTAAAAAGTGGTAACACCAAAACTCATACACCAGTAGGCATCTGTTGTTTTTATTTAGTATTTGTTGGTAACAGAAATCATATTTCCTTTGGGGAACTACATATTCTTAAAATGTATGGTTTGGAAGAAATTGGCACTACTCATTCTCTAAAACATGGGCTGCTTTAACCCATTTATTGGTTTAATAAATTTTAACCAATTTATGTCCTTATCAGTAATAAGTGAACAAGGATAAGCATGTGTCCAAATCTTTGCTAATAACTACTAAACTTGGGACATTTAGTGGAAATGCTGTAAATGAGAGGCCATTTTTCCCCGGGGGTTGATAATCTCTTTCTGTGTGTCCCAAGGTGCCACTAACCACCTTGTCATCATAAATGGAGAGCCTCTGAGATGGCAGCCAAGATCTACATTTTAAGTTTCAATATCATGAGCCAATTCATTTTCTATTATCCCTAAATCATTTAGAAGGATTTTAAAAAAATATTTACAACTAATGATTTTAAATAATTATAAAATCACATGCTACTAAAATAAAATGGAATACCCACAGGTTCCTAATCTCATAAGTTTTTTATTATGTCATGAAACTCCATAGGGTTGTGTATCCTGAGGAAGTTCTACAATCATTTTATAGCTTCTTTTGTGAAAAGTAAAATTCAATATATTTGATACTTTCAATAACTAAAGTTTTATTGAGAAGTTTGAATTCTTACGACAGCATTTACTTCCTTCAGAAACATCTCTAAGAAAATTAATATTACACGGTGCTTTTTAAAGGAATGTTTTCTTAATCCAGAAGGATATATATGAAGTGCTTTAAATGAACATATGTCAATCATTCACTCTGAGCAATCTGAAATGACACCAAAGTACTTGAAATGAAAGAGTTTCATTACAAATTCTGGTAATGAAATACAGTAGAACTCTTTTGGTTTATTGACAGAGATTTAGTATATTAAACCATAGCTACTAAATAAAAAATATAGTGTCATGTGATAGTTATTAAGTTAATGTAATCAACTCTAGGATTAAATTTTGGAAAAAAAATTATTGGCTATGCCCTGCATACATGAACACTTAAAAGCTCCTAGACAGGTAAAGGTAGCTTAATGAGTCTTGCCCTCTTACCTGGTTTTCTACCTTCAAATTATTTAAGAAGAGAATTTGAAAGTAGAATGAGTCATCAAAGTAAGGAGTTATAGGCCTAGGACTAGAGAGCTTTCACTTTTCCTCTCTCCTTGCCATGGGAGAGAGGAACAGGCACTCTCTGGTGCATTCCGCTGAATTAAAGGGTTTTAAGAGAACCCTTCAGAAAGAGACCAGGGTTGCTACAAGGAGAGATTGGCATCTATATGCCTGGATGGATGTCTGATTCATGCCTGGATAACTTTGTATCTTCCCAAGATGATGAGGCAGAGAACTGACCTCTTTCAGCACAAACCAAGCATCGACAGTTGTGGAAGTAACCAGACATGCGTTTTCCGGGGACTAGATGAATGAATGCTGAAGCAGATTACCAGGCTTGAAGCGTTTTGTGGGAGTCTGCCTAAGAAGGCTTCTTGAGAGGCTAAAAAGTAAAATATGGTGGGATAGACATCTGTTGAAAGGAGTTGGTAGCTTGAAGTATTAGATAGAATATACTTCTTACGTCCGCAACCTATGCCATGGGGAGTTCCCACAGGGACACTGAAGAACGCACATATGCACCCCATAATGGAACAAGAACTTGTGAGCCTGCCATCATGGAAGATATGCTGAAAGTTTAGTGTTATCCAAGAAAGAACTACACTGTACCAGCTAGGGAAGAGAGATTTTTTCTATTTTACTATAATGCTACATTCCTATTACACAAGCACTAGGGCTTTGTGGTGTAGGTGGGGCAGAGGAATAAAAAGTGAAATAAAAAGAAAACCTTAGGTAATTCATCATGCTCTCTTCCTAATTATGAGTCTCAGGGTCACATATTAGCCTTGAGAAACGGGAGAAAGGAGGGAGGGAGTCAGGTTATAATCAGTGAAAGAAAGGAAGAATTAAATTGATCCGAGTTTAAAATTTTGCATTGAAATTCACCTGAAAATGAGACTGTATTTATAGATAAAAGTGACTTGAAGGGTAAGGGTAGGAGAGAGAAGTCTGACAAAGCATTTGTATAAGCAATATAGTAGTTGAAATTATGCATTTTGGCCCTAGTTTAAAAAATTATTTATGGTATTAATAAAAATCACTATATAACAACCTGAAGATTTTGATTTATCAATTATGAAGTGAGCTCAAAAATCTGTATTTTTTAAAGCTTATATGATAGAATATATGTATCTTAAATATGAAGTCAGTATCTTGATTAATGGGAAAGCACTAGAAAGTTCTCCACTGAAGTCATGAAAAGAACAAGTCAACAATCATTTCTAACATTGTCATAGATGAGAGATAGAGATAAAAGTTACAAAAATTGGAATGTAGAACTACCAATATTTGCACATGATAATACTGTATGTCTGAACAATCTGAGAGAATCAACCAAAAAAGTTACAAATAACAAGAGAATTCAGTAAGATTAATGAGCACAAACTGGTTTACAGAAATGATTACTTATTTAAATTCAGGGAAAAAACACATTAGAAGATGCTACATATAAAAGCACCCAAATGGCACTAGCAGGAACATGAAAGACCTCAATAGTTGGTAACAAACTTAGGAAGAAATGTGAAAAAGTAAATATGAAGAAAAGACTACTGATAGATACAAAAGAAGTCTTCAATGGGAAAGCTCAACATCAGGTAATTCTACCTAATAATCTATAAATTTAAGGTAATCCCAATAATAGTGCTAAGAATGTTATCTTAACTTTTTTTTTTTTTTTTTTTTTTTTTTTTGAGATGGAGTCTTGCTCTGTCCCCAGACTGGAGGGCAATGGTGCGATCTCGGCCCACTGCAAACTCTGCCTCCTGGGTTCAAGCGATTATCCTGCCTCAGCCTCCCTACTAGCTGGGATTATGGGCACCCACCACCACATCCAGCTAATTTTTTGTATTTTTGGTAGAGATGGGGTTTTGCCATGTTGGCCAGATTGGTCTCAAACTCCTGACCTCAAGTGATCCACCTGCCTCGGCCTTCCAAAGTGTTGGGATTACAGGTGTGAGGCATCATGCCCAGCCTAATTATATTTTTTAAAAATGTGTAAAACAATTCATACTAATAGTAATAATAGTATTGTGAACATATCTTGTGAATATAATTGTACAATATTGAGAACAACCTCATTCTCCATTATTTAAGCTTTCAAAAATTTGGAATCCATGCAATAGAAGAGTTTTTAATTAAAATGATAATGTAGATCCCTATTTTTGGCATTTAAAAATGAACGTAATGCTTTTGAGTTATATCTAACATAAAAAGTATATTCCCTCTATGTAAAATTGTGGAAATCTATCTGGCACAATATTAACAATGTTAGCAAAAATTATTTCTCTATTCAAAGCTTTTTGTTTTATTAATCTTATATTTTTCAGCATTATTTCAATTTCTGCAATAAGCTTATATTATGTTTACAATAAAAATAACACTATTTTTAAGTTTTTTATGTATAAAAAGGAATATGGTGGTAAAAGATAAATTAGAGAAATGCACCAAAAGAAAAAAAAAAAACAGAAAAGCAATTTAAATGGATAAAATAAGACTAAAGTTTCTAAAGCATTAAAGGGAGTATTAAAAAACATTGCATGTTAAAATAAAATGTAACATTTACGAGGAAGATTGAAATAGCACATTAACTCTTCACTTTACGTGCCACCACACTGAAGTTAACATGTCAAAAGAAAAATGAGTTGGAACTATGATGACAAAGGGAAGACTGAAACAACCCAGGAAAAATATTAATAAGGCTAAAGAATGTCCAAACAATATTTGATGCCACATAAAACATTATATAAGACATACCCCAGTTTTACAAAATTTTGATATATAGTATGTGGTGCTGTATTTTCTTTAATATTAGTAATGACATCTTTGTGCTAAAATAGGTCTTTTATATCTATGGTGTTTAATATGATCTAAATTTGATGAAAGTACACTCCTGCTCCAAAATACCTAGAAACCTCAGAACAAATTGGAAAGCAAAATGAAACAAAACAACCAGTTGTGGTATCTAAACCTAACTGGACTCTCAAGCCAAGAAATTGATGTTTATTTTAGCTGGCATTCTTTAGCACCTGCCTCAAATATCCTTTCACATGTTTCACAAAAGACCAGTAAAGTGAATATGTCTCATTTCATAGAAGCATTTGGCTCTATTGAACAATAAAGACTTCATTTCTGTGAACACCTCTTGTGTATGCCTGTCTATATCCCCATCCATCTTTTCTTCCTTCTCCACTGTTACAATGGAAAAGATGTATTTCCTTGTCTTTTCATGATCCAAAATCCTACTACTATCTCCTTAACATATTGCTCCAAAAATTATAATCTATCATATATTTTTTCTCTCCTAAATTTTCCAACTATATTTAAACATGCTCCCACATTTAAAAAGAAACTCCTTTAGTGCCCTTGCTCCTTGACTTGATTTTTCTCTCACAGTCAAATGAAAGACTGTCTGCATTTGTTTATGTCCCAGTTATTTCTCATTTACTCATCTATGCACTGAAGAATAAGATCTTCCATATAACGCTCAAGAAAGCAATAGTATCCTTCTCATTAACTCTAATAGATTCTGTCCAATCATCTTATTTGATCTCTCCGCAGCATTTGATTCTATTACCATTCCCTTCTTGAAATATTTACTAAAATATTTACCTATGCTGTACCAACTTTCATTCTGTTAGTTTTTTAATATTTTACAAAAATTTCATTTCCTCCTCTCTATTAAATATAGATGTCTCTTGTGCTTTTTACCATTTCCATCTACTTTTAGCCTTCTTCCCTGATCCAAAGAACTATCATCTAAAAAAATTTTAAGAGAAAAATTTCAGTGTTCCAAGAGATTCACACCTACCCAGGAGAAAAATATCCAAAAGATATTCTAAAAGCACAAGGGTGCAAAAATATATTACTCAAGTATACATTCCTTAAAAATGCAAGTCTCAGATGTACTTCAGAAAGAACAATTTTAAAAGATAGAGGAAGTTCTAGCGGAAGACTTTAGTTTTATGTTAGACAGCTGTGGTTGATTACATTATTTATTCAAAGTTATTATTCCCCTCTGACCATACTTCCCTGTAGGAGAAATGTGTTTTCCCATTGAACTTTGGCTTGGCCATGTGACTTCATTTTCCAATTTAAAAATGACTTGACTGACATACAAACAATCAAAGCAGAAAGTTTACATGCATTTGCATGGCTTCACTCTGCCCTATTCCTCTTCATCATGTGAAAAGCATGTACCTAAGAGTGGCGACTCCTTTTGCCTGGGTTCTAGATTGAGAAGTTACAAGGAGGTGAGCCTTGCTAAGTGCAATTGAGCCAAGACAACTCAGCATAGCTACAGCCAAACAGCTATTACACAACACAAGCAAGAAATAAATGTTTGCTGTTGCAAGACACTGAAATATTGGAAATGTTTTCTATCATGGCAGAGACTAATAAAATAATAAAATAGTTAAATATGTAGTTACAGCTGAATAAGTGTGTTGCTCAAATACAATGCACATTTTTCAAAATGTTATGCATGAAAAGGATCATATGTATAATTCAGTTGTTCAGTATATAAATCATAGTAGATTTAAAGTTCTCACATATTATCAAATACAAGGAAGTGAGTTAATAATAGATAAAGCATGTTGAATGTCCAATTTCACCTAAAGTATAGTGAAAATATAAATTATTATTAATTTTAAAACTTAGAAAAATACTGCTTAAGATATAGGTAATGATATATAGACAAGAAAAATAAATTATAAATCACTAGAAGATGTTTTTTAAATAATAAAATGTATAGAGTATGTTGCCAGTCACATAAACCAAAGTACTAGCAAGAATAAAGTATGTTGATAATGATCATAATAATATTTAATGAATTATATAATGGCTAGTTGAATGCCTAATGTGCACTGAGTTTACAATTATGAATTCAATATACATTTTTCCAATCCTTATAAACTTGTGAATTAGGTACTATTTTAAGTGAGTGTACAATGTTTATGTAAACCTAAAACAAAATGACTGTTTAAACAAGAAACTGCTGTTTTCATGTCTAACGTTTAAAAAAGAAAATCATAAATACTTTATAAAATATTGAGAGTAGCAAAATTAACTTTACACTTATAAAGCAATGCAAAAATCTTAAAATGAGGAAAAGACTGTAGCTCTCCATTAGTAAATTAGATGGGTACATAGTGAAGATTAGTAATCATGAATATGTATTGGTTGGTAATGTAACATTAGAATACACAAAACTGAAATAACTAAAAATATCAGAAGAAAATGATACAAGTGCAATATTGGTAGAAGACTATAAAGTGATCTTGGTATATAACAGATATCAAAAATATATCAAAGACCAAAATAAGAAATAGTATATTTAGTATGATTATCACATATGTCATAATTCATACTTTACTGAGTATAAACTCATTTTAAATAGCCCTGAAAAATCACAAGTGTTGAACAAAAAATAGATTATAAAAATAAACTCTGGACACGTAGACTGTTTTCATACCTTGGCTATTGTGAATAATGCTGCAGTGACAATGGGGGGTGCCAATATCTCTCCGAGATATCGATTTCATTTCCTTTGGATATATATCCAGAAGCTGGATAATATGATGTTACCATTTTTTTGGAGAAACCCCAACACTGTTTTTCATAATGAGTATATCAATTTATATTCCCACCAACAGTGTAGAAGCATTCCCTTTATGTGATACCTTAATCAACACATCTCTTTTTTCATAATAGCCATACAAAAAGGTATGAGGTGATATCTCATTGTGAGTTTGATTTGAATTTCTCTGATAATTAGTGACATGAGCACCCTTTCATATACTTGTTGTCCATTTGTATGTCTCTTCATTTTTGTCCATTTTAAAAATCAGGTTATTTGTTTTCTTGCTATTGAGTTGTGTGAGATATATCTTGCATGTTAATCTTCTATCAAATATATGGTTTGCAAATATTTTATGCTATTCCAAAGCTTGCCTTTGCATTTTTTTGATCATTTCCTTTGCTGTGCAGAAGCATTTGGGTTTGATATAATCCCATTTATTTATTTATTTATTTATTTATTTATTTATTTATTATTTTTTGAGACGAAGTTTCGCTGTTGTTGCCCAGGCTGGAGTGCAATGGCACAATCTTGGCTCACTGCAACCTCTGCCTCCTGGGTTTAAGCAATTCTCTTCCCTCAGCCTGGGAATTACAGGTGTAATTCCCAGTAGCTGGGATTACAGGCGTCCGCCACCATACCCAGCTAATTTTTGTATTTTTAGTCTGTGCTTTTGCTGTCATGTTAAACAAAATCACCGCCAAGATCAATGTTAAACATGGAGCTTTTCTCTATGCTTTCTTCTATGAGTTTTACAGTTTCAGACCTTACATTTAAGTCTTTCATTCATTTTAATTTTTGTATATACTACTGGGGTCCAATTTTATTCTTTTGCATGTGGATATTCAGTTTTCCCAACACCATTTATCAAACAGATTTTTCTGTACCCATTGTGTATTTTGGTATCTTTGTCAAAGATTAGTTAACCGTGTATGTGTGGCTTTATTTCCGGGCTCTCTATTCTGTTCCATTGGTCTGTGTGTCTGTTTTTATGTCAGTAGTATGCCATTTTGATTACTATAGCCTTGTTGTATAGTTTGAAATCAAGGTGTATGATGCCTCCAGCTTTGTTCTTTTTTCTCAAAATTGCTTTGACTATCTGAAGTCTTTATACAAATTTTTGTATTTATTTCTATTTCTGTGAAAAAAAGTCATTGAAATTTTGATAACAATTGCATTGAATCTCTAGATTGCTTTGTGTGTGGGCATTTTAACAATATTAATTCTTCCAATCCATGGGAGGTCTTTTTATTTATTCTTAAATTTCTTTTATCAATGCTTTATAGTTTTCAGTATACAGATCTTTCAACTCCCAGATTAAATATATCCCTAAATATTTTATGAATGTGTAAAGAAATTGTGGTATATACTACCACAATTGGTAAATAATATGAATTATTTAGCCATAGCAGGGAAGTCCTGCCATTGGTGACAACATGGATGAACCTGGAGGACATTATGCTAAGAAAAATAAGCCAGATACAAAAAAAGATAAACACTGTATCATGTAACTTAAGAAGTAGAATTCATAGAAACAGTGAACACAATGGTAGTAGCCAGTGGCTAGATGTTAAGGGGGCAGGGATGAGAATGTGTTGGTCAAAGGATACAAACTTTCAGTTTTAATATGAATAAGTTCTGGAGATCTAATGGACGGCATGGGTGGTGATGGATGTGTTGATTTGACTGTGGTCATCATTACACAATGTATACATACATCAAATCATCATGTTGTACACTGTGAGTATATTAAATCCTTATTTGTAAATGAAAATATTTTGAAAAAACAAATAAATATAGATCTTAAAATACAAACTCTGAAATGTGGCTATCATATAAACAACAATCACTACAATCTTATGATACCCCAAAAAGACTAATCATGTGTCAATCTTTAAACCCCAACTCAACTCCTTACCATCTGTAAATATAGTGAGTTAAAGAAGATACACAAAGTTCAATTATAGGCAATTTAAAAAATAGCAACATAGAGAATATGACTTATTTCCATCTGTGTGTGTATAATATTAATATTAATATACTAAAAGTATGTGTACAAATGATTATGAGCATATATGGATATATAGATGTAGTATATATGTATGTAAATATGTATTTATAGAGTGTGAGTGTATACACATACACACACAAAAAACTCATACACACATACACGTTTATACATGTGTGCATATATAGCATGTTTATATGTATAATTATGTGTATATATGATGCACACATTATATATATACACATATATGTATATACAAACACACATATACATATATAATTGCTCCATTTATTTTTGGTCAGTCTAGATATTATCTCACTTGGGTGAAATGGTTACTCCTCAGAGAATTAGCTATGGACAGTAGAGAATATGATTACTTAGAAGTCAGATGAACTTCCCTTTGAAGATAGGTACACAAACACTATAGCAAATAGCTCCTTCTGAATCTTAGATGTTGAATATTATAGGTTATACATAAAATTATCCAAAAATTTAAAACTTAACTTTAAATGTCTTCTTATTAAGTTAGAAAAAAAATATATTGATGTAAGCATTCAGTTTATAAAGGCAGAAAAAATGAAACAAAACCAACATAAGGAAAAGGATAAAAGCAAATACCAGTGAATTAAAACCAGAAAAGGTTAAGAATTGATAAAAATAGAAGTGTAAATATGTTTTATGAAGAAATATAATAAGTAAATATTATCTAGCCTGGAAATTTTACTTGAAAAACCAAAAACAGTAAATGAACATAACTGGAATATTTTTAAAGTGACAAGTAGATTAAAAATGTAAGAAATGTAGCTACAGTAAACCATACAATAAAGGTGATAATCCAGTTGAAGCATAAGATAGTTAGAATTATATGAACATAATTTTCTCATTGAATACCAATATCCTGGGTGGCTTGTTGTAAATGACTAAGTAACTACCTCCAAAAACATTTTGAAACCAAATAATTTTATAGGAGAGTTATTTTCAACTTTTATAAAATAGCTAATATGCATTTTATATAAATTTTTCTGAACCATAGAAGACTTAATGAACCCAATTCACTTTGTGAAAGTAGCATATCTTGTATACTTAAACATTAGAACACAAAAGGGTTCAAGAAAAATTACAATCAAGAACAGGGAAGAAGAACATAAATTAAATAGAAACATAAACTAGGCCATCTAATAGTGATTTCAATTAAGTTGGTTCTATATCTACAGTATAGGACAGTGAATTAAATCTACTAAATTTGATATATCATTAAGTCCTATTAAAAAGGTATATTTTGTAACTAAAAATGATCAGTACAATTGAGCAAACATTGCTGCTAAGAATTCTTACACAAAAGAAGAATTCTTAGAAAAAAATAAAAATATTTTTCAAATGCATTAATAAAGGCACGTATCAAACAAAAGCAGAAGGCATATTCTTCCCAAATGCACATAGAACACTCACCAATATGGATAGCATTCTAAAAAATGTATCATCTGACAACTCAGGATAATAAGCATACAAACTATTACTTTCTATTAACAAAATTCAACTGTATATTTTAAATTATCCTGTGAAGATATTTCAAATCAGAATTGGTTGATTTTAATTGCATTACTAAGACAAGTTTGGCCTGGCGAAAACTAGAGTGGAATATAAGACAAAAGGGAATTCTGGCTATTAAAACAATGAAATTGCTTCAGGTTTTCAGGGACACTTTTCCCCCTGCATCTAAGGTTTTTGAGAAACAAGCCAAGAATTGGAAAAGTTGAAAAACATATGGCTGAGACTTGGGGCACAATAGGCATGTTTTTATGGCTTATGTATGTTTCTACCAAAATTTTTTAGAATAAGAAAGATTCTAAGTAATATTTTAAATATTTTCTGGTGGTGAAGTGGGAATAAATACCAAAAGGAAGGAGAGAGAGGCGAGAAGAAATGGACAGCCATTGACTGAACTGCCTGCCACGTATGCACAGTACTAATAGAACAAGTTAGGAAGTTACCCGAACAGGTAATTCATATGAATGCCACTGTCTTTAGCATTCATAAACAGTCCCTTTACTCCCTAACAGTGCTTCATCTTCTCTTTTCTTGATATTTTTCCTATTTTCTCTTTTCTTGTATTGTTTTGCTCTTGACATTTTTACAGTCATAATTAACAGAAGAAAATATGAAAATACTCGAATGACAAGGAGACTAACAATGATTATTAGCCTTAATTAGTATACATAATATCAATAGTTCCACTTTTTGAGTTCTCGAAGTGTGCCACCCACTAACCTGGATGTTTTACATATGTTTCATATTCAATCTCCATAAAAGTTCTTTAAAGTTGTATTAGAATTCCCATTTGATCAAGGAAATTGTCATCAAAGGTCCACAAGTAGTCACTGGAAGAGTCAAAATCCTACTATATTGTTCCTTCCATTTCACTCTAATTGTCTCAAAATATCAAGTGTCTCCTGACTTGTAGCCTCCGCCTTTATGTACCTCTGAGAGATAACTAAAGAATTCCATATAATGATCATTAATTTTTAATCTATTATCAAGATATTAGGAATGAAAATTTCTAGTTAATTGCGCAGGTATGGAGGTGGAAGAATTCCCTGGGTTTCTGTGGTGGGTCATATTCCCTCCAGCATACGGGTCAGACTTTTGAAAAGAATTCAGTTAATTAACTCCCTAGGCACTTCACACCATCTTAATTGCTCTATGGACCCAATATTGCATTTGGGAAGAAGCAAGGAGACATGCATTCTTTGTTTGGCTCAATGTCAGATACTTTGATCAATGTTTAACATCTAAATGTGCGAATAATGTATCTCTGGGTTTATTTACTCAAACTTTGGTTGACTCTCATTGTTATATTTTTAAAGCATATTTTGTACCAGGTAATGGGTCATTTTACCAACAGTGACATAGAATTTGTCTTCTATTAGGACTGTATCTCATAGAACCAGGGATGCTATTCAACACATCTAACAATCATTACAGAGAAAAAGCAACAACCAATAAGAACAGAAACAAGAGAAGGGTACTGGATGGCTTTTGCTGTACCAGAAATTCCCCTTAGATTGTAGAGAGGTCCTCAGAATCTTCAGGAAGTAGTCATAGTGGCAGGTAGCACAAAGGACCTTGAGGGGTTGGGACAGGAATTTTGCACCAACCAATGGGAAATTATTTCAATAGTTAACAGCTGACATAGGAGAGAGTCAGCCCTGCCTTAGCGCTACAGATTCTCCTAACTTACGTGATTGAGTTCCTGTATAGGTCTTATTGAGAATTATACTGCCCAATCTTAGAAAAAGAAAAAGGCACAGAAAGCTTATTTAAATAATACAGTGTGTTGCTTAACAAGCTGGTACCAATTAATCTTTTTGTGACTGCTTATGGAAAATGTGTTTTTTCTGCTCCATCAGCTCAGCATGCTAGTAAACACAAGTATCTCGAAAAAACAGTTGACACAAAATTAAGAGAAATACAGGTGGAAAACATTTCAGTTGTGGGCTGCATGGGAAGATTACACTAATTTGAGGGCAATTGCAAGTAATCCTTCCTTTGAATTTAGAAGCCTCAATTGACACCTCATTTTATAGTTTTTCAAGGTAAATTCTTTTTAATCTACTTTAATGAAGTTATTCAGATTTTCACATATAAAGTCAGTAGAGAACTAAGATACATTTTAGTGTTAAGCCATATTACAAATATTCTGCTTGAGAACAACTAAACTGCCTATAATTAGATTTACATCTAGGATATACAAAAAGATTTAATTTTTATTACTCCATTCATCTTATATGGTTTCACTCTCTGCATTGTGAATTAAACAATTGAATAATATTCTCTTAAGGAGAATTAAATATAATAGTACTGTATGTCTCATAAAGTGTAAAATGTGGAGACATTTTTAAAAAGGATGAAAGAATGCATAAAAAGTCAAAAAAAACACAAAATCGCACTTAATTACTTAAACACAAACAAATATGTCAAGTGTTCAAGGGAGGGATAAAGTTCCATATAATCTTTAATTAAGTCTCAATAGTGATATGCCCAGCAAAGCTCTGGTTTCACTCTGAAATAGTAAAAGACAAATGTCAGTAGGTTAAAAAAAAAAATTACCATTTACAACCAAAACTAAGTTCACTTGCATTTCTGAAAGTATTGAAATTGGTATGGTTAGAATGCTACAATGAAACAGTTATGACACGCCCATGCAATTTTTCCAATAATTTACTATATCTTAAAAATACTGAAAAGAAATTTCCTATTATCATTTGTTAAATTTATACCCTTGGAATCTATGAAATTATTTATGAGGTGGCTGAAATAGAATAAAACTATTAAATTGAACCACTTAACTGATTGAAGTTGGTCCTATAAAGTAATAGGATATAATTAATAATTAAATTGATAGTGTTGGTTTTGTGTGTTTTGGTCCCCAAATTATAAAAACTTTTGAAGACATAAGTTAAAACCTTATACATCAACATTTCTAGGGCAAAAAAAAAAAGAAAATCTAAGTCTAGCATTTGTAAGGTATCATCTCATTAGACTTGACTATTTTCAGCCTCCTACTGATGAATTCCAAACTGATTTTATATGTGCAATATTGGTCAGATCAATGATATCAAATTGTCTTTTACACAATCAAATATCGATGTATTTACAAGTTTAGGAAAGCAAATTCTAAATGTGCTTTATGTTGAAAAAATGCATAGGAGAGTGCATTCTAAGATAGATTCTATGAATTACCAGTTAATTAAATTTTTCAAAATGACAGTTTTAATAAATGGGTGATTAAATTTTTCTCAAGCATTAAAATGCTTATTGAATGTTAATGGAAACTGCATAGAGACTTTATTTTAAAACATTTTCCTTATCAACTGAATAAAAAATAATTGATAACATGTTGGACAGTATGTGACAAAAGGTGAACCTCTGCTCACTATTAATGGGAATGCAAGTTGGTACAGCACCTATGGAAAACAGTACGGAAGTTCCTCAAAAAATTACAAATAGGACTACCATGTGATGCAGCAATCCTGATTTGGGGCATATATCCACAGGAAATAAAATCTGCACTCCTGTGTTCACTGCAGCATTATTCACAGTGCTTAAAACTTGGAATCAACCTAAATGTCCCATCAATAGATGCATGAATAAAGAAAATGTGGCAAATACACAAAATAAAACACTATTCAGCATTTAAAAAGAAGAAAATTCTGACATTTGTGACAACATGGAGGAACCTGGAGAACATTGTCACTGAAGTAAGCCAAGCACAGAAGACAATTATCACTTACATACGGAATCTGAAATAATTGAACTCACACAAGTAGAGAATACAATGGTGGTTACCAGGGACTGGAGGAGAGGAGGTGTATTGGGGTGATGTGGATACAAAATTTCAGTGAATACAAAAATACAAAATTTTCAGTGGATACAAAATTTCAATTAGATAGGAGGAATAAGTTCAAGAGGTCTATTGCAAAACATTGTGACTATGGTGAATAACAATGTTTTTTTTTAATTACTAAGAAAAATTTCTAAGTGTTCTCACCACAAAATCATAAATATGTGAGTAATGCATATATTAATTGGCTAGATTTAGCCTTTTCACAATGCATACATATTTCAAAGTAACATGTTGTACACAATAATGTATATAATTTTTGTCATTGTAAAAATAGATAAATCAATATTTTTAAAATGAAAATTAATATATTTTATTTTAGCCATATTTGATTTTCTATAAAAAGTATCATTTGGAAGTTTTCGGGCCAGCACGGTGGCTCACACCTGTAATCTCAGCACTTTTCTCAGAATGAAAATAAGCATGCAAAATACAAATTTCTACAATTTAATGTACAATTGTACATGAAATTTTAATTTAATAAATTAAATTTTTATTCACGATGTTATAAACAAGTTGTATAACTTTAGTTCTCACCATTACACACCCAAAACTTAGAACATTTCCTTAGACATGAGTGTCCAAAAAATTAATAAAAAGTAAAATATTACATATATTCTAAGTTCAGAAGCATTTGAAAAAACAATGTGACACATGCAACATTTGTATATACCTTCCTTTTTTATACATTGTATGTTGTCATTCCTCATAACCCTACAGTGAAGCAAAAAATCCAACGATTGTCTTGCAAATTATGTAAACTGCAGGACAAAGTTAATATCTCATAAGTATTCATATAAATATGCACATATCCATGCTCTATGAGCACTCTGAGTTGGAATATTCAACTTCTGTTTTTATCAGAATCTGACACTTCTTCTTATATGCAAAACAAATATTAAGGTTTTGCTAAAATGTACCTATTTGGTTTAAGTAGAGAATGGGATGTAAGTGAAAGGCTTTAATATTCATTTCTAACATTATTGTGAAATAAATGTCCTGAAAACGAATTCAAACTTGGAAAAATTTTCTAAATAATAAACACACATTATCTAAATGACTAGGGATAAAAAAAAAAAAAAGAGGCTATAAGAAAAATAAGGGTAGGTAGGTCCTGACACCCTGATTTCTTGATGGTTCTTGCCAGTTTTAAGAATCTAGAGCCTTGGGTTTTAGAAGAAACTCAAGAAACAGAAGTAAGGTGGGGAGTTTAAATTGAGACCGCTATGTAAACCCAGGACATAGTAAAAGACTACATTTTCAGTGAAAGGTTCACGTTTGCCTAATAGCTACAAGATAATGAGGAGAATTGTTTGACAGCTGGGTGGAAAAATTGAACCATGTCTACAGCCAAAGGTTAGCCCTCCTGTGGCTGTTTGGTTTGAAATCCCATTACCTGCAGATCCCAGGACATACCAAGTTTGAAAATTAGCTTAACATGTATCCTGGGTTAATAGGACCAAACATGCAAACGGCAAACAAACAAAAAACCTGGGCTGAGGAGGAAGAGGAGGGAGGAAAAGAAGTAAATGCAAACATTCTAAAGGGCCAAATGTAAAATCATTTTATTATTCACCCTTTTATTAATAGCTTCATCATTTAAATAAAGAGTGTGGCTCCATTTCTTATGTTTGACTGGTACAGCTTTTAAGTCTCACTCCTCTTTTCTCTCTACCTTGCATCTGGGCAAGCTAAGAAAGCCTGTGTGCCCTCCCCTTTGGCACTCACATGACATTCAAGCCACATACTAGATGCCTCACCCAAGCTCCACCTCTTAAACACCATCAGTACCCCGAGCCTGTCAGGTTTTCTTTCTCTCTCAAGACATTTTCAGACCTAGTTGGGAGTCATACTGTTCCCTCCAGAAACACTTATGTGAGTGATAAACCTTTCACAACTTTTGGTGTGTGTGGCATTGTTAGTCTCAACATCAAATGCAAAGTCTGAGGCGAGTTTCTTCATGAAATCACAAGCACTGAAGAAATGAAATATGGCATGTTTTTCATTAACCCATCCTTAGAATTGAATCATATGCATAAATAGTTTAGGCAATCACATACTGTCTGGTGTGCAGGGATTAGAAAGTGTAAATTGTGGGAAACTGATCTTCTCTTAGATTCTGAGGACCTTCAATAACATGGCATTGTGTCATGTGGAATGCATGTCTAGTGTCTAAAGATACTGTTTTTTATTTATATATCACTTAATCACAAAATGCTTCATAGAAGGCAGATCTAAAGAAACAGTCATTTGTATCATTCTTGGAGGAACGACCTACTTGGACTTACAGGGAAATGAAATACTGGCCTCCAATATTATACCTTTCTAAGACATTTCAAAACGTAATTTGGATTATAGAGATTTTTCTTTCAAAAGCTGACTCTGTAAAAAAAACTCTAGATAATATATATTATTAAATATCTTATCATGAATAAAAGTCTAGTGTCCTAGGAAATACCATAAAAGAAGATAATCTAATCAAGTTTGCTGGTAAGTTAGACAAAACATGAGACCTTCCTAAGCAAATGACACTTCAGTGGAAACTTGCTTGTTATGTAGGATTAAGTCAGGCATGGTGATTAGACGTAGAGAAAAAAGTAGGAAATTGGGAGGAGAGAACAACACACATGAAGTCTCTGAGGGTGGAAAGTAAGAAACATGCCATGTTAAGAGAAGCAGGAAAAAATGCAAATCAGTGTGGCAAAAATATAGGACAAAATTAGAGTGACTGGTGACAGAAGTTACACAATCCATTATGCAGAGCTTTGTATGTATATTGTTGTTTGTTTGTTTGTTTTTGAGACGGAATCTCACTCTGTTGCTCAGGCTGGAGTGCAGTGGAGTGATCTGGGCTCACTGCAATCTCTGCCTCCTAGGTTGAAGCAATTCTCCTGTCTCAGCCTCCCGAGTAGCTGGGACTACAGGAGCACACCACCACACCCGGCTAATTTTTGTATTTTTTAGAAGAGACAGGGTTTCACCATATTGGTCAGGCTGGTCTCTAACTGCTCACCTCAGGTGATCCACCCACCTAGGCCTCCCAAAGTGCTGGGATTACAGGCGTGAGCCACCATGCCCAGCCTGTATATTTTATTAATCATTTTGAATGTCATCTTAGGAGCAATTGGAAGCATTAAGTTTTCTCAAGGCATTTCTGTGGTCAGATTTATATTTGCAATAAGTCATAGGAAAAGATGATAGTGACTTAGACAAAGGTGGCATAAGAAAACATCAGGAGAAAGCTTTGGTAGGATGTGAGTTGATTAGCTGTGGAAAACGGGAAGAAGGGAGGTATCTGGATAATTTTCATGTTTCTGACATGGACAGCCAGGAGAATGAAAAATGTCAAAAATCCGTTATTACAAAAGGAAATAAGAGTTCAGTTTTGCAACATTAAAAATGTGAGGTGCCAATGGAGCATTCAAGTGGAAATGTCAAAAAGCAAGTATCTATACAGATAAGGAGTTCAGAAGAGATGGCTGGCCTGGTGATAATTCAAGAATTGTCAAATTATAATAAGTTTTTAAAGCTATGGGAAATTGATCTAATCATCAATGAAAAGACAATGTGAGAAGAGAGTGTGGCCTATGATAGCCCTGAGGAACTCCAATGCCATTAGTGAAGTGATCTGAACAAGTCTGCACAAGTTTGTGTAAGTTCAAGACCCATATTCTCTACTAAAGCCATACCTAGAATTCACATCTTGAGAATGCTAGACAATGTGTTGCCCATTTATGAATCAAAGCAAAGCAGACCCAAGAGCTAGATTTGCTGGACAGAGGTATCAGGAGACTACACTTTGAAAAGAAGATTCAGTGGGGAGGGTGTTAATAATGTGAAATTTGACATCTGAAAGTAGAGGCCACATATCTGTATGGCATGCAGACAGTCTAAATTGAAAGTACAATGCAGAGTGTATATTAATTATGAGAGTGTCACATTCCCATTGTTACTTAATTTCTGAAAGTAGGAAAATTAAGGCACTTTAATTGTCCATATTGCTACATATCTGAACATTTAAATTCAAACTGTTAATTTTTTATATTCATCAATATTTCTATATGCATACTAGTGTTTCCACTAGTGTCCACTCTGCTCCAGGAATCTCTGGGAAATGCATAAATTATTTTAAAACTCTGTGAATTCAGCAAAGGCTTCAGAGTCCCTAGTAAAATGACAAAATCTAGTGGGTAAACATATTTCTGCCAAAGAGTTTGGGTTTGATTTATATTGAAAGCATATGCAAATAAGCAGAATACACAGACAGAGAGGAATATCTGAAGCTAAACCATTTCTGAATGATAATCAACTTAATTGTTCCAAGACGTATTGTGCAATTTGTGGATTATCCAAACCCAAACCATTTCTTTTTTATTTCTGATCATTGGATTTTGCCATTTTTTTTTCTGCTTCTTATAATTCTTCCAGAGGTGATCCAGGGAATAGTGTAAGAAAGAAATTTGAATGAAAAAAAAAAACACTTGAATGAAAAAATCTACTTTGATGAAGTAACAGTGTGACTTCAATCAAGTCTTGGTACCTTTCTCAAATTTCTCATTACCTATGGAAGCAAAATATATTGAAGCAGATTTGTCAAGTACTGACTTACAAATGGCTAAAAAACTTATAAATGACTGATAAATTTTCTATATCCATCAGGATACTTTGGTTGCAAATAAGAAGATACCCAAATGAAAGTAACTTTGTTTTTGCTTTCCAACTTTTATTTTAGGTTCATGGGGTACATGTGCAGGTTTGTCACATAGGTGAATTGCATGTCATGGGGGTTTGGTGTACATTAGTACCGAGGTCATGCGTGTAGTACCCACTAGGTAGTTTTTCAATCTTCGTCCTCCTCTAATCCTCTACTCCCAGGTCGGCTCCAGTATTTATCGTTCCCTTCTTTGTGTCCATGTGTACTCAATGACTCAGTGTTTAGCTCTCACTTATGAGACAGAGCACACGGTATTTGGTTTTCTGTTCCTCTGTTAATTCATCTAGAATAATGGCCTCCAGCTGCATCTACGATGCTGCAAAGAACAAGATTTCATTCTTTTTATGGCTGCATAGTATTCCACAATGTATATATATCACATTTTCTTTATCTAGTCCACCATTGATTGACATCTTGGTTGATTCTATGTCCTTGCTATTGTTAATAATGCTTCAATTAATATATGCATGCATGTATCTTTATGGTAGAGCCATTTATATTCCTTTGAGTGTATACCCAGTAACGGGTTGCTGGGTCAAATGGTAGTTCTGAGTTCTTGGAGAAATCTCAAAACTGCTTTCCACAATGACTGAACTCATTTACATTTGCACCAGCAGTGAATAAGCATTCCCTTTTTCCCACAACCTTGTCACCCTATCTTATTTTTTTCACTTTTTAATAATAGCCATTCTGACTGGTGTGAGATGGTATTTCATTGTGGGCATATGTATTTTTCTAATAATCAGTGATGTTGAGCATTTTTTCATAGCTTATTGGCTGCGTTAATGTCTTCTTTCGAGAAGTGTCTGTTTATGTCCTTTGTCTATTTTTTAATGGAGTTGTTTTTTGCTTGTTGATATGTTTAAGTTCCATGTAGATTCTGGATATTAGAGCCTCGTTGGATGAATAGCTTGCAAATATTTTCTCCCATCCTGTAGGCTGTTTACTCTGTTGGTAATTTCCTTTGCTGTGCAGAAGCTCTTTAGTTTAATTAGGTCACATTTGCCAATTTCTGTTTTTGTTGCAATTGCTTTTGGTGTCTTCATCATGACATCTTTGCCAGGGCTGATGTCCAGAGTGATATTTCATAGGTTTTCTTTTAGAGTTTTTATAGTTTTGGGTTTTACATTTAAATCTTTACTCCATCTTGAATTGATTTTTGTATATGGTGAAAAAAAGGAGTCGGGTTTTAATCTTCTGCATATGGATAGCCAGTTATCCCAGAACCATCTATTGAATAGGGAGTCCTTTCCCCATTGCTTGTTTTTGTCTGCCTTGTTGAAGAAGATGTTCTGGTATTTGGCTTTATTTCTGAGTTTTCCATTCTGTTACATTGGTCTTTGTGTCTGTTTTTGTACAGTACCATGCAGATTTGGTTACTGTAGCCTTGTAGCATAACCTTGAAGTCTGGTAATGTGATGTCTCTGGCTTTGTTCTTTTAGCTTTGGATTGCTTTGGTTATTTTGGCTCTTTTTTGGTTCCAAATGGGTTTAGAATTGTTTTTTCCTCTTTTGCTAATTCTGTGAAAAATGTAGTTAGTAGTTTGATAGGAATAGCATTGAATCTGTCAATTGTTTTGCCAGGCAAGGCCTACTAGCCTGGGATCCTAGCTCAGCCACCCCACCCACACCTGAGCATGCTGGCTAGTGTCAGCTTTCCATTTCTCTGAGAGAAAGCTCCTAGAGGTAACCAACAGGCCTGCTACACTCCCGCCCCTAAGGCTGTGGAGGGAGCAAAGATTCCAAGAATTGTTGCAGGCCTCCAGCAGACCTGCAGCTGCCTCGTTTTCAGCATGGGTCCCTGCCCCTGCTACTCATCACCTGGGCCTCCAATGCAGCTGCCTTATCCAACTCCTAACCCCTTCAATTGACAGTGGCTCTGCATTTCTCTGAGGTAGAATTCCCAGAGACAAGTGATATTTCTCTGCCACTGTCACTGCAGTGGTAACTGCCCTTGCTGCCCTCAGGCTGTGGAGCAAACAAAAACCCTGATTTCTTTGCTTGCATATCCAGCAAAAGAATAGGAATATAATAAGAAACCCAGAGTGTGATCGTTTTATTGTTTGTTATGGAGATAACTATATAACGATATTCTTTTAAATTGTGATTTACCTCCCCCTTCAGCCCTGATTGTTGTCTCAAATCCATTTATATGGTTTCACATCTCTAGAAAATAATCATTTTGAGAGAAGGAATGTATGGTTGTCTAACACCTACATGTACATTGGACTCTAACATTATTCAAACTATCTTTCTCTTGTGACCACTGTAATATACTTCAAGAAGTGGGCATTATAGCCTTCCTGGATATAAGGTTCCAGAATAGCCTGATATATGTTTTCTCCACCCGCCCAACACAGTTACCAGAGCTTGCTTAATGTTTAGCTGGTCTGTAGTTTGCTAAGCCATTATAAATATTTTCATCCTCTCTATAATTTCTAGTATGTTATCATCTCTTCTGTTCCCTGATCTCTTATTAGCCTAAGACTTTTTTTTTCCTTCTTGTTATTAATACACTTTATTTTTTAGAGTACTTTTGGGTTCACATCAAAATGAAAGCAAGGTACAAACATCTCTCAAAACCCAGTGTCCCCACACATGCATAGCCTCACCCATTTTCAACATCCCCCACAAAAGAGGTATAAATGTTACCATTGATGACCCTACACTGACACGCATTATTACCACCCAGAGTTCATAGTTTATACTAGAGTCTGCTTTTGGTGTGTATTTCATAGGTTTGGAACAAGCATATAATGGCACGCATCCACCACAATAATATCACACAGAATAGCTTCATCGTTTTGAAAATCCTCTATGCTCCACCTATTCATCCCTCCCTACCTGCTAACCCCTGGCAGCCAATGATTGACACACATATTGACACACATTATTACCACCCAGAGTTCATAGTTTATACTAGAGGCTGCTTTTGGTGTGTATTTCATGGGTTTGGAACAAGTGTATAATGACACACATCCACCACAATAGTATCATACAGAATAGCTTTATTGTTTTGAAAATCATCTATGCTCCACCTATTCATCCCTCCCTTCCTGCTAACCCCTGGCAGCCAACCAGTGATCTTTTCTCTTTTCACTGCCTCCAAAATGTTGCCTTTTCCCAAATGTCACATAATGGAAATCATACAGTATTTAGCCTTTTCAGATTGGCTTCTTTCATTAAGAAATACGCATTTAAATTTTTTCCATGTGTTTTCATAACTTCACAGCACATTTCTTTTTAGCAATGAATAATATTCTACTGCCTGGATGCACCACAGTTTATTTATTTATTCACCTACCAAAGAACATCTTGGTTGCTTCCAACTTTTGTCAATTACATATAAAGCTGCTATAAACATCCATATGTGGGTTTTCAGATGGGCATATGTTTTCGACTCCTTTGGGTAAATACTGAGGAGCATGACTGCAGGAACTTATGGTCAAAGGATATTAAGTTTTGTAAGAAACCGCCAAATTGTCTTCCAAACTGGCTGTACCATTTTGCATTCCCACCAGCAACGAATGAGAGTTCCTGTTGCTTCTCATCCTTGCCAGCATTAGGTGTTGTCAGTGTCCTGGATTTTGGCCATTCTAATAGGTGTGTAGTGATGTCTCATCATTTAAATCAGCATTTTCCTGATGACGTTTAATGTGGAACATCTTTTCATAGGCCTATTTGCCATCTGTGTATCTTCTTTGGTGAGATTTCTGTTAAGGATTTTCTAAAAAATCGGGTTGTTTGTGTTCTTATTAAGTTCTAAGAGGTCTTTGTATATTTTAGATGATAGTCCTTCAGCTGGTTTTGCAAATAGTTTCTTCTAGTCCATGGCCTCTTTTTTCATCCTTATAACAATGCCTTCTGCAGAGCAGGAAATAATAATTTTAATGAAGTCCAACATATAAATTTTTTCATGAAGCATGTCTTTAGTGTTGTTATCCAAAAAGGTCATCTAGAATTTTTTCCTATATTATCTTGTAGAAGGTTTATGGTTTTGCATTTTACACTTAGGTCTACAATCAACTTTTAATTTTTGTGAAGGATATAAGGTCTGTGTTTGTATTATTTTTTGCATATCGATGTCGAGTCATTCGAGTACCATTTGTTAAAAAGACTCTCTTTTTCCATTGTACTACATTTGCTTCCTTGTCAAATATCTGTTGACTGTATTTATGTGGTCTATTTCTGGACCATCTCTTCTGTTCCTCTAATTTATTTGTGTATACTTTTGCCATTTTTTCACTGCCTCAATTATAGTAGTTTTACAGTATGTCTTGAAGTTTAGTATTAAGTCTTCCCATGTTTTCATTCTCTTTCAATATTATGTTGGCTGTTCTGGGTCATTTGACTCCTTATATATAAACTTTAGAAATGGTTTATCAATAGCCATGTAATCATTTGCTGGAATTTGAATGAAGATTGCATTGAATATATAGAACAAGTTGAAAAGAAATGACATCATGACAATATTGAGTCTTCTGATTTATGAACATTAAATAGCTCCATTATTTAGTTCTTTTTTTATTTCATTCATCACAGTTTTGTAGTTTTCCTTGCACACATTTTGTTAGATTTTTATCCAAGCATTTCATTTTGGGGACTTGTAATATAAAGTGTCTTTCATTTTTCATTTCAAATTATACTTGTTCATTGTTGATATATAGTAAAGCTACTGGCTTTTTTTTTTATTAACCTTTTTCCTGCAACCTTTAATGCTGTGATGTTGTATTAGTACCAGCTGTTTTTTTTTAATTTGGTAAATTCTTTTTCATTTTCGGTGTAATCATGTCATCTGTGAACAAAAACAGAGTTATTGCTTCCTTCCTAACCTGTATACCTTTTATTTCATTTTCTTGCCTTATTGGATTAGCTAGGACTTCCAGTATAATGTTGAAAACAAGTGGTGAGAGGGGACATCATGCTTTGCTCCTGATCTTACTGGGAAAACATCAAGTTTCTCACTATTAAGTATGATGCTAGTTGTACATTTTTTGAAGATATTCTTCATGGAGTAAGGGAGTTCTCCTCTATTTCTTCTCTCTACGGAGAGTTTTTATCATTAATGTGTGTTTGATGTTGTCAAATGCTTTTCCTGTATGTATCAATATTATCCATGTGATATTTCTTCTTAGTCTGTTGATATGATGGTTTACATTAATTTTAATGTTGAACCTGTCATGCATACCTGGAATAAATTCCACTTGGTCATGTGGTATATTTATATACTATTGGATTTAATTTGCTAACATTTTTTGGAGGTTCTTGAATTTATGTTCATGAGAGATATCAGATTGTGGTTTTCTTTTCTTATTTTGTCTCTGTATGGTTTTGATATTAAGGTAATGCTAGCCTCAGGGAATGGGTTAGGAAGTATTTCTTCTGCTTCTATTTTCTTCTTTTTCTTCTTCTTCTTCTTCTTCTTCTTCTTCTTCTTCTTCTTCTTCTTCTTCTTCTTTTCTTCTTCTTTTCTTCTTCTTCTTCTTCTCTTCCTCTTCCTCTTTTTCTTCTTCTTCTTCTTCCTCTTCTTCTTCCTTCTTCCTTCTTCTTTTCTTCTTCTTCTTTCTTTATTTTTGTTTTAATTTAGAGACAAGGTCTCACTCTTGCTCAGGTTGGCGTGCACTGCAGCCTTTACCCCCTGTGCTGAAGGGATCCTCCTGCTCCAGCCTCCTGAGTAACTGGGACTACAGGCACATGCCACCCTTCATGACCAGCTAATATTTTAATTATTGCTAGACATGAGGCCTCGCTATGTTTCCTGGACTGCTCTTGAATTCCTGGGCTAAAGCAATTCTTCTGTCTCAGCCTCCCAAAGTTATAAGATTACAGACATAAGCCACCATGACTGGCATGCTTCTATCTTCTGAAAGAGATGGCTGAAAATTGGTATAATATCCTAAATGTTTGACAGAATTCACATGTAAATCCATCTGGGCCTTGTGCTTTCTGTTTTGAAAAGTTATTATTAATTCAATTTACTTAATAGATATAGGCCTATTCAGAGTATCTATGCCTTCTTGTGTGAGTTTTGGCAGATTGTGTCTTTCAAAGAATTGGTCCATTTACCAAGGTTATTAAATTTGTAGGCATACAGTTGTTCATAGTATTTCTTTTTTATCCTTTAATGCTCATGGGATCTATACTGATGTCATTCTTTTACTTCTGATATTAGTAATTTTTGTCCTCTCTGTTTTTCTTACTTAGCCTGGCTACGGCTTATTGATTTTATCAAAGAAACAGCTTTTGGTTTTATTGATTTTCTCTACTGATTTCTTGTTTTAAATTTTATTGATTTCTGTTCTAAATTTGTATTATTTCTTTCTTTCCGCTTACTTTGGATTTAATTTGGTCTTCCCTTTCTAGTTTCCTAAGGTGAAAATTTAGGTTATTTAGATATTTCTTCTTTTTTTAACATATATATCCAAAGCCATAAATTCTCCTTTAAGCACTGGTTTCACTGTGTTACATAAATTTTAATTTTTAGTTTTATTTTCATTTAGTTCAAAGTATATTTTAATTTCTCTTGAGGTTATTTTTGACCTATATGTTATTTACAAGTTTATTATTTAATATCTAAGTACTTTGGGATTCTCCAACTATCTTTCTATCATTCATTTCTAGTAGAATTTGATTGTGGTCTTAAAGCAGGCATTGCAAGATTATTAATATTTTACACTGGTTAAGGTTGTGTTTTATGACTCGGAATGGGGTCTGTCCTGGTGAATATCCTATGTGAGCTTGAGAAAAATGTGTATTGTGCTGTTGTTGGATAAAGTAGTCTATAGAAGTCTATTACATCCTGGCCAGGTGCGGTGGCTCACGCCTGTACTCCCAGCACTTTGAGAGGCTGAGGCGGGTGGATCACTTGAGGTCAGGAGTTCAAGACTAGCCTGTCCAACATGGTGAAACCCCATCTCTACTAAAAATACAAAAATTAGCCAGCTGTGGTGGTGCATGCCTGTAAACCCAGCTACTGGGGAGGATGAGGCAGGAGAATCACTTGAACCTGAGAGGCAGAGGTTGCAGTGAGCTGAGATTGTGCCAGCCTGGGTGACAAAGTGAGACTCTGTCTCATAAATAAATACATACATAGAAGTTTATTACATCCTGTTGACTGACAGTGGTGTTGAGTTAACTATGTCCTTACTGATGTTCTGCATTTTGGATCTGTCCATTCTGATTCAAGGGTGTTTAAGTTCCCAACTATGACAGTGGAGTCATCTATTTCTCCTTGAAGTTCAAGCAGTTTTTATCTCAGTTATATATACTGCTATAGACAATACTTTTGGTCCCTCCAAATTCATATGTTGAACCCTAATCCTCAATGTGATTGTGATGGTAAATTTTAGGTGTCAACTTGACTGAATTAAGAGATACCCAAATAGCTTGTAAAGCATTATTTCTGGGTACGTCTGTGAGGGTGTTGCTGAAAAGAGACTGAAATTTGAATCAGTGGACTGAGTAGAGAACATCTGCTTTCACACAAGGTGGACAGGCACCATCCAATAGGCTGAGGGCCTGGATAGAATAAAAAGGCAACTGAAAGGCAAATTCTCTCTTTCTCTCTTCTAGAGCCAAGATACTTTTTCCCCACCCTTGAACATCAGAAATCCAGGTTCTCTGGCTTTTTGACATTGGGAGATGCACCAGTGGTCCCCCAGGTTCTCAGGCCTTTAGACTTGGACTAAGAGTTATACCATTGGCTTTCCTGGTTCTGAGGTCTTTGGACTTGGACCGAGCCACACTACCAGAATTCATGCTTCTCTAGCTTACAGAGAGCGTATCATGGGACCTCCTAGCCTTCACAGTAGTGTGAGCCAATTCCCCTATAATTACCGTTATCTATCCATCTATCTATCATCTATTGATCGATCAATTGATTGATTGATCATCTCTTGTTGGTTCTATCTCTCTGAAGAACCCTGACTAAAACAGTGATGGCAGAAGGAGTTGGGCTTTGTAATGTGATTAGGTCTTGAGGGTGGAAGCCTCATGAGTGAAATTAGTATTCCCATTAAAAAAACTCCAGAGAGATCCTTTGTCCCTCCTACCATGTGAGAGTATGGAGAGAAGACAGCTGTCTATGAGCCAGGAAACAGGCCCTCCCCAAACACCAAATCTGCTGGTGCCATGATCTTGAACATCCTAGTCTCCAGAACTGTAAGAAATAAATTTCTGTTGTTTATAAGCTTCTTATTCAGTGGTATTTTTGTTATAGCAACCCAAATGTACTAATAACACTCCATTGTTAGACATACACATGTTAAGGACTATTACGACTTCATGGAGAATTGACCCCTTTCTCATCATGTAACGTACCACTTTATCCCTGATAACTGCCCTTTGTCTGAAGTCTGATGTCTGAAATTAATATAGCTACTCTTGCTTTCTTTTAATTTATTTTAGCCTGGCATCTCTCTCCATCCAATACTTTGAATCTATGTAAGTCTTTCTTGTAGGCAACACATAATTGGGTGTTATTTTTTGATCTACTCTGACAGTGTGTCTCTCTTTTAATTGGTGTATTTAGACTATTGAAATTTAAAGTAATTATTGTAATGTAGTTGAATCAATATCACTTATATTTGTTAGCGTTTTCTATTTGTTACTCTTTTCCTTGTTTACTATTTTTTCCTACACTTTTCTTACCTCTTGTGGCTTCAATTGAACATTTTATATAATTTCATTTTCTTTCTTTTATAGCACATTAATCATGCTTCCATTTTTTTAACTTTTAAAAATAGTAGCCCTACAGTCTGCCATATGCATTGATAATTTAGTCCACTTTCAAATAAAACTATATCACTTCAAAGACAACACAAGTACCTTAAAATAAAAAAAATCCTTTCTTCCTATTTCTTTTATCATTGCTGTTATACATTTCACTTATATATGAGAATAAACAGCTATTTATATATACATATATATGTAAACTAATTTAATATATTATTTCTATTATTTTGAAAAAAATTTATCTGTTAGATCAATTAAGAATAATAAAACTGTTTTGATTTTACCTTTACTTACTCCTTCTCTTATGCTCTCCCTTTCTTTATGTAGATCTGAGTTTGTGGTATTTATCATTTTTAGAACTTCTTTTACCATTTCTTGCAAGGCAGGTCTACTGGCAATAAATTCCTTAAATTTTTGTTTGTCAGAGAAAGTTTATGTTTCCTTCAAAGGATAATTTTGCAGAGTACAGAATTCTAGATTGAGAAGTTTTTCTTTCAATGCCTTACATTTTTTATTCCACTATCTTCTTGCTAGCTTGCAGAGTTTCTGAGATGTATTTCTTATCTTTGCTCCTCTATAGTTAAGATGATTTGTTTTTCCTTGGTTTCTTTCAGGGTTTTTAAAATTTATTTTTAATTTTCTGTAGTTTGAAAATGATATGCCTAGGTGTATAGTATTTTTAGTATTTATCCTGCTCAGTGTTCTCTAATCTGTGGTTTGATGTCTGACATTAATTGAAATATTTCTTCTTCTCTTCTCCTCTTCTTTTAGCATTTCCATTACATGTGTGTTACACCTTTTGTAGTTGCCCCATAGTTCTTGGATATTCTGGTCGGACTTTTCTTCAGCCTTTTTTTCTCTTTTCAGTATTGGCAGTTTCTATTGCAATATTTTTAAGCTTAAAGTTTCTCTCCTCAGCCTCATCCAGTCTACCAATAAACCTAGAAAAGGCATTCATTTCTGTTACAGTATTTTTTAAATCTCTAGCAGTTTTTATGGTTCTTTTTTATAATTTCCAGATTTCTGCTTACATTGTGCATCGGATCTTCCATGCTGTTTATTTTACTCAGTAGAGCCCTTAGCATTTTAGTCATAGTTATTTTAAATTCCTGGTCTGATAATTTCAACATCCCTGCTATATCTGAGTCTGGTTCAGATGAGTGTTCTGTCTCTTTAAACTGTAGAGTTTGGGGTTTTTTCGTTTTGTTTTGTTTCTTGTTTTGCGGGGTTTTGTGGGGCTTTTGGTCTTGCCTATTTTATATGTCTTCTATTTTTTACCTGATAGACAGGCATGTCCTTGGCAAATGGAACAGCTCTAAGTGAGCCTTTATTAATGTATTGGTAAAGTGTGGAGGGAGGGGAAGCATTCTATGGTTCTATGAATAGGCCTCATTCTTTTACTGAGCCTGTACCTCTGGACTGTGAACGTCACACATGCTTTCAGTGCCTCCCCATCCTTTAGTTAGGATGGATGGCTAGAGGGCGCTGGAGTTGGGTATTTCCCTTCCCCATGCAAGTAAGGCTCTGATAGGCCCCAGCTGGTTAGGCTCTGGTCAAATAGCTTCTCTTGAGGGGAGACCTGCTGAAAACAGCAGAATATTCTGGTTTATTTCAAATGGTTCCTTTTCTTCTCCCTCTGCCAAAAGCGTAAGAGGATTTTTCTTCAGTATTTATTACAAGAACTTAGTCAAGCTTCTGGAGATAAAACTTACAAAAGTGTGGGACCCTAATGACTAGGTCACCCTTAATTTTTTATGTCTCAGACTCGCCCACTCTGAGCCTCCAGCAATTCCCAAGTTATAGTTCAGGTTTCCCTATCTCAGCGCTGGTTCCTGCAGATGTTTGTGTTCATGGGTTTCTGCTCCAGCAAGCTGTGGCTATTTATTCATAGGTCTCTCTAATTTGGCAGGGAGCAGTGTTTTGCCCTGTGACCACATGTCTCTGAAAAATCTAAGAAAAGTTGTTGAGTTTTCAGTTTATTCTTTTTGTTAGGATGCAATGGTAACTTTCAGCTTCTCTCTTACATGTTGGATTGGAAACCAGAAGTTGCTTTAAAAAAAATAACATAGTTTTAGTGAAGTTTGGGGAAGGAGAAGAGAAAAAAATTCATAGGATCAATATGCCAGATTAAATTGCATGTAAAAGAGTATTTTATATTATACAGACCAAAATGGCACAGAACTTTATGGGCGTAATGCCTATACTATTTTAAAAAATAAATGCTAATATTAATCTACTTTACTTAGACTTTCCTTTTTAGACTATATGCTATCAACTTTGATGATACTGCTACTGACATTGGTTGAGAACAACCAGTGATTTATGCTAGGTTACTGAGGTAAAATAAGTTATTGTTCATTAGCTGGCAAAACTATGGGATAAGACAGGCTGACAAAACAATTCTGTGCTGATAAATTGCTGTGTACTTATTTGCAAGGCTGGCATAAATAATCTTATTTCTTCAAGGTGCAAACAATAGATAGCAAGAGACCATTAGGTGTCATGCCAGAGAAGGGCCAAGAGAGCAATACGGCATCCTCAGGGCTTTTCACAGGAGGATCATTAATTTATGTTTTCTAGTGTGTAGGCTTATTCCTGAGAAAAGTACAGTTCTGATCAGTTTCAAACCTAAAACAGTCATTGTTGAAAAGAGCAAGTCCAGTTGTTTTGTGCTATTACTTAGAAAAAGAAAATATACTGTTTATAATATTGATGTATCTTCCAATGAATTCTAACATGAAGCAGGAGTGGCAATCATTTTGAGAATATATTTTGTTCAGTCATCATTTTCTTTTATTTCTCCCTAATTTTGAGATGAATTCTTTTAAATGGCAACTTTATTGTTTATCAAGTTCAATATTTTTAAATGTACAGTGAAATAACTCTTTTTGCCATATTGAGAAAGGAGTGCTTGTATGTAGTAAAAATATCATAATATTTAAATACAAGATTATTGCAATTGTGGATGAAAATGCTAATAAAAATTATAAGAATTAAAGTGATTTCTAATCATGGTATCTATGACAGAGTAATATGGGAGTCTGTACTTTATTATTAATTAGAAAGTGAATATAGTATCTATTGCAGATTAGATTTAAAGGAAACTTTACTTAAAATTAAGTGTTCTTAATGTAATTTCATCCCATAAAATACTTCCATCATAATTTCAAACATGATATTGATAAAAACATTTCAGATAAAAACACAAATTTCCATTTTATTTCTCAACCTTTTGATGCAAAAAATGAAAAATCTGGGTGGATATGGAATACAAAATATTGGATGTTGTACCCACTGAGATTCATATTGAGATTTATAGGCTGTGTTCTGATTCTGCTGGAAGACTGACCTCTATCCAGTATTCTATTCTATGATTAATTCCTCATATGTGCTCCACAACCTACTTTTTCTCCACAATTCCCAATCCTCCCCAATAGGTCTCATTCTTGTCATGTAAGCCATACTTTGTTCTTTCAGCAGTCAGTGTCTGCTTCTGTTCAAAACACAGAAAGTTCACCAATCCATTCAAAGTTTCACCAGTAATATGTACCAAAATAAAGTTTGAAGATGTCCAACAGTGAATGCCTAATTTAGACATTACTTTTTATGTAAAGTGAATTTGCTTTTTTTCATAAGGCAATGTTACTCAATGTCTTGATGCTTTCAAAATCCCAACTGTAGATTAATACAAATGGAGACAATATAATATTGGAATCAAGTTATTACATAATTTAGATAATTTTGATAGACTGGAAATATGTGTCTACTTCTGGCTCTATTAACGATCCATTTTGTGACCCTAAAAATTATTTCATGAATCCACATCTTAAATTAGCCCTCTGTGAATCTCATTAAAAAATAAAGAAATTGTATGAAACTTTCTCAGTTGTGTCTGATAAAATAAGTGAGGGAAAAAATTGAGATTTTTTCCTATTTATCAGATGTGTAATCAGGTTTCATTTACTTTACCAGTTCTAGGTAAATATAATCTTATATTATAAAGTTACATCAATCCTAAGGGATGTGCACAATTTGTTGTTAATTAAAATGAATACATAAGAAAAATAAGAAGAACATTCTTGGAACACTTAACAAAAAATGTACTTTTGCAATTTAACAAATCATTAGATAAAATAGCTCAGGCTTCCCATATTTATAAAATGTGAGTGATCTGCTCTCCTATTCATTCGAAGCATTTTCTTTGCATATACAACCGATTCTACTCTTTAATGCATATTCATCATTAAACATGTTTTCTTCAGTTAAATATGCATGTGAATATAACAAGAAGATTTAGTGCTAAAAAATCATTTTGGGGCAGATAAGATGAAATCTGCTCATTACTTACCATTTACCAAAATTTTGTTGGTCTATCTTTAATCTTCCATAAATAGATCAAATTTTCAGGGTTATATAAATCAGTAGTAAAAATTATGGTGCTTTACTTTGCTTACTAATTTTCAAAGGAAAAATAACCCTTAGAAATCAAATGGCTAGGATGTAAAAATTTTGGTAAAGCAGAGTGTTTTTTAAAATCTTGATTTGCTACATAAACTTCTAAAATAGCTCTCTCTCAAGCTCTGATTACTACATTTCATGCACTCCTTTTCTAAAGTATATATTCTTCTATCCCCCTGATGGAGAGATTGAAGAGACTAACATGCTATACAGTTAACAATTATGCCTTGACCTATTATTATATTCAAAGCACTATAATTGACTAAAAAGTGAAGGCAGTGAGGAAACAAAACTTAATACAACATTGTCATTGCCCTCTATTTCAAATAGTGAAAGAAAATATAATTTTAAAATTTACAATTCTATTAACATTGCTATAGAAATCTATAAATGCTCTTTTTGGTATAAAATATGCCTTTGATATTTAAAAATTCAATTGTGCACTTATAAATGTATCCATATGCATATATTTCTGGGAAAATACACCCCAAACTGTTCATAATGTTTGCCTCTAGGCTGGAGAAAGAGCTACTTCTTATTAGGTTCTTTTGTTCCATCTGAATGCATTTTGTTCATGACATGTATTATATTCAGAACCTACTTGGTTCCAGTATAATTTATTTACAATAAAACATAATCAAGTAAAATGTGTGAGTAGAGATCAATTATGACAAATACATAACTTCTTGTAAACACAACCTTATTCCTTGATTAATCTACTGCCGATCTTTCTTTCCATAATTATACATTACTTTTACCTATTCTGGAACTTTATGTAAATAGAATCATAGGGTATGCTCTTTATTGTTTTTGCCTTATTTCATTACACATAATGATTTCTGAGATTCATTATGTTTATGTTATATATAAAATACAATATATAAGCTATATTATCTATTAATATGTAAGATATTATATATATTATATATGTATAAGGTTATTCCTTTTTAATACTGTGCTGTATTCCTTTGAATGAATTACCACAGTTGGTTTATTCATTTACCTGTTGATAGGCATATGTACTGTTCTAGTTTGTGGGTCTTATGAACAAATTGCTGTAATTACATAGAAGTTACCATGCAGTCACCTGCTTTTATATCTCTTGGTAGGATTGTGTGATAAATGTATTTGTACCTTCATAATACATTGGGAAACTAGTTCCCAAAGTAGCCATACCATTTAGCATTTCCATCAGAAATGTATGAGGATTCCATTTGCTCCACATTCGCATGAACAATTGGTATCATCATCATTTCAGTTTTATCTTTCAAATGGATGTAACATGTTTTATTATGCATCGAGCTGATGACTAAAAATATTGAACATCTTTTGACCATTTTTGTTTGGCTGTTACCTAATTCATGAGTTATAAGAGGTTTTATATATTTTGATAGGCACTTTGTCAGAAATAAGTTTAAATATATTCTGTCATTATTTGGATTACTCTTCATTTCTTAATGTGTTCTTTGAAGAAGACTTTTTAATGAAGTCCAATTTGTTGATTTTGTTATCAGTTTGTGGGTGAGCTTTTTTTGTCCTAGGAAATTGCTGTTGACTCCGAGTTCACAAAGAATTTCTTCCATGTTTTTGTCTAGATTTTTATAGTTTTAGATTTTCATTTAGGTCTATGATTCATTTTTGGTTAATTTTTCATATGATATGAAGTAGATACTGAAATGCATTTCTTTTTCCATAGGAATACTCAGGTGTTCTAACACAATTTGTGGAAAACATGATCTTCTCACATTGAATTACGTTGTTATCCATGTTAAAATCAGTTTATCACACGTGTGTGTGTTTCTGAATTCTATTCTGTTACATTGATCTATATGTCTTATGCCAACATGCCAAGGTGACACCTTATTTAATTCTGTATCATTACAGTATGTCTTGAAATCAAGTACTGTAAAACCTCTAACTTTGTTCTTCTATTTTTAAATTATTTTGGTTATTCTAGGCTCTGTATATTTCTATATAAATGTTAGAATCAGCTGTGTAGACAAACATGTCATTGCAAATAAAAGGAGTTTTACTTCTTCATTTCCAAACTATGTGCCTTTTATTACATGACTTCTTGCACTGACTAGGCATTTCAGTACAATATTGAATAAAATAAATGGGAGCAAATATTACTACATTTTTCTGATTTTAGAAGTTAGCACTTAAGTCTTTTACCATTAAATACGTTATTATGTGTGTCTTACAAGAAATATTTACATTTCATCTGAGTTGTTTTATTTTTTTGAGACTGAGTCTCACTCTGTTGCCCAGGCTGGAGTGCAATGGCCAGATCTCAGCTCACTGCAAGCTCCGCCTCCTGGGTTCGCACCATTCTCCTGCCTCAGACTCCCAAGTAGCTGGGACTACAGGCGCCCGCCACGATGCCCGGCTAATTTTTTTTTTTTTTTTTCGGTATTTTTAGTAGAGACGGGGTTTCACCGTGTTAGCCAGGATGGTCTCGATCTACTGACCTCGTGATCCACCCGCCTCGGCCTCCCAAAGTGCTGGGATTACATGCGTGAGCCACCATGCCTGACCTCATCTGAGTTTTAAAATTTAATTTTGATAAATAGTAAAACTAACATTCTCTTATTATCTTGTCAATGTCTCCAGGATTATAGGATCTACAGTGATGCAAGCTTACCTTGGTTGATTATTTCATTTCATGATCACAGTCATCTATTGGCTGATGGAATGTGTGTGAAAATAACTATTATATTTTTCAAATTATCTAGTTGTTCATTACAGAAAGACAAAACTAGTGCAAATTACTCCATGAGTTTAGGTTAAAATCTGTGCAAAGTTTTTCAATTTTGAACTTACTTCCTTTAATAAATACAGAGTAATTCAATTTTTCTATATTACATTCAGTTTTGATAAATTGTTTTTAATTTATCAAATTTATTAACATATTGTCAAAAGTGTCCAGTTTTCAACACAACTTATAAGACATGCAAAGAAACAGGGAAATGTGACAGAAGAAACATGTAGACAATACAAACTGTTTTTGAGGGGGCCCTCATGATTAACTTATAAACGAAAACTTAGGAGATATTACAAATATATTCAGATAATTAAAAAAAACCTAAAGAAAATAAAGGAAGATATGACAAAAATTTCCCATCAAATATAGAATATAAAGATTGAGAAAGAAATTATTAAATAAGTGCCAAGTGGAAATTAGAAATTCTGGAGTTGAAAACTCCATACTCAAAACGAAAAAAAAAATTGCTAAAATGATCAACAGTAAATTTGAGATGGCAGAAGAAAAGAATCAGGAGCTTGAAGATATATTAAAAGATATTATTCAATCTAAGCAAAGAGAAAGAATAATTTAAACAATGAGTAAAGCCTAAGAAAAATGTGGAACACCATTAAGCACAATATATACATCAGAGAAGAAGAGAGCCAAAAGAAAGAAGAGAGACAAGAACGGGAGGAAAAAACTTCAACATTAAATAACTAAAAAGGACTATAAAGAAATAATACACATTCTATTCAACAGCGTATGGAACTTTCTTCAAGATAGGCCACAAAACGAGCCTCAATATACTTAAGAAAATTAAAATTATATCAAGCACTTCTATACACCAACAGTGATCAAGTGGGAAATCAAATCAAGAACTCAACCTCTTTTACAATAGCTGCAAAAAATAAAATAAAATACTTAGGAAGATACCTAACCAAGGAAGTGAAAGACCTCTACAAGGAAAACTACAAAATACTGCTAAAAGAAATCATAGACGACACAAACAAATGGAAACACATCCCATTTTCTCGATATGTGGGAGATAAGCTATGAGGACACAAAGGCATAAGAATGATACAATGAACTTTGGGGACTTAAGAGGAAGGGTGGGAGGGGGACGAGGGATAAAAGACTACAAATAGGGTGCAGTGCATACTGCTCAGGTGATGGGTGCACCAAAATCTCAAAATCACCAGTAAAGAACTTACTAACGTACTCAAATACTACCTGTACCCCAATAACCTATGAAAAATAAAAAAAATTAAAAAAATATTATCAACATTTGTATGCCAAATTAGCAAAAAACTTAGATAAAATAGATAAACTCCTGGAAATATAAATTAACTGAAAATGACTGGAGAAGAAATAAAGATTCTATGTAGACTTATAACAAATAAAGAGACTGATTGATGTTTTTAAATGACTTGTCACAAAGCAAAGAATAAGCTGAGATACCTTCACTAGTAAATTTTATAGAACATTTAAAGAATTAAATCTAATTCTTCACAAACTCCTTAAAAAGTAGAATATGAATAAGCACTTTCATTTATAAAAAATAACTTTTACTCTAGGCTCAGGGGTACATGTGCAGGATTGTTACACAAGTAAATTGCATGTTATGCTGGTTTGGTGTACAGATTATTTCATCACCAAGGTAGTAAGCATAGTACCCAATAGGTAGTTTTTCTTTTTTTTTTTAAATTATACTTTAAGTTCTAGGGTACAAGTGCACAACGTGCAGGTTTGTTACATATGTATACATGTGCCGTGTTGGTGTGCTGCACCCGTTAACTCGTCATTTACATTAGGTATATCTTCTAATACTATCCCTCCCCCCACCCCCCTCCCCCCATCCCCCTCCCCACACCCCATGACAGGCCCCAGTGTGTGATGTTCCCTACCCTGTGTCCAAGTGTTCTCATTGTTCAGTTCCCACCTATGAGTGAAAACATGCGGTGTTTGGTTTTCTGTCCTTGTGATAATTTGCTCAGAATGATGGTTTCCAACTTCATCCATGTCCCTGCAAAGGAGGTGAACTCATCATTTTTTATGGCTGCGTAGTATTCCATGGTGTATATGTGCCACATTTTCTTAATCCAGTCTATCATTGATGGACATTTGGGCTGGTTCCAAGTCTTTGCTATTGTAAATAGTGCCGCAATAAACATACATGTGCATGTGTCTTTATAGCAGCATGATTTATAATCCTTTGGGTTTATAAATCCAAAGGTTTATAAACCCTTTGGTACATACCCAGGGTATATACCCAGGGTATATACCCAGTAATGGGATGGCTGGGTCAAATGGTATTTCTAGTTCTAGATCCTTGAGGAATCACCACACTGTCTTCCACAATGGTTGAACTAGTTTACAGTCCCACCAACAGTGTAAAAGTGTTCCTACTTCTCCACATCCTCTCCAGCACCTGTTGTTTCCTGACTTTTTCATGATCACCACTCTAACTGGTGTGAGATGGTATCTCATTATGATTTTGATTTGCATTTCTCTGATGGCCAGTGATGATGAGCATTTTTTCATGTGTCTGTTGGCTGCATAAATGTCTTCTTTTGAGAAGTGTCTGTTCATATCCTTTGCCCACTTTTTGATGGGCTTGTTTGATTTTTTCTTGTAAATTTGTTTAAGTTCTTTGTAGATTCTGGATATTAGCCCTTTGTCAGATGGGTAGATTGTAAAAATTTTCTCCCATTCTGTAGGTTGCCTGTTCATGCTGATGGTAGTTTCTTTTGCTGTGCAGAAGCTCTTTAGATTAATTAGATCCCATTTGTCTATTTTAGCTTTTGTTGCCATTGCTTTTGGTGTTTCAGTCATAGGTAGTTTTTCATACTCCTCTCACCCTCCAAACTCAAGTACGCCCCAGTGTCTATTGTTCCTTTCTTTGTGTCCATGTGTACTCATTGTTTAGCTCCAACATATAAGTGACAATATTTGGTGTTTGGTTTTCTGTTCCTATATTAGATTGCTTAGGACAATGACCTCCAGCTCCATTTATATTGCTGCAAAGGATATTATCTTGTTTTTTTTTATGGTTGTGTGTTATTCTATGGTATATATGTACCTCTTTTTCTTTATCCAGTCTAACTTTGATGGGAATCTTGGTTGATTCCATATCTTTGATATTGTGAATAGTGCTGTGTTTAACATACACGTGCATGTGTCTTTCTGGTATCGGGATTTATATTCCTTTAAGTGTATATCCAATAATGGTATTGCTGGGTCAAATGGTAGTTCTATTTTAAGTTCTTTTATAAATCGCTAAAGTGTTTTCCACAGTGGCTGAGTTAATTTGCATTTCCACCAGCAGTGCATAAGTGTCCCCTTTTGTCTACAACCTCACCAGCATCTGTTATTTTTTTGACTTTTTAATGCTATCCATTCTAAAGCTAAGGAATATGCAATTATGTAAAGTAACCTAATATGTGGCTAATTGGCATTCCTGACAGAGAAGAGAAAGCAGGCAATTTTGAAAACATATTTGAGGATATAATCCAGGATAATTTCCCCATTCTCTCTATAGAGGTGACATATAGATACATGAAATCCAGAGAACTCCTACAATATACTATACTAGATGACTATCCCCAAGGCACATAGTCACCAGACTTTCCAAGGTCAATGCAAAAGAAAAAAATCTTAAATGTAACTAGACAAATGTGCCATGTAATCTATAAAGGGAATCCCGTCAGACTAACAGTGGACTTTTCAGTAGAAACCATACCTTCTGGAAGAAACTGGGTGCCTACTTTTTGGATTCTTAAAGAAAAGTAATTTCAGCCAAGAATTTCATAGCCCACCAAACTAAGCCTTATAAACAACGAAGAAATAGGTTTTCCAGATAAGCAATCTATAAGAGAACTTGTCACCACCATGCTAGCTGTACAAGAGATGCTTAAGGGAGTCTTAAACATGGACTCAAAAGAATGATACATGCCACCAGAAAAACACACCTAAGTATGTAGCCCACAGACCCTATAAAGCAACTATACAATTGAGACTACATAGCAACTAATGAAGAACACCACAACAGGAATAACAACTCAAATAACAATATTAACATTGAAGATAAGTATCCTAAACATTCCACTCAAAAGACATAAAGTAGCAAATTGGATTAAAATAAGAAGACCTAACTTCTTCTGTCTTCAGAAGTTCTATCTCACACATAATGACACCCATAGGCTCAAAGTAAAGGAATGGAGAAGGATCTATTTCATAAAAGGTAAACAAGAATAGGGACTGTTGTTTTATTAATCAGATAAAAGACTTCAAAGAAACAACAGTTTAAAAAAAGCACAAAGAAGAGCATAATCTAATGATAAAGGGATCAATTCAAAAAGGACTTACCTGTCTTAAATATATATACACCTGATACTGGAGGACTCAGATTTATAAAACAATTACTACTGGACGGGGCGCAGTGGCTCACACCTGTAATCCCAGCACTTTGGGAGGTCAAGGTGGGCAGATCACAAGGCCAAGAGATCAAGACCATCCTGGCCAACAGGGTGAAACCCCGTCTCTACTAAAAATACAAAAATTAGCTGGGGGTGATGGTGCACGCCTGTAGTCTCAGCTACTTGGGAGGCTGAGGCAGGAGAATTGCTTGAACCTGGGAGGCAGGGGTTGCAGTGAGCCAAGATTGAGCCACTGCACTCCAGCCTGGTGAGAGAGTGAGACTCTGTCTCAAAAAAAAAAAAAAAAAAATTACTACTGGACCTAAGAAAACACTTAGACAGTGACATAATAATAGTGGGGGGTTTCAACACCCCACTGACAGCGTTAGATTACCAAAGCAGAAAACTAGCAAAGAAATTCTGGACTAAAATTTGACACTTGAACAATTGGACGTAATAGAAATCTACAGAATACTTCACCCAAGAACCACAGAATATACATTCTCATCTGCACACAGAACATATTCTAAGTAACCACATGCTGAGTCATAACAAAGCTCAATTTCAAAAGGAACCAAATTATACCTAGCATCTCCTTGACTACAGTGGACTACAATTCGAAATCAATACCAAGAGGAACTTTAAAAAGCACACAAACACATGGAACCTAAACAATGATATTAAGGCAGAAATCAAAAAAATTCTTCAAAGAAACAAATGAAAATAGCGACACAATACACCAAAACCTATGAGATATGGCAAAAGCAGTGTTAAGAGAAAAGTTTATAGCACTAAACACCTATATTAAGAAGACAGAAAGATCTCAAATTAACTACTTAATATTATAACTATAGGAACTAGAGCAAACTAAACTCAATGCTAGTAGAAGAAAAGAAATAATAAAAATCAGAACATAATTAAATGCAATTGAGAAAAAAAACTATATAAAGAATCAATGAAATGAAAAGTTGCCCCTTTGAAGGGATAAACAAGATTGATAGACCACTAGCTAGAATAACAAAGAAAAAAAGAAAATATTCAGATAAGCACAATCAGAAATGACAAAGATGACATTACAACTGATCACACAGAAGTTCAAAAGATCCTCTGAAACTACTATGAATATCTCTATATGTGCAAATCAGAAAATCTATAGGAAATGAACTCCTAGAAACACACAGCTTCCCAAGATTGAACCAGGAAGATACAGACACCATAAACAGACAAAAAACAAATTCCAAAATTGTGTCAGTAATAATTATAATATTTATAATAAATTATAATATGTTTATAATATATAATTTATAAATTAAATATTTATAATAATTATAATTTAAAAACCCTATGAACCAAAAAAGTTCCAGAGCAGATGGATTCACAGCCAAATTCTAACAGGTGTACAAAAATTTCAGTAGCAATTTTACTGAAACTATTCCAAAAATTAGAGGAGGAAGGATTCCTCTCTCTTTCTGTGAAGCCAGTACTATCCTTATACTAAAAGCTGGCAAAGGCACTGTGAAAAAAACAAAACTACAGGCCAGTATTCCTGATAAACATACAAGCAAAAATCTGCAACATGATTCTAGCCAACTGAAGGTACCAGCAATATCAAAAGGATAAATAACCAGAATCAAGTGGGCCTTATTCCTGAAATGCAAGGTTGATTCAAAATCATTAAATATGATTAACCACATAAACAGAATTAAAAATGAAAACCATATGATCATCTCAATAGATGCAGAAAAAAATTCAATAAAATGCAACATTCTATCAAGATAAAAACTCTTAACAAGGCAGGCATTGAAAAAACATACCTTAAAATAATAAGAGCCATCTTTCACAAACCCACAAATATCATACTGAATGGGCAAAAGTTCCCCTTAGGAACTGGAACAATATAAAGATGTCTATTCTCATCATTCTTATTTGTTACAGTACTGGAAGTCCTTACCAGAGCAATCAGTCGAGAGAAAGAAAGAAAAGGCACCCAAATAGAAAAAGAGAAAGTCAACTTCTCTTTCTTAGCCAATGATATGATTCTATACCTAGAAAACCCTAAAGATTCTGCCAAAAGAATCCTAGACCTGATAAACTACTTCAGCAAAGTCTCAGGATACAAAATCAATGTATAAAAGTCAGTAGCATTTCTATACACCAATAACATTTAAACTGAGATTCAAATCAAGAATGCAATCTCATTTACAATAGCCACAAAAAATAAAATACCTAGGATACAGCTTACCAAAGAGGTTAAAAAAAAAAAAATCTCTACAACAAGAACTGCAAAACACTGCTGAAAGAAATCATTGAACACAATCAAATGGAAAAACATTACATCCTCATGGATTGGAAGAAATGGTATTGTTAAAATGTCCATATTGCCTGAAGCAATCTGTAGATTCAACACAATTCTGATCAAATTACCAATGTTATTCTTCACAGAATTAGAAAAAAAAAAATCTATTCTAAAATTTATATGGAACCAAACAAAAAAGAGCCCAAATAGCCAAAGCAATCCTAAGCAAAAAACATAAAACTAAAGTTATCACAACCTGATCTTCAAACTACACTATAAGGCTATGTACCTAAAAAAGCATGACACTGTTAAAAAAAAAAAGAGGTGCATAGACCAATGAAACAGAATGGAGAACCCAGAAATAAAGCCGCACACTGACAACCAACTAATCTTCAACAAAGTCAACAAAGACAATGGGAAAGGATACCTTATTCAATAAATGGTGCTGGGAAAACTGGAAAACCATAGGCAGAAAAATGAAATTCAACCTCTACCTCTCACCATATATAAAAATTAACTCAATATGAAATAAAGACTTAAATATATGACTTCAAACTATAAAAATCCTAGAATAAAACCTACGGAGTATTCTTCTGGATATTGACCTAGGCAAAGAATTTCTAAGTCCTCAAAAGCAAATGTGACCAAAACAGAAATGGATCTAATTAAAATAAAGAACTTTGGCAAAGCAAAAGAAACTATGAAGAGTAAATAGACAACCTACAGAATGGGAGAAAACATTTGCAAACTAAGCCCCTGACAAAGAACTAATATTCAGAATCTACAAGATACTTAAATCAACAAAAACAACATCAAAAATCACAAACAAGGCCATTAAAAAGTGAGCCAAGAACATGAGCAGACACTTCTCAAAAGAAGGCATACAAGCAGCCAAAACACAGACAAAAAAATATGCTTTACATCATTAATCAATAGAGAAATGCAAATCAAAACCAAAAGGAGGAATCACCTTACACAAGTTAGAACAGCCATTATAAAAAGTGAAAAATAACAGGTTGGCAAGGTTGCAGAACAAAAATGAATGCTTATACGCTGTTGGTGGGAATTGTAAATCAGTTCAGCCCCTAGGAAAAGCTGTTTGGAGATTTCTCAAAAAACTAAAAATAGAATTACTATTCAACCCAGCAATCCCATTACTGGGTATATACCCAAAGGGAAATTAGCCATTTTACCAAAAAGACACCTGCACTCACATGTTCAGTGCAGCACTATTCACAACAGCAAAGACATGGAATGAACCTAGGTGCCCATCAATGGTGGACTAGATAAAGAAATAAAATGTAATACATATACACCATGGAATACTACAGAGCAATGAAAAAGAATGAAATCATGTCCTTTGCAGCAACATGGCTGCAGGTGGAGGCTATTATCCTAAGTGAATTAATGCATAAACGGAAAACCAAATACTGTACATTCTCACTTATAATTGGGAGCTAAACATTGAGTACACATGAACATAAAGATGGAAACAGTAGACACTGGTGACTCCAAACAAAAGCAAGGAAGAGGGAAAAGCTTGAAAAACTACCTATTAGGTACTATGTTCTTTAAAACAAGAAAAGATACAATCTATATGCATCTTTAGATTGCTTATTTGAAGTTTTTTTCCATTTATTTGATGTAGGCACTTATAGGTATACATTCTCCTGTTAGTATTGCTTTTGCTGTATCCCATAGGTTTTGGTATGTTGTGTTTCCATTATTATTTATTTTAAGAAACTTTTCAATTTCCTTTTTAATTTCTTCAGTGACCCAGTAGTGATTCAGAGGATATTGTTTAATTTCCATGTATTTGTATAGTTTCCAAAATTCCTCTTATTAACTTCTAGATTTATTCCATTGTGGTCAGATACTTGATGCTGTTTCATTTTTTGAATGTTTTAAGACTTGTTTTGTGACCTAACATATATCCTTGAGAATAACCCATGTACTGAGGTAAAGAATGTGTGCTCTGAAGCTTTTGCATGAAATGTTCTGTAAATATCTATTAGAGCTATTTTGTCTATAGTGCAGGTTAAATCTGATGTTTCTTTGTTTATTTTCTGTCTGGAAGATCTGTCCAATGCTGAAAGTGGGGTGTTGAAGTCTCCAGCTATTATTGTATTGGGACTCATCTCTCTTTTTAGCTCTAAGTATATTTCCTTTATATATTTAAGTGCTCCAGTGCTGGGTGCATATATATATTTAAAATTGTTATATCCTCTTGCTGATTGACCCCTTTATCATTGTATAGTGACTTTCTTTGTCTCTTCTTATAGTTTTTGCATTGAAATCTATTTTGTGTGATGTAAGTCTAGTGACTCCTGCTCCTTCTGGTTTCCATTGGCATGGAATATATTTTTCCATCCACTTGTTTTCAGTCAGTGTGTATCTTTTTATGTGGAGTGTGTTTCTTATAGGCAACAGATCAATGAGTCTTGTTTTTTTCATCCACTCAGCCAGTCTATGTCTTTTGATTGGAGAGTTTAGTCTATTTGTATTCATTGTTACTATTATTGAGTAAGAACTTATCCTGCCATTTTGTTACTCGTTTTCTGGTTGTTTTGGGTCTTCTCTTTCTTCTTTCATTCATTCTTTTCTCTAGTAAAGGTAATTTATTCTGATGATGTAATTTAGTTTCTTGCTTTTGATTTTTTGTGTATCCATTTTATGTTTTTTTGGTTTGAGATTACCATGAGGCATGCAATTACTATGTTATAACTCATTATTTTAACCTGAAAGCAACTTAACAGTATTTGCATAAACAAACACACAAACAAGAGAAAAGAAAACTAACAAAAACTCACTTTAAATTTGTCCCTGGGCTTTTTAACATTTTGTTATTTCTATTTACATCTTATTTTACTGACTATGTCTTGAAAAGTTGTTTTAGTTATAATTTTTCATTACTTTATCCTTTAGTCTTTCTAGTTAGGATAAAAGTAGTTTACACAGCACAGTTATAGTGTTATTCTATTCTGCATTTTTCTGTGTACTTACTATTACCAGTAAGTTTTGTACCTTCAGCTGATTATTCACTGCTCATTAATGTTCTTGTATTTCTGATTGAAGTACTCCCTTTAGCATTCCTTATAGGACAGGTCTGGCATTAATGAAATCCCTTAGCTTTTGTTTGTCTGTGAAGTCTTTATTTCTCCTTCATGTTTGAAGGATATTTTCACCAGAAATACTATCTGAGTTTAAAAGCTTTGTTTTGTTTTGTTTTTCCTTTAGCATTTTCAATATGTCATGTCACTCTCTCCTGGCCTGTAAAGTTTCCACTGAAAAGTGTGCTGCCAGATGTGTTGGAGCTCCATTGTATATTTATTTGTTTCTTTTCTGCTACTATTTTTAGGATCATTTCTCTATCCTTGACTTTGGGAGTTTGATCATTAAATGCCTTGAGGTAGTCTTCTTTGGGTTAAATCTGCTTGGTGTTCTACAGCCATCTTGTACTTGGATATTGATATCTTTCTCTGGGTTTGGGACGTTCTCTGTTATTTTCCCTTTGAATGAACTTTCTACCCCTATCTCCTTCCCTACCTTCTCTTTTAGCCCAATAACTCTTAGATTTGCCCTTTTGAGGCTATCTTCTAAATCCTGTAGGTATGATTCATTGTTTTTTATTCCTTTTTTCTTTTGTCTCCTCTGACTATGTATTTCCAAGTCTGTCTTCATGCTCATTAAATATTTCTTTTGCTTGATCCATTTTGATGCATTCTTCAGTATGCCAATTGCATTTTTTACCTCTGGAATTTCTACTTGATTTTTTTAATTGTTTTAAACTCTTTGTTAAATTTACCTGATAGAATTCTAAATTCATTCTATTTTTTATCTTGAATTTCTTTGAGTTTTCTCAACCAGTTACTTTGAATTCTCTGTCTGAAAGGTTACATATCTCTGTTTCTTTAGGGTTGGTCCCTGGTGTCTTATTTAGTTAACTTGGCCAAGTCATGTTCTCTTGGATGGTGTTAATGCTAGTAGATGTTCTTTGGTGTCTGGGAATTGTAGGGTTATATATTTATTTTAGTCTTCACTCTCTGGGCTTATTTGTAGCCATCCTTCTGGGGAAGTCTTTCCAGATATTTGAAAGAACTTCAGTTATGTGACATAAGCTGATTTTGCTTTAGGGGCACCCCAACCCCGGTAATGCTGTGGTTTTTACAGACTCATAGAGGTACTATCTTGATGGTCTTGGACGAGATCTGGGAGAATTCTCTGGATTACCAGGGAGAGACTCTCTCTTTCCTTACTTTCTCCAAAACATACAGAGTCTCTCTCTGTTCCGAGCCACCTAAAGCTGGGGCTAGAGTAAGATAAGCACTTCTGTGGCCACCACCACTGTGATTGTGCTGGGTCATACCTGAAGCCAGCACAGCACTGGGTCTTCCCCAAGGCCTGCTGTATCCAATCCTTGGCTACTGCATATGTTCCCTTAAGCCCTTGTGCTCCACAATCAGAGGTGGCAAAGCTAGCCAGGCCTGAGTCTTTCCCTTCATGGTGGTGAGATCTCCCAGGCCTGTGGTGAGTCTAGAAGTGTCATCCAGGATTGAGGGACTAGAGTCAAAAACCTTAGAAGTCTACCTGGTATTCTATTGTATTATAGCTGAGCTGGCACTCAAACCACAAGATGCAGTACTGTCCATTGATCCCTCTCTTTTTCAAAGGCAAAGGAGCCTGACCTCATAGCCACTGCCACCTTTGGCCATGGGGAGTACTGTCAGACTACCACCAATGTTTCCTTAAGGAACAAGGTCTCTTAAGTCAGCTTGTGGTGACTTAAGACAGCATTGTAGTGAATGCTGCCTACCCTGGTAGTTATCTTTCAGGGCAGTGGACTCCTCTCTGGCCTAGGGCAGGTCTAAAAATGCCAGACAAAAGTCAAGTCCTAGAATCAGGGACCCAAAGATGCTGCTTGGTGCTTCATCCCAATGTGGTAGTGTTGGTACGTAAGGTGTAAGACAAAGAAAGTCTTTTACTTTTACCTCTTTACTTTTACCCTTTACTTTTACCTTTACTTTTACCTCTTCTTTTCTCAAGCAGAGTTTTATCCTATAGCCACCATAGCTGGCAATGTGCTGAGTCTCATTTGAAGCCAGTAAGTTTCAGAGGCTCACTAAGGCCCTTGGTGTAGTACGTTGGTATGGTTGCTGGCTATTCAGGGCCCAAGGGCTCTTTAGTTAGCAGGTGATGAATGCTAGCAGGATTGGCTACTTTCCTTCATGCAGCAGGTTCCCTTCTGGCCAAGGATGTGTCTACAGATGTCTTCTGGGAGCTAGGGATTGGAACAGGGGCCTCCTGACTCTGACTGGTACTCTATCCTGCTGTGGCTGAGCTGGTGTCCAAGATGGAAGACAAAGTCCTCCCCACTATTCTCTCTTCTCCTCAAGCAGATGGAAGGGGTCCCTTTTGGAGCCATGAGCTGTGCAGCCTGGGGCTTGGGTAGAGGTGATTCCAGCACTCCCTTGACTTCCCCAGATGGTGTCTCAGTATGTTGCATGCCCTCCCAGTCCACTATCTCTCAGACTAGTTCAGTACTAGGACTAGCCTACAAATTGCAGTCCTTCTGGCCTAGACTGCCTTTCAAGTTTACTTACAAGATGAGAGCATTTTCGCCCTCAGTGTCAAGGTTTGGGGGCACTCAAGTTTGGACCACTGGGATCTGTGATTCTCCTGTGGCTAGGGCTGGTTTAACTGATCCCTCTGTGAGTGGGCATCAGCTAAGTTTGGTCTGTTTTTCTTTTTGCTCTAACAGAAAAGCACTGAGTTCAATGACTCACAATTGCTGTGCTTTCCATCTCCCAGCACATAGATTCTCTCTGCACCACTCTGCTGCTGCTGCTGCTGCTGGGGGTGTGGGAGGGGTGGCATCAGCAATTCAGGACTCTTTTTTTCTATCTCTTCAGTACCTCTTTCAGCCATATTAAGTTAAAAACAGGTACTATGAGTGCTCACCTGATTTTGTTTCTTATGAAGGTGTTAACTAGGTATCCTTACAGGGGAGACCATCAATGAAGCTTTTTATTCCAGTATCTCATCCCTCAGAATGCAGCTGTATTTATAAGTGCCAAAACTTGGAAGCAACCAAGATGTCCTCCTATGGATGAATAGATGAACAGTGGCACATCCACACAATGGAATAGTATTCAGAAGCAAAAACATATGAAATATCAAGTCACCAAAAGAGACACGGAAGACCCTTAAATGCACATTGCTAAGTGAAAAAGCCAGTCTGAAAGGCTACATATTGTATGACTCCAATGACATAAGAGTCTAGAAATAATAAAAAGATTAGTGGTTGCCAGGGTTTTGAGGAGGAGTGGCGAAGAATTAATATGTAGACTACAGGGAATTTTTAAGGCACTGAAATTATACTGTATGATAGTTTTATGGTGCTTATGATGACATTACGCATTTGTTAGAACACATAGAACATAAGCCTTAATGTAAACTGTGGACTTTGATTAATAGTGATGCATCAATTTTAATGAATGTACCACACCAGTGAAAGATGTTCGTAACAGGGAAAGTGTGGGTTAGTGTGACTGTGATAGGGAATACCTGGTAACTTTCTGTCCTTTCTGTTTGATTTTCCCTTAAACTTAATAATGTTCTGAGAATCAAATTTATTAATTGCAAAAAATAGCAACTTTTTAAAAATGGGAAAGAATTTGGATAGATATTTTTCCAAATGAAACTTACGAATTACAATATGCACATGAACATATTCACAACATCACTATTAGGTAAATACTAATCAGAACTACAATGAGATACCTCCTCACACAAACTAGGATGGCTATAATAAAAAAGATACACAGTAATAAGTGCCATCAAGGATACAACTTGGCTTGCTAATTCGTCCCTACTAGAAATATAAAATGTTGCACCCATTTTGGAAAATGGTTTGGCAGTTCCTTAAAATGCTAAACATAGAGTCTCCACATGGCCCAGCAATTCCACACCTAGGTACACAGTCAAGGGAAATCAAAACATGTGTTCACACAAAAACTTGTAATCACTGCTTAAAGTAGCATTATCCATAATAGTCAAAAGAGTAGGCATAAACTAACATCTATTTCATTAGGCCATTTTCACACTGCTATAAAGTTACTATCTGAGACTGGGCAATTTATAAACAAAAGAAGTTTAATTGACTCACAGTTCCACATGGCTGAAGAGGTCTCGGGAAACTTAAATCATGGTGGTAGGTGAGGGGAAGCAAGGCACGTCTTACATGGTACCGAGAGAGAGAGCACAGGAAAAAAAACTGCCGCCTTTAAAACCATCAGATCTTGTGAAAACTACATCACTAACACAAGAATAGCATGGGGGAAATCACCCCCATGATCTAGTCACATCCCACCAGGTCCTTCCCTCGACATGTGGGGATTAAAATTCAAAATGAGATTTGGGTGGGGAAAGAGCCAAACCATATCATCTATCAACTGATGAATGGATTTAAAAAATGTGGAATATCTGTATAATGCAATATTATTTAGTCATAGAAAGAAATTAAGTACTAACATATGTATTACATTACGCTAAGTGAAAGAAGCCGATCATTTAAGACCACAGATTTTATAATTCCATTTACGTAAAATGTTCAGAAAAAAATAAATCTATGGCAATAGAAATTAGGGGCTGTCAGGGACTAGTGGTAGGGGGGAATAATAAGTGATTGTTTATGGGTATAGAATTCCTCCTTGGAGTGTTAAAATGGTCTAAATTTAATTACAGGGATGGACCCATTTAATGGTTGAAATATAGGATATGTTAAAATCAGGAGGACAGCCTTCCCTACTGCTATTGTTGATTAGTAAGAAAGCTGAATCAGAGAACAAAGGGTTGACTCAGGCTTCCACTCGACCGTGGTTCTCTGAGGCTAGCAATTGGTTGGCTTTACATCATTATAAATAATAGCTGGTAAATAAATATTTGTTACTTTTTGACTTTCTGACTAGTCGAATGACAATAAATTAGTAATCACACTGGGAAATAGAGATAGTGCTCCCTCCAATTTTTTTTTGAAGGAATGAAGGGATTTATTGAAAATGAAAGTACACTCCACCATGTGGGAGTGGGCCCAAGCATAGGGGCTCAAGGGCCCCATTATAGAAATTTGGGGAGTTTAAATGCCCTCTAGAGGATTCCATTGGTTACTTGGGGTATGCTGTATGTAAATGAAAATGATAAAGTCACAAAGTTATTTACTTGGCCTATTCCCTATGGAGAGGATATTTCCTGTCATAGCCAAAGCGTAAATTGGCCTTATGTTCCCTGCGTCCAGACCCTATTTTCCTGCCTCATCTACCCACTGAGAGATGTGATCCCCGTCAATCTTTATGGGAGGCAGAGAAACTGATAGTCTTTTTTCTGTAACTGCTTCATGCTGGCTTGGGGCATAGTCCCTACCTGATGGGGATCATGGAACTCTCGTCCTGCTCTGTCTAGAGAAGGCAGGGTAGCTCCTTGAAGGCCAGGGGTGCTGTCTTCACCTGCAACTGGCTGGAGCCTTTGTTGCCTGATCATCTGAAGCTTGATGGTCTCTAGATGAGAGGAAATGAATTTGGTTAAAAGACTTAATGAGAACTTCCGGGGGACTTCATAGATAACTATGCTGTCAAGAATGTTTGTTATAGAGATTTGCAGGAGAAAAAGCAAAACCTAGTCTGCTCTAGAATCTATGTGTTTCCTTAAAGTCTTAGTCCAAACGACTTCATTTTGGTTTGGTTTGGTCTGTTAGGGCCTAGTCCATGAGCTTAGTCCAAAAAAATGGCCTCCCAGAATTTTGTTTAAAAAAACTCCCCCTTTTTGGTGAAGTTCTCACTTAGGTGATGGTGTGACCAAAACTTAGGGCCTTAGTGCCACTCTCAGTTACCATCATTTTGGGTTTCCGGTCCCAGCACATCATTTATAGGCTATAGTGGCCTCATGGGTGCACATTTCTTTAGCTTCTGTCATTCCAGTTGAAGAGAGACCATATGACATTCTACAGATGGCTGCATGAAAGCATTTCAAACATTTGAGAGAATACAGCACACCAGGAAGACTATTATTATGACTATTGGGAGAATTAATAACAAGAGTTTGGAGTATGCTTCTTATTCAAGGTCCCCACAAGCCAAACCTCCTAAAATCAAATAGAGCAAAGAATGAGCTAGATAAAGAGTTTACTCACTTAACTAAGCAGTCTCTTTGCTAATCCCGTACCACTAAATTTCTATAATCTTCATTTGATGTATTTCTCCATAGGCCACAATGGCTAGCAGCTGTACAGATACTTCTTTGTTTAGCCAATTCTATCATAACTCTCACAAAAGAATTTAAAGTCTGTTGTATAATTGAGGACATTATAGTAGAATTTGGTATAGAGCCTATCATGGGGAATACATTTCTAATCATTGCCTCTTTTACTTTAAACCATGGATAAAGGACCTAACAAATGATACCCTTATAGAAGAGTGAAGGCCTCCTGGTAATGTTCTCTTTAACCCACGATGTGGGCTAAATGTTTTCGTTTTAACTGATTATGAGGCAACGTATGTACCATTAAAGTTTCTTACCTACATTGGGCCTTCCTCTGCTGGAGACTAAATGAGAACTTAGAAAATTTTAGGATTAGTTGGATACTGTTGTTTATGGAGAGACTCTTATGCCCTAAAAACAAAACGCTTTTGCAAAAAGCTCATGCAAGACGGGCCAAACTCCCTCAGTTGGCAATTACCAGAAATCCAACAGGTGGAAAGGTTAAAACATCTATTAGTAACTGCTCCTGTCCTAGCTCTACTCTCCTCAAGCAGCCATTCCATCTTTTTGTCAGTGTAAGCAAGGGCATAGCATTAGAAGTACTTACCCAAAAGCATGGAGGCCACTGACAACCCATAGCCTTCCTATCAAAAATCCTTAACCAAGTAACCTGTGGATGGCCCAAATGCATTCAATCTGTAGTGGCAACTACTTTGCTAACAGAAAAAAGTAGAAAAATAACTTTTAGAGGAAACCTCATTGTGAGCACACCTCACCAGGTCAGAACTATCCCAAGTCAAAAAGGAAAAAGGTAGCTTACTGACTTAAGAATCTTAAAGTAAGAGGCTATTCTGTTAGAAAAAGATGATTTAACATTAACCATTGATAATTCACTTAACCCAGCAGGTTTCATAACAGGGGATCTAAATCTAAAGAGAAAATACACATGTTTAGATTTAATTAATTACCACACAAAGGTCCAACCAGACCTAGGAGAAACTCCCTTCAGGACGCGATGACACTTATTTATAGATGGCTCCTCCCAGGTGATTGAGGGAAAAAGACACAATGGGTATTCAGTAATTGACAGAGAAACTCTTGTAGAAATAGATTTAGGAAAATTGCCTAATAATTGGTCTGCTTAAATGTGTGAGCTGTTTGCACTCAGCCAAGCCTTAAAGTACTTACAGAACCAGGAAGGAATCATCTACACTGATTCTAAGTATGCCTTTGGAGTGGCTCACACATTTGGAAAAAATTTGGACTGAATGAGGTCTTATTAACAGCAAAGGATGATTAAAATCCCAAACTTACAAGGTTTTAAACAAAAGTAAAGTTTGCTAAAAGTTAACAACGTAACATGTATCATCCTAACTTCTAATCTTGTGGCCTTAGGCAGTCTAGTCCACATACATGAAGGAAGTCTGCTTTGGAAAAGAATGGTTATCATCTTTGACATTAAAAAAGAGGAGAATTTATGTAAAAAGAATCTTAAGTGGTAAATTCTTGTCCTAAAGTAAATTAACTGGTTGTTTAAAGAAAGGGATGTTTACATCAGAAAGTTAAGGCATGTCAAAGATTGTCTGTGAAAGTCATGAAAATGTTATAAAAGATAATTTATGCAAGAAATGTTGTACAATTTGAAAGTAATTAGGCCTCCTGAATGTAAAACTATTGAAGAGACAGTTTATGTGCAAAGTGTGTAAGGAAAGTAAAATATACCTTAGGTAAAAGGATTATAAGGAGGCATAAGAATGCGGACTTTTACCTACATTAAAAGATTTAAAAAAAGTTTTGAAGGTTTAAGCAAGTTTTGAAACGTTAATTGTAAAGGAAATTCTGTGTGTAAACATATTGGCTAAAGTTAAAGGGGTATCACCCCGCCCAGTTTTTCTGTGAACTGGACATTAAAATAAAAGCACAACAGGCTTTTCTTAAAGCACTAACCTGCTCTTTAATAAAAATTATAAAGGGTTAAAAAGAGTCTATAAAAATCTTACCTTATGGTCAGACATTAAAATTGGATAAATATGTCTACAAGGTTTTATTAAAATTGAGTTTAACATTAATAATACACTAATATAAAGGTAAAATTTAGTTCATCTGGTATAAAAATCATACAGGAAGCACTGTCAAATATAAAATGGTGTTTGGCTTTGTTTGGTCTAAAAACTAATAAAAACAGGTGCTAAAGAGAATTCAAAAGGGAAATGGGTACTGCTAGACCAGAGAGAAATGTTATCCAAACCCCTTATGAGGCAAATCTTGTTCCAACTGCATCAAGGGACCCATTGAGGGCCCCAAGCCACATGTGACGCAGTTCTCAGAGTTTATGGGTGCATAGGAATTTATACCCCGGTGAAACAGTTTAAGGACGGTTGCTTAGTATGTAAGAAAACCAATAAACAAACTATAAAAAGATTACCCCTTGTGGGACAGAGTCCAGGCTTAAGGCCATTCCAAAGTATACAGATTGATTACACAGAGATGCCTCCAATTGGTCGTCTAAAGTATTTATTAGTAATACATCACATTACTCATTGGGTAGAAGCTATTTCCATTTCAAGTACAACTGCTAATAATGTAGTCAAGGCATTAGTTGAAAATATCATACCCAAGTTTAGATTAATAGAAAACATTGATTCAGATAATAGGACTCATTTAACTGCACATGTTATTAAGAAATTAGCCCAGGTATTGGATATAACATGGGAATATCATACTCCCTGGCACCCACTTTCATCAGGAAGAGTGGAAAGAATGAACCAAACTATAAAAAAAGCCACCTAACCAAATTAGTCTTAGAGATGATGCTGTGGGAAGTCAGGGACCCTGAATGGAGGGACTGGCTGAAGCCGTGGCAGAAGAACATAAATTGTGAAGATTTCATGGACATTTATCACTTCCCCAATCAATACTCTTATAATTTTCTATCCCTGTCTTTACTTTAATCTCTTAATCCCGTCATCTTCATAAGCTGAGGATGTATGTCAGGACCCAGTGATGTACAAATGTACAAATTGCGTTAAATGTACAAATTGTTTGTAAAACATGTGTGTTTGAACAATATGAAATCAGGGCACCCTGAAAAAGAACAGAATAACAGTGATTTTCAGGGAACAAGGAAGGATAACCATAAAGTCTGACTGCCTGCAGGGTTGGGCAGAATACAGCCATATTTTTCTTCTTGCAGTGAGCCTAAAAACAGACATATGAGTAGGAGAAATATCGCTGAAGTCTTTTCCTCCAAGGAATATTAATAATTGATAACCCTGGGGAAGGAATGCATTCCCAGTAGTAGGACTATAGACAACCACTCTGAGAGTGTCTGTCTTATGCAGTTGACATAAGGGATGAAATACACCCTGGTCTCCTGCAGTGCCCTCAGGCTTACTAGGTTTGGGAAATTCCAGCCTGGTGAATTCTAGTCAGACTGGTTGTCTGCTCTCAAACCCTGTTTCCTGTTAAGATGTTTATCAAGACAATGCATGCCCAGCGGGACATGCACCCTCATCAGTAATTCTAATTTCACCCTTGCCTTGTAATCCTGCTCTGCCCTTTTGCCTTGTGATCTTTTATTGCCCTTTGAACCATGTGATCTCTATGACCCACTCCCTATTCGTACACCCCTCTCGTTTTGAAATCCCTAATAAAAACCTGCTGGTTTTGCGGCTCGGGATCACCATCATGGTCCTACCAATATGTGATGACACCCCCAGAGGCCCAGCTGTAAAATTTCTCTCTTTGTACTCTTTCTCTTTATTTCTCAGACCGGCTGACACTTGGGGAAAATAGAAAGAACCTACATTGAAATACTGAGGGCTGGTTCCCCCGATAGACTCGGTTACCATGAACAAGATGCCCTCCCATTGCCCTGTTGAGAATCTGAACTGCTCCTTGGAGAGATGTTGGCTTATCCTCTTAAGAAATGTTGTATAGATTGCCCTGCTTGCACTCCACTGGAGACATTCCCACGTTCAAAACAAAAGATCAGTTTCTCAGAAATTATATACTTGGTTTATATTCCACTTTCTCTTCCCTCAGCACTAAAGGCCTTTTGGCACAGGTACCCCCACAGTGTTTCCAGTACACCAACATCAGCCTGAGGACCATGTCCTCCTCAAAAGTTGGAGGGAAGGAAACCTCGGATTGGCTTGGGAAGGACCCTACCTAGTGCTTCTAACCACCGAGACAGCAGTTCAAACAGCAGAAAGAGGATGGACTCATCTCACCTGGGTCAAAAGAGCACCACCCCCTCCAGAATCATGGACAGCTATTCTAGGGCCAACTCCACCCAAGCTAATGCTAAAAGGGGTTTGATCCTCTTATATTGCATCTCTTTCTTTTCCCCTTCTATTGCTAGTCCTCTCGTTATTAATGTAACTAGGACAATTTCACCCCAAACTATTACTTTTGATGCTTGCCTTGTGATGCCCTGTGGAGATTTACCAAATCTAGCATTCCATCAACAGGATAAAAAATAAAATCATAAAAGAAGAAGTGCCTTACATGAGTCCTTTGACCCCCATGTTGATATAAATGCTATTGGAGTTCCGTGAGGAATACCAGATAAATTTAAAGCCCAAGATCAAATAGCTGCGGGATTTAAGTCAATATTTAAATTAATAATATAGATTGGATAAATTATGTCTATTATAATCAGCAGTGGTTTATTAATTACACAAGGGATGCTGTCAAACGGATAGCAGAACAATTGGGGCCCACTAGCCAGATGGCCTGGGAAAACAGAACGGCCCTAGATATGATATTAGCCACAAAAGGCACTGTTTGTGTTATGATTGAAACTCAGTGTTGTACCTTTATCCCAAACAATACTGACCCCACTGGGAGCATAACAAGGGCCTTACAAAGACTTATTGCTTTATCCAATGAACTAGCTAAAATTCTGGAGTCGATAACCCTTTCTCAGGGTGGCTAGAAAGGTAGTTCAGTAAACGGAAAGAATTCATAAACTCAATTCTTACTTCTCTTGCAGGAATAATAGGTGTACTTATTCTTGTTAGGTGTTGTGTCATACCATGCATCCGTGGACAAGTGCAAAGACTTATAAAAGCAGCACTTACTAAAACCTTCCTTAACTCTCCTCCACCTTATTCAGATAAGCTTTTTCTTTGAGAGGATTAAGTAGAGCAGCAAAGCTAAGACATATTTAAAAAGTTTGAAGAGGAAGTGCTATGAAAATTGAAAGGGAAATTGTAGGATATAATAAATTCCTCTTTAAAGGTTTTAGCCTGTAAATTGTTAAGTACAATGAGTTCTGAGATCCTCTCCAAAGAACCAGTGTATCAGTATGCTCAGCTTCCCTGTTCTTTGTTCTTCACTTTAAAGTTTAAGATCCTCATTCTTTTGTCTCCTTGCCCCTAGTTTCAGTAAACAACTCCCTCCTAGTCTCTACCACCTGCTCCATCCTGAGTCACCCCTGGTCACCTGCTCCATCCTGAGTCATCCTGAGTCACCTGTTCAGTAACCGTCTTTCCTACCAAACTATTCATCCCGCCACTCTGACTCATACCCCTGCTCTCTTTAAAATAGTGAATCGGAATTAGCTTAGACTGTGCAGTCCAACCCTAGCCAACAGGGGAATGACACAGCACTAGGGGCTACCTCCCTCAGGAATAAAAACCCCTTTCCCTCCCTTGTTTAGCTGTGCTCTCTCCATTGTTCCATCTGCAAGTCAGACCCTTCTATAGAAGTAAAATTGCCTTGCTGAGAAAATTGAATATATGTTTGAGTGCTATTTCTTTTGTGGCACCAAAAATTTATTTCTGACATATTTAACCAGTTTGCACAGAGAGAAAGAGGCAAGATACTGACTGGTAAGAAATCCTTGCCTTTTGCCAGCATGCCAGGTTTCTGGGTTCTCTCTCCCTGAGTGGCCCTAGCAACCCTGCTATACTGTATGCAAACAAACCCCTGCCATGAATTAAGAATATTCACAAGTAGTATATGAATTATGAAGAAATTGGGCAGAAACAGAAATATAACTCAAATTCTATTTACAAAAGTATACTCAACATGCTTGAACATTCAGGAAGCCTAAAATCCAAAGTTAGGTTAAAAGGCTGGTGTGCTCTATCAATTCTTGCAGACCAGACAAAGGCAGCCAAGGAATTCAAGATAAATGGAGAGTAAACAGCAAACAAATGAAAACTAGAATCAAAAATAAATAAACCAGAAACCAACTCTAAGTTTTCCTACTTAATTTACCTTGGAGGCTACAGTGTTACGTAGGTTCCCAGAAAACCTGCATAATGAATATTTCATTATTGATATAGAATTCAATATCCTTAAGTTCACCAATATTATTATACCTCCTGTGCAATCAAGAAATTCACTTTAAGCACATGACCAATAGTTACTCTAGCACTATCCATGCAAAATGGTAGACATAGTGTGAAGCAATGCAAGCACGTGTGTGAAATTTGGCTCTACACGAAATCCAGCTTCATGCTTAACTATTTTAAAAAAAGAATTGCCAAACTGCAGATGCATTTCTTGACAAAACTTCTTACTTTAATCAAGACTAAGAGCTTTAACTATGAAAATGTTAATTAGCCAAATGTCTCCAACTCTCTATCAGGTTTTAAAGAATATTTTATTATTTAAACTTTTTCCACATCTTTCTCCCCTATTTAATGGTTCTTTACTACACTGTTTCATAAATAACCTTTTCAAATCTATAACTTGAAATAACTTTTAGATAACTTCTGAATTAGACAAAATTATTCTTTTTCACTAATAACATAACCTTTTCTGTCACATTTTGTATACAGAATTATGTGTTAACTAGAATTTTTATCTTAATAACCTTAAACATTAGCAAAACCCTAAAAAGCAAGAAATCCTGAACTATCAAATATGGAAATTTATAGATAAGAACAATTCTACAATTTTAGAAACATGTTTCCCCATACCACAATCCCTTCTTAATTGGAAATGTCCCAGATATTAAATGAGCATCAAAAATAACTTTTTAAGATTTTAATTTATGCAAAAATTTTACCTGAAACATTTATCCCATTCTCTGTACTTAATTTTTACTTTTAACGAGGAAGACATGAGACATCAATCAATATATGTAAAATCAACATTGGTTCAGTCCAGAAAGACAGGACAACTGGAGGCGGGGAGGGGGCTTGGGGGCTTTCAAATCACAGGTAGGTGGGAGACAAGCGTAGCATTCTTTAGAGTTTCTGATTAGCCTTTCCAAAGGAAGCAATCAGATATGCATTTATCTCAGTGAGACTTTGAATAGAAAGTGAGGCAGGCTTGCCCCAAGCAGCTCCCAGCTTGAATTACCACTGACATTTAAAAATATCTAGCAAATACAAACATAAAATTCAGACAAAATTCTGGAGGCATTTCTATTTTTATGCCACCAATAGTTTTAAAGCTAGCTTGTTTAGTAAAGTTATACTTTAAGTCATGTGAATTTGAAAATTGCTTAGACTTATTTTACTTATGAGTGCTCTTTTACTTATAAGACAGTTCGGTAGACACAACATATAACAATAAGGGCACATGCAAATAAACACATCTAGACAGGTATACACATGCATAAATGAAGATCCAATAGCTTGGAACCTTAGCCATGGAATAGCAATGCCAAGCTTGCCAGTTTTACCTTGTCCCAATAGATAACCCAAGGAAAGCTGTGAACCAAAATTTTGGCCACAACATTCTCCATGGCAGTTTGATTTTTAAAGGCCAAACCTCCCCAGTCTCCAAAGAGCACTGGGGCCCAACAATACCAAAGGAGGACGTCACACATTAACCAGGCCCCCTGCTTAGGACAGCAGCACAAAAGCTTGCATACATGCAACACCATTTCACTTTCCCACTAGACAGTAAACTCCAGATTCTAAAGAATGTGGGGGCCAAGCAGCCTTGCAACTGTAAAAGAAAATTCTAAGGAAGGCTTATTACTAGACCTCAGAACCTCTACCGAGAGGGTCTCCTTTGGGGAAGCTAAGGTCCTCAGGATCCCCCAGAGCATCCTCCTTTGGGGTCCAAACTTAAGAGTGTCAGACGTCTCTGACATTAGGTGGGTACCAGTGCCACATGCAGGTTTCCCTCCAGAGCCTACTAGGAGCTTCATAGGCATAGCCATGAACCGTAATGAGAGGAACTGGATGCTGGGTGGGCTTTTTTGTCCTTAGCCAGTTGAGTATGACAAGGAAAGAATTTAGCTTAAGAAAAGGAGGTTTAAGTCACCTGAAACATGTGCGAGTTTGGCTGAGCTGTGCCACATGTAGGGATCAGTGACCAGACACAGAAAAAAATAAAAAAACAGAGTCCTTCCCACTTCTGGGCAGGGCAATTATTCCCATTCATTCCTAGGCCTTTAGGCAGTACCAAGGAGTGACCCCAACCAATTGCCCTCAATTTCCAAGGAGCTACTAGGAAACAGTCACTGAAAGACTGAAAAAGAAAGAGAGGGACAAAAAATGAAAGATACAGGTATCTCAAGCGACCTGGGTGGTGGTGGTTTGGCTTATCCACATGGAAACCCTAGTTTCCCCGGCCATGGCCAGAAACCTGCAGTTGCTTCCGTGTTTACACGCTACCCACCAAGAGTCCTGAGTTTGAAATTAAAAGACACAGAGAGAGAAATTCCCCTGTATGGAGCAGAAAAGAAAAGGAGAAAAGAGAAAAACAAATTCCAAACTTCGGGCTTACCTCTTCCTCCTGGCTGGCTCACCAAAATAGGACACCGGTGGAGGGTGTCCAGGCTCTTGGTGTCTGCACTACGAATTGGACAAAATGCACACATAAAGCAAGGAAAGAATGAAGGGTTTTATTGAAAATGAAAGTACACTCCACACTGTGGAAGCGGGTTCAAGGATAGGGACTCAAGGGCCCCAAAAGGATTTTGTAAAGGGAGTAATCACCTGCATCTACAACAGAATAAATGAGTGCTTTAAACCTCAGCTAAGTCAGCTTCAAAATAAAATAGAAAATATACAAAATTAACACACACCAAAAAAGTATTTATGATACTAAATATAAAAAGCGATAGGTTTTACTTGTAAAGTTTATCTATTATGCTAAGATTTTAAATGGAGATAAACTTGTATTTAAAATGTCTAGCTACTTCATTCAACAGTGTATTTTTTAAAATTTTAGATTGATTCTTCATGTAAGGTAGCAATTTGCAAACATCACATAATTTGTACCAACATAAATAAAATTACATTTAACAGCATTAGAATAAAATGTAAATTTACTAAATGGAACTGTAATTCTCTGACGTGTTTTAATTTAAATGTTTACATGTTTTTCTTCTAAAAAACATTTTGCAACCATAATTATTTAATGTATTTAAGGGAGATTTCATGAAGATAGGAATTTTATTTTATGTTGTGTTTTAGACATACTTCATGTTCCTGGCACACATTAGGCACTAAATAAACTTCTTTTACCATTTGATCAATTGTATTTTTTCATATTTCTAGGTGACCCCCAGTTAATTTTCTCTTACGCTGCTTGTAGATCACCCTTTTAACAACTACTCGTCTTTTTGAGATTTTCATTCTGTTTATCTCTTTCTGGTTTTGGATAGTCTGCTAAAATAAAATCCTTCCTGAGCTTTTATCTGCTTAATGTATTCCCCCACTGACATTGCCTTGAGCTGTAATTTGCATCCTGTGGTTCCTGCACACAGAAATTTCCATTTTGCTTTACTTAAAAAATTATTAGCAAATTAAACCACACATTTTCAATACTAAGTAATTGGTTGTTGCTGTTATATATTGTAGGAGATACAAAAGTATTTTGTAAAAAATGGTTTCTTTCAATAACCTGAAAATGTAGTGAGACAGACAAAATTACAGAAAAAAATATAAAAATATTTGCCTCAAAATGGCAGTTCTGTGACTATATGGGACAGAGCTGAGGAGACAAAGCTCTGTGTGGGCTGATTTTATTTCTCTTTACCTTTAGCATGAAGCCCATACTTTTACTTCCTTACTTATCCTTCTCTTTTTATGTAAGATAATTTTTATTTTGTTTAAAATTACTGTCATGGAAAAGTAAAACATACGCAGAAGAAAGAATACTAATAAACATGATGAACACATCACACAGCTTTAGTGATTATTGCCTTAATGCCAATTCTATTTTATTTATACCTCACCCACTCTCTCCATCCTCTTACTAGATCAACCTGTAGCAAATTCCAGATATTACATCATTTGTAAATGTATCAGTTTGGATCTCTGAAAAGATGGATTATCTTAAAAGCAGTAATTATGTCACTATTGTACTTATAAAAAGGAAACAATGATTCCTTAATATCAAAATCTATTCAGTATTCAAATACCCCAGTTGTCTTATTTTTACAGTACTTTTATTTGAATCTGATTCCAAACAAGTTCTTATATTTGAAATTGATTGATATCTCCCTAAGAGTATTGATACAGGTTGAATTTCTAAAGTTAGAAATGAATTCCTTTTACATGAGAAATCTTTTGTTAAAGCCTGTGCTTGAAAACATATTTAGCATTGGCTATAACTCCGTGAGGAAAATTGAGATATCAGAGTATGATTTCTGGAAGGAATCATTCCTGCTTCACCGGTTTCTAGATGAGAGATTGAACTAAGAAGCCTAGAACTTCTTGCTAATCAATCACTCAGACACAGTTGTCATTCTGATTGTATTCCCCAAGAGAGTGCATTGCTAAAGTAGTTGTGAGTAACTCTCATGCCATAGGCATTCTTGGTCCATTTTTGTATGAGTGTGGGCTGTTACAGGAAATTCTTCTCTTTAGATAATAATATTTATTCAATATATGCCATCACAGCCTTATGTAATTTTTTGTGCAAGGAAAAGAAGTGTAGCACAATCTAGCAGCAATGATTGGAAATAACTCTTGAAATGTCAAGGACTTTCTCTTTAAATGATAATTAACAGATTAAATGCCAACAAGTACATTTAATAACCATGATATTTTGTATTTGGACCATAGCCAAAATAATCAGTAAATGTAGTCACTTAAGGATCTCAGATATCTGATCTTGATTTGAAATGTTACTTATTCATGTATATTTTAATTACTCAGCAGTAACCTCCACTATATAAGGTATGTGTAGTGAGTATTAAAAAGTTTACACTGCATTTAATTTTCTAAATAACAGAAAACTATTTGAAAGTAAATTGTATGTCATAGTAGCTTTTGCCTTAGAAAACATTTATTGAAATCATTGTATTGCATGACCATAAAAATTCAAGTTTTCTAAATTCATATCCAATGCTTTAGAAAATACAAACATTATATTAGTTAATCAATCCTTATCTCTTCCAATGACTATTTAATGCCTGCTTTATGCCAGGCACTATCCTAAAAAGGCATAAAGTACAGACAAAAATGAAATTCCTGCCTTCATGGAGCCTCTCCTAAATAACCCTGCTAAACAAAGAAGGAAAAATAAAGAGTTCTCATCAACATTTCTGGAAAAAAAAAGTGTGTATTTACTAAATATCTAGCACGTTCCAGGCACTGTGCTAAGCCACAAACACAGATAAGTTTGAAACATTCCTTTCCTTCAGAATGGTATGGGAAACTAATAGAACACAGTCATAAATAAGTAGCAGAAAGGAAAGAATCATAACGTGAAAACTCAGGGTGATTGGTAAGAACACTTGGCAGAAGATGATGAAAGAAAAGGGACTACAGAGAACCTGGAAGGATATGGGAAGATAACTTTTTCACCTTATTTTGATGATAAATTCTTGGACAAATAGATTAGATAAAATTTAGTTAGCTTTTAGTTTGCTATAGATTGAAGCATATGACAAGCTATTAAGAGCGACAACTTCAGATTGCTAAGCGTGGGAGTTGAAATGCACTTTAACAGCTAGGAAAGTCAAAGCAATAAGGTATGCTGAAATGAAAAAAGTTTGCTAAATCAATTCAAGTTGAGGCAGCATTTGAAGTAAATCAAAATTTACAAGGCTCTAACAAATGGATATCTGATACTACAATTGAAAAGATGAAAATTAAGAAGTTTTTCCTAAGTTTTTCTTTTTTTTATTTTACTTTAAGTTCTAGGGTACATGTGCACAACATGCAGGTTTGTTACATACGTATACACGGGCCATGATGATATGCTGCACCCATTAAAGTATCATTTACGTTAAGTATTTCTCCTAATGCTATCTCGTCACCCTCCCCCGACTCCATGACAGGCCCCGGTGTGTGATGTTCCCCACCGTGTGTCCAAGTGTTCTCATTGTTCAATTCCTGATGAGTGAGAACGTGCGGTATTTGGTTTTCTGTCCTTGTGATAGTTTGCTGAGAATGATGGTTTCCAACTTCATCCATGTCCTTGCAAAGGACATGAACTCATCCTTTTTTATGGCTGCATAGTATTCCAAGTAAGTATATGTGCCACATTTTCTTAATCCAGTCTATCATTGATGGAAATTTGCATTGGTTCTAAGTCTTTGCTATTGTGAGTAGTGCCGCAATAAACATATGTGTGCATGTGTCTTTATAGCAGCATGATTTATAATCCTTTGGGTATATACCCAGTAATGGGATGGCTGGGTCAAATGGTATTTCTAGTTCTAGATCCCTGAGGAATCGCCACACTGTCTTCCACAATGGTTGAACTAACTTACACTCCCACCAACAGTGTAAAAGTGTTCCTATTTCTCCACATCCTCTCCAGTACCTGTTGTTTCCTGAATTTTTAATGATCGCCATTCTAACTGGTGTGAGATGGTATCTCATTGTGATTTTGATTTGCATTACTCTAATGGCCAGTGATGATGAGCATTTTTTCATGTGTCTGTTGGTTGCATAAATGTCTTCTTTTGAGAAGTGTCTGTTCATGTCCTTCACCCACTTTTTGATGGGGTTGTTTGATTTTTTCTTGTAAATTTGTTTAAGTTCTTTGTAGATTCTGGATATTAGCCCTTTGTCAGATGGGTAGATTGTAAAAATTTTCTCCCATTCTATAGGTTGCCTGTTCACTCTGATGGTAGTTTCTTTTGCTGTGCAGAAGCTCTTTAGTTTAATTAGATCCCATTTGTCAATTTTGGCTTTTGTTGCCATTGCTTTTGGTGTTTTAGACATGAAGTCCTTGCCCACGCCTATGGCCTGAATGGTATTGCCTAGGTTTTCTTCTAGGGTTTGTATGGTTTTAGGTCTAACATTTAAGTGTTCAATCCATTTTGAATTAATTTTCGTATAAGGTGTGAGGAAGGGATCCAGTTTCAGCTTTCTGCATATGGCTAGCCAGTTTTCACAGCACCATTTATTAAATGAGGAATCTTTCCCCATTTCTTGTTTTTGTCAGATTTGTCAAAGATCAGATGGTTGTAGATGTGTCATATTATTTCTGAGGGCTCTGTTCTGTTCCATTGGTCAGTATCTCTGCTTTGGTACCAGTACCATGCTGTTTTGGTTACTGTAGCCTTGTAGTATAGTTTGAAGTCAGGTAGCGTGATGCCTCCAGCTTTGTTCTTTTGGCTTAGGATTGTCTTGGCAATGTGGGCTCTTTTTTGGTTCCATATGAACTTTAAAATACTTTTTCAAAATTCTGTGAAGAAAGTCATTGGTAGCTTGATGGGGATGGCATTGAATTTATGAATTACCTTGGGCAGTATGGCCATTTTAAGGATATGGATTCTTCCTATCCATGATCATAGAATGTTCTTCCATTTGTTTGTGTCCTCTTTTATTTTATTGAGCAGTGGTTTGTAGTTCTCCTTGAAGAGGTCCTTCACATCCCTTATAAGTTGGATTCCTAGGTATTTTATTCTCTTTGAAGCAATTGTGAATGGGAGTTCACTCATGATTTGGCTCTCTGTTTGTCCGTTATTGGTGTATAGGAGTGCTTGTGATTTTTGAACATTGATTTTGCGTCCTGAGAGTTTGGTGAAGTTCCTATCAGCTTAAGGAGATTTTGGGCTGAGACAATGGGGTTTTCTCAATATACAATCAGGTCATCTGCAAACAGGGACAATTTGACTTTCTCTTTTCCTGATTGAATACCATTTATTTCTTTCTCCTGCCTGATTGCCCTGGCCAGAACTTCCAACACTATGTTGAGTAAGAGTGGTGAGAGAGGGCATTCTTGTGTTGTGCTGGTTTTCAAAGGGAATGCTTCCAGTTTTTGCCCATTCAGTATGATATTGACTGAGGGTTTGTCATAAATAGCTCTTATTATTTTGAGATACCTCCCATCAATACCTAATTTATTGAGAGTTTTTAGCATGAAGGGTTGTTGAATTTTGTTGAAGGCCTTTTCTGCGTCTGTTGAGATAATCATGTGGTTTTGGTCTTTGGTTCTGTTTATATGCTGGATTACATTTATTGATTTGCGTATGTTGAACCAGCCTTGCATCCCAGGAATGAAGCCAACTTGATCATGCTGGATAAGCTTTTTGATGTGCTAGTGGATTTGGTTTGCCAGTATTTTATCGAGGATTTTTGCATTGATGTTCATCAGGGATATTGGTCTAAAATTCTCTTTTTTTGTTGTGTCTCTGCCAGGCTTTGGTATCAGGATGATGCTGGCCTCATAAAATGAGTTAGGGAGGATTCCCTCTTTTTCTATTGATTGGAATAGTTTCAGAAGGAAAGATACAAGCTCCTGCTTGTACCTCTGGTAAAATTTGGCTGTGAATCCATCTGATCCTGGACTTTTTTTGGTTGGTAGGCTATTAATTATTGCCTCAATTTCAGAGCCTGTTATTGGTCTATTCAGGGATTCAACATCTTCCTGGTTCAGTCTTGGGAGGGTGTATGTGTCCAGGAATTTATCCATTTCTTCTTGATTTTCTAGTTTATTTGCGCAGAGGTGTTTATAGTATTCTCTAATGGTAGTTTGTATTTCTGTGGGATCAGTGGTGATATCCCCTTTATCATTTTTTATTGCATCTATTTGATTCTTCTCTCTTTTCTTCTTTATTAGTCTTGCTAGCGGTGTATCAATTTTGTTGATCTTTTCAAAAAACCAGCTCCTGGATTCGTTGATTTTTTTGAAGGGATTTTTGTGTCTCTATGTCCTTCAGTTCTACGCTGACCTTAGTTATTTCTTGCCTTCTGCTGGCTTTTGAATGTGTTTGCTCTTGTTTCTCTAGTTCTTTTAATTGTGATGTTATGGTGTCAATTTTAGATCTTTCCTACTTTCTCTTGGGGGCATTTAGTGCTATAAATTTCCCTCTACACACTACTTTAGTTGTGTGCCATAGATTCTGGTACATTGTGTCTTTGTTCTCATTGGTTTCAAAGAACATCTTTATTTCTGTCTTCATTTCGTTATTTATCCAGTAGTCATTCAGGAGCAGGTTGTTCAGTTTCCATGTAGTTGAGCAGTTTTGAGTGAGTTTCTTAATCCTGATTTCTAATTTGATTGCACTGTGGTCTGAGAGACAGTTTGTTATAATTTCTATTCTTTTACATTTGCTGAGGAGTGCTTTACTTCCAACTATGTGGTCAATTTTGGAATAAGTGCAATGTGGTGCTGAGAAGAATGAATATTCTGTTGATTTGGGGTGGAGAGTTCTGTAGATGTCTATTAGGTCCGCTTGGTGCAGAGCTGAGTTCAATTCCTGGATATCCTTGTTAACTTTCTGTCTCGTTGATCTGTCTAATGTTGACAATGGGGTGTTAAAGTCTCCCATTATTATTGTGCGGGAGTCTAAGTCTCTTTGTAGGTCTCTAAGTACTTGCTTTATGAATCTGGGTGCTCCTGTATTGGGTGCATATATATTTAGGATAGTTAGCGCTTCTTGTTGAATTGATCCCTTTACCATTATGTAATGGCCTTTATCTCTTTTGATTTTTGTTGGTTTAAAGCCTGTTTTATCAGAGACTAGGATTGCAACCCCTGCTTTTTTGTTTTTCATTTGCTTGGTAGATCTTCCTCCATCCCTTTATTTTGAGCCTATGTGTGTCTCTGCACATGAGATGGGTCTCCTGAATACAGCACACTGATGGGTCTTGACTCTTTATCCAATTTGCCAGTCTGTGTCTTTTAATTGGGGCATTTAGCCTATTTACATTTAGGGTTAATGTTGTTATGTGTGAATTTGTTCCTGTCATTATGATGTTAGCTGAGTATTTTGCTCATTAGTTGATGCAATTTCTTCCTAACATCAATGGTCTTTACAATTTGGGATGTTTTTGCAGTGGCTGGTACTGGTTGTTCCTTTCCATGTTTAGTCCTTCCTTCAGAAGCTCTTGTAAGGTAGGCCCAGTGGTGACAAAATCTCTCAGCATTTGCTTGTCTGTAAAGTATTTTAGTTCTCCTTCACTTATGAAGCTTAGTTTGGCTGGATATGAAATTCTGGGTTGAAAATTCTTTTCTTTAAGAATGTTGAATATTAGCCCTCACTCTCTTCTGGCTTATAGAGTTTCTGCAGAGAGATCTACTGTTAGTCTAATGGGCTTCCCTCTGTGGGTAACCCAACCTTTCTCTCTGGCTGTCCTTAACATTTTTTCATTCATTTCAACCTTGGTGAATCTGACAATTATATGTCTTGGGGTTGCTCTTCTCGAGGAGTATCTTTGTGGCATTCTCTGTATTTGCTGGAATTTGAATGTTGGCCTGCCTTGCTAGGTTGGGGAAGTTCTCCTGGATAATATCCTGAAGAGTGTTTTCCAACTTGGTTCCATTCTCCCCGTCACTTTCAGGTACACCAATCAGACGTTGATTTGGTCTTTTCACATAGTCCCATATTTCTTGGAGGCTTTGTTGATTTCTTTTTACTCTTTTTTCTCTAAACTCTCATCTCACTTCATTTAATTCATTTTATCTTCAATCACTGATACGCTTTCTTCCACTTGATCTAATCAGTTACTGATGCTTGTGCATGTGTCATGTAGTTCTCGTGCCACGGTTTTCAGCTCCATCAGGTCATTTAAAGTCTTCTCTGTGCTGTTTATTCTAGTTAGCCATTTGTCTAATCTGTTTTCAAGGTTTTCAGCTTCTTTGTGATGGGTTCGAACATCCTCCTTTAGCTCGGAGAAGTTTGTTATTACCGATCTTCTGAAGCCTACTTCTGTCAGCTCATCAAAGTCATTCTCCATCCAGCTTTGTTCCGTTGCTGGTAAGGAGCTGCATTCCTTTGGAGGAGAAGAGGTGCTGTGATTTTTAGAATTTTCAGCTTTTCTGCTCTGGTTTGTCCCCATCCTTGTGGTTTCATCTACCTTTGGTCTTTGATGATGGTGACCTAGAGATGGGGTTTTGTTGTGGATGTCTGTTTTGTTGATGTTGATGCTATTCCTTTCTGTTTGTTAGTTTTCCTTCTAACAGTCAGGACCCTCAGCTGCAGGTCTGTTGGAGTTTGCTGGAGGTCTACTCCAGACTCTGTTTGCCTGGGTATCACCAGCAGAGGCTGCAGAACAGCAAATATTGCAGAACAGCAGATGTTGCTGCCTGATCCTTCCTCTGGAAGCTTTGTCTCAGAGGGACCGGGCTGTATGAGGTGTCAGTCCCCGCCTACTGGGAGGTGTCTCCCAGTTAGGCTACTCGGGGTTCAGGGACCCACTTGAGGAGGCTGTCTGTCCGTTCTTAGATCTCAAACTCCATGCTGGGAAAACCACTACTCTCTTCAAAGCTGTCAGACAGGGACGTTTAAGTATGCAGACGTTTCTGCTGCCTTTTCTTCAGCTATGCCCTGCCCCCAGAGGCGGAGTCTACAGAGGCAGGCAGGCCTTGTTGAGCTAAGGTGGGCTCCCCCCTGTTCGAGCTTCCTGGCCACTTTGTTTACCTACTCAAGCCTGAGCAATGGCAGATGCCCCTCCCCCAGCCTTGCTGCCACCTGGCTGTTTGATCTTGGACTGCTGTGCTAGCAGTGAGCAAGGCTCTGTGGGCATGTGACCCACCGAGCCAGGCATGGGATGTAATCTCCTGGTGTGCCGTTTGCTAAGACCATTAGAAAAGCGCAGTATTAGGGTGGAGTGTCCTGATTTTCCAAGTACCATCTGTCATGGCTTCCCTTGGTTAGGAAAGGGAATTCCCCAACTCGTTGCACTTCCTGTGTTATGCGACACCCCACCTGCTTCAGGCTCACAGTCTGTGGGCAACACCCACAGTCCAACAAGTCCCAGTGAGATGAACCCGGTACCTCAGTTGGAAATGCAGAAATCACCCATCTTCTGCATTGCTCATGCTGGGAGCTGCAGGCTGCAGCTGTTCCTATTTGGCCGTCTTGGTACCACCCTCCATAAGTTTTTCTTTTAAAAAAAACTTAAAACTTCATATTAGAATCAAAAAGGTATTTAAAGGTATTTCTTCTGGTAATTTTTGGATTTTATCATGTTTTGTTTTGTTTTCTTTCTCACAAGGGGCCACATTTTCCCCATATCAAAACTTTTGCATATACTCTCTCCTAGTCCTAGAATGGTCCTTCCACCCACTGTCTATAAATTTACACTTAATTCCTTAGGAAGACTTTGTTGACCTCAGATCGATCAGCATTGTCACCTCCACGGAAATAATATACTTCTTTCAAAACATAACTGGACATTGAAAGTATTGATTAATGTCGACATCTACTGCACTATAATTTCCATAAAGGTAACAACTCAGTTTGCTCCCCATTGTCTTTCCAGGACATTCGCAGTACATAGTAGAGAATAGAACTTCAGTGAACACTTGCTGGATAAATTAGTTGAGACTATTTCTTCGAGCTTGCTTTCTCTTCTGAAGAATATTGAACTGCCAATCTAGTGAATATATAACTCAGAGAAAAAGCAGGGGGAAACACCAAACAGCTTTCACAGAACTTACTGTTGACACAAGATTATTGAAAAGAAACATTCTCCCTGTTCACTGCCCTCTAATCGATACTTCTCCAGAACCAGAACCCAAATTGTTTGTATGCTTTATGTATAAACAAGTCCACACAAAATCTCCAAAGAAACCAACCAGAAAAGTAACAGCATCCTAAAAATCATCATTTGAAGGAAGATCTAGAGTAGACAACCCTTCACATTACAGTCCTTTCAAAATATAACCATAATGAAAAATTTTAGAAAAAAAAAGATTTTAGATTTTAGAAAAAAAAAGTTACTTTTCACTGGACTCATAACTGTCATCATATTCCCAGTGACAAAGGTAATTGAATTTCAGATGTTAGCACCAGTGAGTGGTTTAATTACTTGGCAGACTCACCACATACTCAGTTATAGTCTATAATTTGATCTGGATTTATTTGGAAAGAATATTAGGATGATGATGCTGTTGTTCCAGGCACGGCATGAGGTAAATGGGCTCTGACAAAGAGCATTACAGAAACAAAGATAAATATACAATATACAAGCAACATCTTCCCAATTAGTCTATATGCATTTGCCTGTAACTGTTGTTTTTAATCTTTCTACTCATGCGTAGTCAGTTGGAATATGAGGTTAGAAGCCAAAAAGTACAAATTGTAGTAACTTTCACAGATAAGCAAAAGTGAAAATAAAACTCAAAGTGGTATAAGAAGAAGAAAAACAGTGGCCTTCCAAAGGACATATACAATTTAAACCAGGTCTTGGCAGAACAAATAATCAGAGAAGCATCATCTGTACACATGTTTCCACTTAAATGTTGAGTTTTCTTTTTAGAGAAATATATTCTGTTTTATGACCCTTGCAGAATTTTTGCTCTTCCAATGCGATTGTTAATTTTCTGGTTGTTATCATTTAAAACTAGGCACTTGGAAGGTAAAAGTTTCAAATAAAGATTAAGGCTGTACACAGTAAAACAAACAATAGAGAACAACAAAATATAAGATTGAAAAGCTGAGGAAGACTGCAAAATTAATCTGTTCATCTGATCTAATTCAGGAAAATTTGGAATTATATCTTTAAAGTAATGTTAGCTAAATTTAGAAATACCTGTATTATCCCTCTATACATGTTGTGAGGGAAAAAATGCTTACAAAGAGTTCTGCTTTCAAACTATGAATCCAAATTCTAAAATAGTACTTCAATAGAAAACCATAGAAGAATAAATGCAATGAAAAATAAACTGTCGAATTTTCCCTGTAGAATTTAGCAATAAGAAATACACTTTTATACTCTTGGTGGGTCTGTAAGTTGATACAGCCATTATGGAAAACAGTATGGAAGTTCCTGAAAAAATTAAAAACAGAACTACCATATAATCCAGCAATCCCATTTGTGGATGAATACTCGAAGGAAACAAAATCCGTATTTGGAAGAGACCTGCGCTCCCATATTCATCTCATTATTCACAATTGCCAAGACATGAAAACTCAAGTGTCCATCAACTGATGAATAGACAAAGAAATTACAGTACATATGTATATAGAGTGGACTACTATTCGTCTTATAAAGGAAAGAATCTTGCCATTTGCAATAGGAAAAACAAGATAAATGGATCTTGATGGTATTATGCTAAAGGAACGATCTTGAGGATATTATGCTAAAGGCAATAAGTGAGACAGTGAAAAACAAATACTATATAATCTCGCTGATATGTGGACTCTAAAGAAGTTGAACTCTCAGAAACAAAGAGCAGAGTGGTTGTTGCCAGTGGCTAGGGGTTAGGGGGACTGGGGATGTGTTGGTCAAAGGATACAAATTTTCAGTTACAAGAGAAATGAGTTCTGGGGAGCTAATATTCAACATGGTGACTATAGTTCACAATACTGTATTGTATACTTGAAATTTGCTAAGAGAGTAGATATGAAATGTTCTTACCACAAAAGAAAATAAATCAACAACAAAAAAATGGTAACTAAGTGAGGCGCTAGATATATTAAGTCATTTGATTTTGACAATCATTTCACATTATATCATCATATGGTATGCCCCAAACTTATACAATTTGTCAATTATGCCTCAATAAAGCTGGAAAAGAATGTTTTTAAATAATAATAGGAAATAATAAAAATAGAAATAACAAAACTCTTACTTCAAAAAATAAAGACATATTTATAAAAATACACTTTTAAAATATATTGTTACCAGAGCACATGAGTAATATGTTATAGTAGACACATGGATGAAGAATTCAAAGGACTCTCATTTCACTGACCAGTGATAATATTACCAAGATTATTATAATTATAAGCAGTCCAAATATGTTTTCTAGCTCCAAGAAATAATAGAAATGATTTTTTTCCTGCAGTGCAATAGCTAGCTCATCACTTCCCCCTGTGAAAATTAGAAAAAAAAAGGCACTTTTCTCCCTAGGGACAGACTTAGCCCAATACCAGGGGCATGGTTCTGTAACACTCAGACCTTCAGCCAGCACCCTTACGCAGGGCACACATCTTACAATGTGCCCCTACTCAGGATGAAATCTTTCCATTGCTGTCTTCTGGTAGAATGTAGAGAAGGCTGACAAAGGTCCTCCATCTAATTCATGTATGACTGTAGGAGAAAAACATGTACTTATATATGAATTTCATTTCTTATATTTAAGAAGGTCTACTGCTAATACTACTTGGGACAATTACAAGTATAGTTTCAGGTAAATGGACCAACTACAGTTTATTGTTATTATTATTTGAATTCACAATAAACAGTGAAATAGAATGTTTAGATAATTAATAAGAACTGAGTATACCACTATGGTCTTATGATTTTTTTTCATTCTGCTATACATTTGATGAGGTGCTGAAAAAATTGAGTTATTTAATTTAGAAAAGGAAAATCTACAATAACACATCATCCTCAATATACATTTCTAGCTATCTTTGACAAGTTTCTTCTCCACACATGAGAATATTTTTCATGTATTTCTTTAGTTAAGAAATGAAAACATGGAAATTAGAAATTCTTTTGGCCAGTTTATTTAAAACCCAGTCAAATAAGGGAACCATAAAAAGTAATAGATACATAACGAAAACATTTTTATTTTAACCTAAAACATAATGTATATTAATTCATCATATATAATGCTATATAATATAGTTACATATTATATAATGTGATATAAATATAATTTGTATTTATTTATTTATTAAGTTATAGTCTATTTTTTAGAAATGTGGGAAATATACTTGCTATGTAAACTCTGGGCAGAATCCTTCTAGAAGCTAATTAGGGTTTGCAGTGAGGTATGATTAGTCTTGTTACCAGTGGAAGAGATCTGAATTACATGAGTTATCTGGTGGCAAATCAATTCTTGTCTCCTCGGAAGTAAGAATTCAATTGAGGGCCATAAAGCAGAAAAAGGCACCAAGGCAAGTTCCAGAGCAGGAGTGGAAGTTTATTTAAAAGGCCTTAGAACAGGAAAGAAAGGAAAGTTCACCTGGAAGAGATCCAAGTGGGCCCCTGAAGGTTAAAGAGAGAGAAAGTCAAGTGCCCCATGTCGCTATGGTCCTAGGACTTTTGTAGGCTCGCCTCTTTCCCATGATTCTTCTCTTAGGGTGGGCTGCCCGCATGCTCAGAGCCTCCCCTACCGTTGGGAAATGCGCACATGCAGTGTTTTTAAGGGATTATATGCATGCCCATCTGAGGCTTTCTTCCTTTTTCAGGTGGAGTGTACCTAGGAGATCATACTTCATCATTTTTGTCTCTTAATGTGCATAACCAGGAAGTGTATTCTCCCTGGGGCTGGTCTTTAATTAACACTTTAACGTTAACAAGTGTGGATCATCAAGAAATGGCGTCTCCCTGGCGTCGGGTGCCAATTTATCACTTTTTAAGAGGCAATGCAATAATTATGGAACCATTTCTAGTGTGTGAGAGGAAGCGCCCTCTCCTGACCCACTCATGCCTAACTACCTGTAACAGTCTCACCCAAGTCTAATTTGACAGAAAATTACTTATATCAAGTTTTTTCCAAAACATTCAACCTGCCTTTATAAACATAATTTTTCACATACTTCTTGTAACAAACATATTTGATATAAAAATTTTAGATTTTATAACTAGAATTTGAAATACAACCAACATAATCTATTAAAGGAACACACAGATGACCCCTTTTTAGTCTACCTTTCAGGTAGCGAAGTCTAAGTGGCTACAGAGATGCAAGATAAACACAGACAACCCCAAGAGTAGAAAAAGAGTGGCATATTCCAACTATCTAGCTCTAACAGCAGATTCCTCTAATTAACTTCAACTAGGGAGACTATTTATTTCCAATACACCTACATTTTTCCTGTTTTAATTATTTTCTCTAAGATCAAAGTTTTAAGATTTCTTAAATATCAAATTATTTTGTTGCAGATAATAATAGATCAACTTTCACAGAAAACCTAAAAATGAGGCTAGCCTATCATTTATGCCGAGAAAAGCAGATATATTTCATGCAAATTGAAGAGTTTTTGTTGTCTTGTTCTTGTTCTGTTGTGTTTTTTAAGAGTTACCTGTCATCAGAATAATTATTTTTGGGTACTAACAATTTGGAAAATATCTTAGCTCTAATCGTATTGATCTGTTCCATATCACTATAAAATACATAGCTCTCTCAATCACCTGACTTTTTATAGCAGCCCTTCAGTAGAGATTCATGATTTGTAGGAAACTGTTTCATCTAAATTTTATAATATTTTATTTAAGAAAATCTAGTTAAGTAGGATAGAAAAGAAGTGCTTAAATACAGAGCAAATGTAAAGCATCAGACAAACTCACTGGAATCAGCATTATCTGGTACTTGTAATTCCTCACTTCAATAAAAAAACTTTGTATGACAATATTGTAAATTAATCTCGTAATTATATGCTTATAATACAACATTACATATTTTGGTGAAAGCGCATTTTGAATCTAATTATAAGCAAAAATTTTGTAATTTATTTTATATGTAGACATTACATTTGTATATAGGTAATCATAACCTTAAATTGACTCCTCTGTGCTTTTTATATTTAACTACAATTTTAATATAAGTCAAAAATTATGTGTGTAGTAACTTACTCTATTCATCCTTCAAAAGAGCAGAGTTCTAATGTTCTGTTGGGTGATTCTAGTGAGCATGTGGATTCTTACCACCCAAACTTCCTACATAAAAAGAGAAAAAAAAAAAAAAAAGAGCATGGAAAAGAAAACCTAAGGCACTCAAGCATCTAACTTTATATATGAACAAGCAAAGTCTACTAAGCCTTCTTGAATTCTTGGCCAATTATTGTTCACTTCTTGTAAGAAATAAAAAATATGGTTTTAGTAATTATTTTTTTATTTCAAATATAAGATGTTTTCCTTGACCTTTTAAAATTTTATAAAGTTTTCTTCATTGTTAGTTTAGCGATATTTTGAGAAAATAGAATGGCTTTATTTAACCTTCTAGAGGCTCTTTTCCGAATGAGATCTGTAAAAAACAAAGTCGGAATTATTATTTTGAAAGCCTAATATACAGTTAGTGTAGCAAAAAAATAAATATTAAAGAAATAGGTGCATTACAATAACTTTATTCACACTGAGAAAAATTTATTTTAGCAATAATGATTACCTAATTCTATGCAAATGTGTTTAAACAGTATTTACAACCAAGAAGTCTAAAATTCCCCTTCAACTCTGATGGAAATTCAGTGTCTAGACAACAATTTTTGTTCTTTCTCACATTTGGCAAATGTTTGGCTTTGTAGATTATTAAAAATCCACTTTATCAATTTGAAAAAAAACCAACTGTTTTAGAAAAGATGCTTTTAAATAAGTATAAAGTAAAATTGATTCATCTTTTTTGTTAGATTAATTCAGGAAAATAGGATATTTCCCAAGAATATTAGAGAAAAACACTTGTTACAGTGTTAAAGATTTATCTCTTTATAAATTCAAAACTTACTTTATAAAATTGATTATTTTATATATAGACATATATATTTATATGTTTATAGGGATGTGTATATATGCACATAACAGGCTAACTTAGATTACAATGCATATTTGAGTTGATTTGATTCAACAGACTGAAATACTGAGGATAGATATATAGCGAATATTTAAAATTAACATCTATTACTTGCTGGGTATTCATCTAGAAATCTCTTTCATTTTTCCCATGACACATAAGCACAATTTTAAGACGTACTCTGTCATTCTGAAAGTAAGTTTCTCAAAAACAGTGTGAGCAAATTCAGAGAAAATTAGCCAATAATGCTTTGTATTTGTGTTCTAAATTAAATTCTAATGGTATATACTTATTTTGCCACATATCAAGTACTTGAGACAAGACAATGCCAACCCTCCTCCCAAATTTTACTATATTTTAATAATGGCAATAGAATTTAAAGTTTTGCTTTTTTTTCACACCTCTAAATTTTGTAAAGTGAAATCAGAACACAGGAGATAAATATAAATATAGATATATTAAAATTAGTCCTAATTAATGCTCGTCATTTTGGGATCTCTGTCTCCAAAGGATGAAGAAGAATGCCTTATAAAGTCTATGAATAATTGTGAAGGTTAATTTTATGTGTCAATTTGGCTGGGCCATGGTGCACTTATATGTAGCTAAACATTATTCTGAATGTTTCTGTGAAGGTATTTTTGGATGAGATTAGCATTTAAATTGGTGGACTTTGAGTAAGGCAAACTGCTCTTCATAATGTGGGTGAGCCTCATCCAATCAGTTAAAGGACTGAATACAACAAAAACTGATCTCCCTAGAACAAGAGGAAATTCTGCCAGCAGATCTTTGGACTTGAACTGCAGTATCAGCTCTTCTCTGTGTCTTTAGCCTAATGGCCTTCAGGCTTGAAGTACAGCATCACATTTTCCTGGATTGCCAGTCTGCCAGCCAACTCTGCAGATCTTGGACTTGCCAGGCTTCATAATCACATGAGCCAATTCTCTGAAAATAAATCCCTTTTCATACATACAGTAGTTTCCATTTATGTGTGGGGGATATGTTCCAAAACCCCTAGTGGATACCTGAAACCACGGTATGTTATTTCCTGTCTCTATATATACATATATACCTGAGATAAAGTTTAATTTATAAGTTAGCTACATGACATTTGTGCTGTGAGGCTACTATTGTGTAAAATAAAAGTTACTTGAACACAAGCACTGTGATACCCCAACAGTGGATCTGAGAACTGAGATGACCACTAAGTGACTAATGAGTGGGAAGTAGAAACAGGATGGATGCACTGGACAAAGGGTCGACTCATATCCAGAGCTTGATGGAGCAGATGGCCCAAGATTTCATCATGGTATTCAGAATGGTGTGCAATTTAAAATATATGAATTGTTTATTTCTGAAATTTTTCATTTAATATTTTTGGACTCTGGTTGACCACAGTTAACTGAAACCAGGGAAAGTAAAACGGCAGCTAAGGGGACTATTGTACACATACACATCCTATTTGTTCTGCTTCTCTGGAGTGCCCTTACAAACACACACATCCAAATAGGAGTAACTCTTGTTTTATATGCTCTTTGAAGTTTTATATGCTCTTTGAAAACATCAAATTTTTTTAATCTTTGCATTTCCAAAACTTAACTCATTGCTGAACATAGAATCAAGCCTTAATAAATGTTGAAAAAAATACAGTTATAACTCACTAATAATATTCTTGTGTTAAAGAAAATCATTCTGATCAAAAAGCCATTAATTAGAGCAATTCGGCAATGCTGAATACAGAAGACACTGCTGCTAAGCATGATAGCTTTAGGCCTTGGAGCCATGTAGAATTGAGTTTGAAGTCAGGCTTTACTTTGAGAAATTCACTAAGCCTTCATTTTTCATCTGCATCATGGGTTTTCAATATCTATTCTAGTGGACATTTTATGTTTGCCCAGAATCTTTTAAATATCCTTCCTAGATTTGGGGGTTCTCCACATCCTAAGTTTCATGTTTGTAAGAGAGACAAATATCATTTTCCCAGCCTCCATTGCAGGTGGAATACTGACATGTGACATAGGTTTTTCCCACCGCTGTATGAAACTTTGAATTTGAAGAGAATGACTCAAGAAAAGTGGCTCCCCATAGAATCACTGCGATGAGGATGGCAGGAGGTGTTTATGCTCCAGAGACAGCACTGGCAGAGGTCCAGGATCTAGATACTGGCAGAGTGTGTCAAATCTCTGTACCTGCTATATCCAACTGTGGTGTGATTTTAATTACATCAAAATGTGAATTGTTGGCCTCTCCAAAGATTCTGTGTAATAATTTAATGAATCCTTTTTCCACTTAAACTAGCAAAAATGGGTTATCTTGCCTATGATGGAGATGGTTACTTACATATACCTTACAACTATACTACGAATTAGAATATGTGCAGAGTGCCTAGGAGAATTCCTGTTATAGAGTAGGGTCACAACATTTTAATGCACTGTGTTACTTAAGCTTTCTACAACTGAAGTTTTTCTTCAAAGTTTTTCTTCAATGTTTTTATTCCAGTTTTTGGTAAGCTTCTGCAAGTTATGTGTAAAAATGTGCACAGTGTCAGTAATATTAGATGCTATTAGAAAGTGTATCTACTAAGTAAGTATACAGAGAAGTTCCTTATAAAGTCGGACTGATAACAAAAATGTCTAGAAATTGTTAAAGTTTTAGAAATTAATCAGACTGTACACTGTATTTTTATTTGTTCTCGTCGAAGAATGTATTTTGTGCTTTGAATGAGAAATGCTCCAAGAAACCTTGTATAACTATAGGATGAATACGCCAAGTCACAAAGAGATCTATATCAAATATTTTGAGATACCTTCCCAACCACCTAAGTTTCAGCTTATGCCTTCAGCATAAGGCAAAAATAAAACGAATAAATAAGTCTGTTTCATGCTTGGAGAACAAGAAGAAACAATATTTTCAAAATTAAATCCTGCATTTGATTTACCAAAAGCAAACAACAACAACAAAAACAATGAGTGGTATGTGGAAGGCACTCAGTTATTTTAAGCCACAAGTCAGACTACCTTAGACTTAGAATTAGTAGAGGTTAATTAAAAAAAAAACGATAAGATGGATGGATAAAAGGAAAGATTTTAAAAAGCACTCCACAATCCCTTTCCCACAGGCTTAATTCAGTTTAGGTGAGGAAATTATATGAACCAGTTTGTTCACTGAAAAAAATATTCATTGAGTTTCTCCTCTGTGTCAAACAAAGCAAATAATAGGTTCGCCACTCCACTTGACACTTAGGGATAACAGTCTGCTCTTCCTAAACATCCTCAGAAAAGCTTATGTGTATTCAGATGAAGAGAAGTGAAGCAAAATAACCAGGTGGGGGTAAAAAGGCAGTTTTTGTTTGCATGCCTGCTGCTTTTGTGTCTTTAAGTACTACAAGTACTGTCCTTGAGCAGACAATGCTTTGAAAGATGGGCTGCAAACTTAAATGGGCAGCAACAATACTAGTCTTATTCTGCCTGAATAAATCAAAATTGCATTCCAATCAAATTTCATACTAACAAAATACCCTTTATGCCTACTCTAATGTGTGAGAAAAAGAGAATCAGAAAAAGAATGCTTATTTTCCACAAAACTAATGTCTCCCTCAAACTGAATCCCACTCTTCTGTACCTTTTAAAGAATCGGTGTCATTTAAAAGGGACAAGTGTGTAAGGAATAAGAAGCCTATACACTTTACTAAGCATCTTCAATGCTTTCAGGAAGAGTCTGCATTACCTTGGTGGTGTAGAGATATTTTGTGTCTTAGAACAGTGCCTGGCGTTCAGAATGGGTCAATACATGTCTAAACAACATAAATACAACAGTTTTTAGTTTTAGCAATCTAGCATACTTTCATCATTCTAACTCAAAATTTCCAAGGATATTTGCTAAGAAACAACATTTATATATTACATATACACATATTGAATCCTTATCAACATCACTAATTAAAACCACCAAAAGTAACTTGATAAGAAACCCTTCTATAAATATAACGGCCACATTTTAGGAGGCTGTGGCAGAGGATCACTTGAGGCTAGGAATTAAAGGCCGACCTGGGCAACATAACAAGACCTCGTCTCTACTAAAAAATGTTTAAAAAAAAAAAAAAAAGTAGCCAGATATGGTAGTGCATGTCTGTCATCTCAGCTACCTGGGAGGCTGAGGTGGGTGGATTGTTTAAGCCCAGGAGTTTGAGGCTGCAGTGGGCTGTAAGTGCACTACTGCACCACAGCCTGGGTGACAGAATGAGACCTTGTCTCAAGAAAAAAAAAGTGGCCAATTCTACAATTTGAGTGTCAAATAAAAATCATAATTTAAAAATTAAAATTTCAAAATATTAAATACATGTTTAAAACAAAAAAAAAATCACAGATAGCATCTGCTTACAAAATAACTGAAAATGTGGCCATTAAAATTCCTCCTTTGGAAGGTAACTCTACTATGCACAAATTAAGGGGCAGACTCCCAAACTCACAGTAATTCCCAGAGTGACAATTCACACACCCCTATCATTTTGAAGAACCAATTTTCTTCTCCATCAACACTCCTCAAATTAGGTCTAAAGGGATGTGCGGCATGACACTTTTTCCCTAGTACACACTAGATTGGCTTACAAGTGGATTCATGATCCACCAGGGTAAGTAGTAATACATCACATCCCAGGTCTCTATGACTGCTCCGTGACAATGATTGACAAACTTTCCTGAGACTGAAAAATCAGCTGTTAAATATACAGCTTTCTAGGTCCTTTTTCTGGAGATTCACACCCATTGAGTCTGAGATGGGGCCTAGCAATTCTTTTTTTCAAACAGGTACCCCAAGTGAGTTTTCTGATCAGGAAATTTTGAAATGTCATACTCAAAAGCAGTGGTTCTCAAACTTTGCTGGGGGAATTTAAAATTCCAAATGTCCAGGCTGGAATCTATAGGAGTAGGAAGCATACATCAGTATTATTTTTTTTATATTCTGAGGATCACCAGCACCAGCCACATTTGAGAGCTTGTTAGAAATGCAAAATCTCAGATTCTACCCTCACCTATCTAAGCTTCCCAAGCAGAATGTGTATTTTAAAAAGCTCCAAGGTGATTATATGCACATTAAAGTTTGAGAAGCACTGTTAGGAATGAAATTCTGATCCAAGTCTGGCAATAGCTTTTTTTCTCTTTTTTTTTTCACACGTAGTCTTGCTCTGTTGCCCAGGCTGGAGTGCAGAGGTGCGATCTCGGCTCACTGCAAGCTCCACTTCCCAGGTTCAAGTGATTGTCCTGCCTCGGCCTCCTGAGTAGCCGGGATTTACAGGAACCCACCGCCACGCCCGACAAATTTTTGTATTTTTAGCAGAGAGGGGGCTTCACCATGTTTGCCAGGCTGGTCTCGAACTCCTGACCTCATGATCCTCCCACCCCGGCCTCTCAAAGTGCTGGGATTACAGGCATGAGCCACTGCACCAGGCCAATAGTTTTTCTACACTGAGCTGGGAAAAACTTTTCTGGTGGTGAAGGTGGAAGGATATGAGGCCAGCAGCAGTCACTTCTAGCATTCCCATGATTTCCTCATATGAGTTGATGAGAAAAATATCTTTTTCTTGCAAACAAAAAAGTACTATTTCAGTAAACTTCTTTTAAAACCATCTTCATTCAATTCAAAAAATTAATGTGTCATAGTGAATGGCTGAGGCCCCTTCTAAGATTTAAGCTTTAAAAGTCCGTAGTTGTTTAAAATTTAATTAACTTATTTGCATTTACATTCTCTCTCTTGTAATTTCCTGTCATTTCAAAATGCTCATGTAACTGTGTGGTCTTTTCGTACATTATTGAGGTTCTTAAAGTGTACATTTTCTTAAAGTGTACTTCTCTGTGCATCACCCTATTTACCAGCCCAATAGGAGACAGCAACAATAATTGTGAGAGCACGCTTTTGTTCGGTGGCATAAATGGATATATAATTATACGAAAATACCAAATATTTTTAAAATTTCAGAGAAAATTAGAGACCCTAATTGTTGCAAGAGCAAAAATATGGATGATGAAGAAATGTAAGTGGGTTGGTCTATTACTGTAACCTAAAACTGAATAACATTGGTAAGCAATTTTCAAATGATTTAATTCAAGTAGAAAATTATTTGAAGGAGAACGGTGGTACAATTCTTTGGTGAGCAACTTCTGTGGGCCAGAGTTACCTTAGGACCTGGAAGAAGTTATGACAAAGTAGTCAGCAAGCCACCTAGGGTCTCAACCAGAGACTTGAACTTTGCCCAGAAACCTCACTAAAGATTGGAAAACACGTCTACCTGAGCGAATGAAAAAAAAGAAAACTTCTACATCCAATTGAAGAGTGGGAGAGTGAAGCAGTGTAGCTTCCACATGTTTTCCTGGTCTAAAAGTCCCTGATGGCCGGGGTTCTGGAGGCAGCTGTGAGAACCTTCTACCTGTGTGCCTCAGTGACGTTAACAAAGCCCCAGCCAATGGTTCTTGTGCCAGCCCACCCCTCACATCCCTGAGAGGGCTCATCAGTTTCACATTAACAATTTATAACAATATTTCCCCTTCTCCAAGAAAGGACTTGCTGTTTCATCTTCCAAAAATATCCATACATTGTGTCTCTGGGACCCAAGACTTTTATGAAATAGGATGCATCACATATCGTCTTTAAAAGGCATTTTTCTCCAGACACATAAAGAGTTTTTGCTTGTTTGTTTGCTTTGTTTTGTTTTCCACACAGAGACAAAAAGAATGAAGATCAGATCATCCAACTGAACACAAGTGGTTCTGCTTACAGATGAAACCCCAGTAGCCAGTGTCAAGCTTGGCAAACAAGAGGATCTCATTGTGTGCTATTTTGCTTTATTTATTTATTCTTTCCTTTCTTTTTCAGATTATTGCTTATCTTTAAATAACTTTGTATCAACATATAATGTTGACAGTTGCTTAATTTAAATCAGTAAAATCAACACCATAAGAAATTTGAGTCTTCTACACCACATTCTTTTAAATCACAGATTCCCCTAAATAATTGTTGATATGCTTTTAATATTAATAACATTTAAATTTTCAGGAATTGGTTTCAAAGAACATCTTTATTTCTGCCTTCATTTCGTTATGTACCCAGTAGTCATTCACGAGCAGATTGTTCAGTTTCCATATAGTTGAGTGGTTTTGAGTGAGTTTCTTAATCCTGAGTTTTAGATTGATTGCACTGTGCTCTGAGAGACAGTTTGTTATAATTTCTGTTCTTTTACATTTGCTGAGGAGTGCTTTACTTCCAACTATGTGGTCAATTTTGGAGTAAGTGTGATGGGGTACTGAGAAGAATGTATATTCTGTTGATTTGGAGTAGAGAGTTCTGTAGATGTCTATTAGGTCTGCTTGGTGCAGAGCTCAGTTTAATTCGTGGATATCCTTTTTAACTTTCTGTCTCATTGATCTGTCTCATGCTGACAGTGGGGTGTTAAAGTCTCCCATTATTATTGTGTGGGAGTCTAAGTCTCTTTGCAGGTCTCTAAGGACTTGCTTTATGAATCTGGCTGCTCCTGCATTGGGTGCATATATATTTAGCATAGTTAGCTCTTCTTGTTGAATTGATCCCTTTACCGTTATGTAATGGCCTTCTTTGTCTCTTTTGATCTTTGTTGGTTTAAAATCTATTTTATCAGAGACTAGGATTGCAACCCCTGCCTTTTTTTGTTTTCCATTTGCTTGGTAGATCTTCCTCCATCCCTTTATTTTCAGAACAAAGACACAACATACCAGAATCTCCAGGACACATTTAAAGCAGTGTATAGAGGGAAATTTATAGCACTAAATGCCCACAAGAGAAAGCAGGAAAGATCTAAAATTGATGCCCTAACATCACAATTAAAAGAACTAGAGAAGCAAGAGCAAAAACATTCAAAAGCTAGCAGAAGACAAGAAATAACTAAAATCAGAGCAGAAGTGAAGGAAATAGAGACACAAATACCTTCCAAAAAATCAATGAATCCAGGAGCTGGTTTTTTGAAAAGATCAACAAAATTGATAGACCACTAGCAAGACTAATAAAGAAGATAAGAGAGAAGAATCAAATAGATGCAAGAAAAAATGATAAAGGGGATATCACCACCAATCCCACAGAAATACAAACTATTATCAGAGAATACTATAAACACCTCTACGCAAATAAACTAGAAAATCTAGAAGAAATAGATAAGTTCCTGGACACATACACCCTCCCAAGACTAAACCAGGAAGAAGTTGAATCCCTGAATAGACCAATAACAGGCTCTGAAATTGAGGCAATAATTAATAGCCTACCAACCAAAAAATGTCCAGGACCAGATGATTCACAGCCGAATTCTACCAGAGGTACAAGCAGGAGCTGGTACCATTCCTTCTGAAACTATTCCAATCAATAGAAGAAGAGGGAATCCTCCCTATCTCATTTTACAAGGCCAACATCATCCTGATACCAAAGCCTGGCAGAGACATAACAAAAAAAAGAGAATTTTAGACCAATATCCCTGATGAACATCGATGCAAAAATCCTCGATAAAATACTGGCAAACCGAATCCAGCAGCACATCAAAAAGCTTATCCACCATGATCAAGTGGGCTTCATCCCTGGGATGCAAGGCTCGTTCAACATATGCAAATCAATAAATGTAATCCAGCATATGAACAGAATTAAAGACAAAAACCACATGATTATCTCAGTAGATGCAAAAAGGTCTTTGACAAAATTCAACAGCCCTTCATGCTAAAAACTCTCAATAAATTAGGTATTGATGGGATGTATCTCAAAATAATAAGAGCTCTCTATGACAAACCCACAGCCAACATCATATTGAATGGGCAAAAACTGGAAGCATTCCCTTTGAAAACGGGCTCAAGACAGGGATGCCCTCTCTCACCACTCCTATTCAACATAGTGTTGGAAGTTCTGGCAAGGACAATCAGGCAGGAGAAGGAAATAAAGGGTACTCAATTAGGAAAAGAGGAATTCAAATTGTCCCTGTTTGCAGATGTATATCTAGAAAACCCCAACGTCTCAGCCCAAAATCTCAAGCTGATAAGCAACTTCAGCAAAGTCTCAGGATACAAAATCAATGTGCAAAAATCACAAGCATTCTTATACACCAATAACAGACAAACAGAGAGCCAAATCAGGGGTGAACTCCCATTCTCAATTGCTTCAAAGAGAATAAAATACCTAGGAATCCAACTTACAAGGGATGTGAGGGACCTCTTCAAGGAGAACTACAAACCACTGCTCAATGAAATAAAAGAGGATACAAACAAATGGAAGAACCTTCCATGATCATGGATAGGATGAATCAATATCATGAAAATGGTCATACTGCCCAAGGTAATTTATAAATTCAATGCCATCCCCATCAAGCTACCAATTACTTTCTTCACAGAATTGGAAAAAACTACTTTAAAGTTCATATGGAAACAAAAAGAGCCCACATTGCCAAGACAATCCTAAGCCAAAAGAACAAAGCTGGAGGCATCATGCTACCTGACTTCAAACTATACTACAAGGCTACAGTAACCAAAACAGCATGATACTGGTACCAAAACAGAGATACAGGCCAAGGGAACAGAAGAGAGCCCTCAGAAATAATACAACACATCTACAACCATCTGATCTTTAACAAACCTGACAAAAACAAGAAATGGGGAAAGGATCCCCTATTTAATAAATGGTGCTGGGAAAACTGGCTAGCCATACGTAGAAAGCCAAAACTGGATCTCTTCCTTACACCTTATAGAAAAATTAATTCAAGATGGGTTAAACATTTAAATGTTAGACCTAGAACCATAAAAACCCTAGAAGAAAACCTAGGCAATACCATTCAGGACATAAGCATGGGCAAGGACTTCATGTCTAAAACACAAAAAGCAATGGCAACAAAAGCCAAAGTTGACAAATGGGATCTAATTAAACTAAAGAGCTTCTGCACAGCAAAAGAAACTACCACCAGAGTGAACAGGCAACCTACAGAATGGGATAAATTTTTTGCAATCTACTTATCTGACAAAGGGCTAACATCCAGAATCTACAAAGAACTCAAACAACTTTACAAGAAAAAAACAAACCCCATCAACAAGTGGGCAAAGGATATGAACAGACACTTCTCAAAAGAAGACGTTTATGCAGCCAACAGACACATGAAAAAATGCTCAACACTGGCCATCAGAGAAACGCAAATCAAAACCGCAGTGAGATACCATCTCACACCAGTTAGAATTGTGATCATTAAAAAGTCAGGAAACAAAAGGTACTGGAGAGGATGTGGAGAAATAGGAACACTTTTACACTGTTGATTTCACTGTAAACTAGTTCAACCATTGTGGAAGACAGATGGCAATTCCTCAAGGATCTAGAACTAGAAACGCCATTTGACCCAGCCGTCCCATTACTGGGTATATACCCAAAGGATTATAAATCATGCTGCTATAAAGACACATGCACATGTATGTTTATTGCACCACTATTCACAATAGCAAAGACTTGGAACCAACCCAAATGTCCATTAATGATAGACTGGATTAAGAAAATGTGGCACATATACACCATGGAATACTATGCAGCCAGAAAAAAGGATGAGTTCATGTCGTTTGTAGGGTCATGGATGAAGCTGGAAACCATCATTCTCAGCAAACTGTTGCAAGGACAAAATACCCAAACACCGCACGTTCTCACTCATAGGTGGGAATTGAACAATGAGAACACTTGGACACAGGAAGGGGAACATCATACGCCAGGGCCTGTCATGGGGTGGGGGAATGGGGGAGAGATAGCATTAGGAGATATACCTAATGTGAATGACGAGTTAATGGGTGCAGCACACCAACCTGGCACATGTATACATATGTAACTAACCTGCACGTTGTGCACACGTACGCTAGAACTTAAAGAAAAATTTAAAAAAATAAAATTTCAGGAATTGCACCCTTCAGTGAAGAAATGTATCAACATTTTACCATATTTTAAAAGTATCATCCCTTGTTTCTCATTTCTGTATCTGGGAGAAAATAGATGCATTGCCTTATCACCTTATCTTACAAAAAAGGGAGGCACTTTGATGTCTCTCCTGATATCCATCATAGCTCTCCCAAAAGATGAGAACAATAAAGGCCAAATGACATATTTTGCACAATCCAAAGCCTCAATTCATTCTACACGCCTTGGTTTAGAATCCAAATCGCTAATTTCAATTAAGATTGTCCACAGACAATCTTAATCAAACCATTACTCACTTCCCAGGAAAAACCCAGAACAGTTATAAAATAGAACATTATTTTTTCTACTACCCCAAAAAATAGTTAAATCTGTGAAATTCCCAGCTTTTTAAATGTATGACCTTATTATCGCAGGAACAGTGAGTAGAATTAACAGTCTTGATTAACTTCTGATGTTTATTTTTGCTTCTCTTTCATGCAACTGAACATTATACAAAATTTTATTTAAGGATTTAGATAATTGTGTTTATTTAATATTTCTGTGTTATTGGCATATTGTTTTCTACCCCTTGGGGTAGAAACTGGTCCTGCTTCCTTGAATCTGAAAAGCCCCTGTAGGTGAAAACATAATAATTATTAACAAGACATGATGGCTACATAACAAGCAAGTACCTGCCTCTATCTTACTGTTAACTGTAAGAATCAATTCAGTAAGAAACTGGAAAACATACACTATGTTCTGAGGATATTATTTACCACCCATCAAATGTAATTATTCTCTTAAATATGTTTCTGGGATTTTAAAATTGCTAGAAGTTTTTTTCCAATACCTTGAAAGCTTTTCAGTCTTCATATTTAGGCAAAATAATATTTTAAACATACTTTCTAATAATAACAAGGAAAAGCATAATTATAACTTCAGGTAAATATCTCCTTTGTTCACAGTGCTCAACACATTGTCATATTTATAGGGAGCTCGAAATATTTTGTTGATTACTTAACCTTTGAATAGCAGATGTTAGGAAGGAGAAAGAAACAAAAACAAAAGCAATAACTACTGGCACTGAAGTATTATGACATGCCTCAATGCATTCAAAGATGTAGGCTTTGAGAGTTGCCATCTTGGACAGGCTACCCAGGAATATCATAGGTAAATTGCATATTTAGTATCATACAATATCAGATATGGGATTGAACTTAGAAATCATATAGTTTAGATTTATTATATAGATAAAGAAACTGGAATCTAGCAAAGTGAGTGGATGCATAGCCCACAGAGTTGTATTCATGACAGAGGGCAGGGTAGACTCAAGCACTCCTGACTCCCACTCAGTGTATGAGTGTTCTCCTTTGAAGACCACTGTATTGGAAATCCCCAAGATCCTCTTAAGTTCAATGATTTGCTGAAAGAACCTACAGAGCTCATGTAAGCTATTGTAATCACAATTGCAGTTTATTACAGAAAAAATAATACACATGAAAATCTGCAAAGGAATAGGTGAACAGTAGAGTTCAGGAGAGACCAGGCATAAGCTTCCTGTTGTTCTCTCCTCACAGAGTCATACAGACAGACAGTGCTAAATTCTCCCAGCAAACATGCACAGAGTATTGCCAACAAGGGAAGCTCAGCTGAGCTGCAGTGTCCAGGGATATTTTGCAGGATCTGTCCCATAGGCATAGAGCACCAGTGTGACTGACCTGATTAATTCCATTGCCAGCCCCTCCAGAAGTCAAACTCATGCAATGTGACTCAAAGTCCCCACCAAAAATCATATTGTTAACACAAATTCTTTAGGCTGGCTCAGGGCCACAGGTAAAACAAAGCAAAACAACAAAAAACAAACAAACAAACAAAACACCCTTCAAGCAGGGAATTCAAAGGATTTAGAGATTATCTTCCAGAAGCAGATAAAGGACTAGTTCTTTCTTTGGAGTGTGCAGGGTTTTAACAACCAAAACCCACGGAGTTAACCTTTTACTGAACCGTGAGCACCCAAAACCTGCTGATTTAACTCTTTTCTACTTATCAATGTTAAAGGCTGCATTCTTAAGTCCCCAAAATCTATTGGTTTTGATGATATGCTTTAGGAGACCTTTAATTTTTGTAAGATTATCATCCAACAAACTATTTTTTTATTATTATTATACTTTAAGTTTTAGGGTACATGTGCACAACATGCAGGTTTGTTGCATATGTATACATGTGCCATGTTGGTGTGCTGCACCCATTAACTCGTCATTTAGCATTAGGTATATCTCCTAATGCTATCCCTCCCCCCTCCCCCCACCCCACAACAGTCCCCAGAGTGTGATGTTCCCCTTCCTGTGTCCATGTGTTCTCATTGTTCAATTCCCACCTATGAGTGAGAACGTGCGGTGTTTGGTTTTTTGTCCTTGCAACAGTTTGCTGAGAATGATGGTTTCCAGCTTCATCCATGACCCTACAAAGGACATGAACTCATCCTTTTTTATGGCTGCATAGTATTCCATGGTGTATATGTGCCACATTTTCTTAATCCAGTCTATCATTAATGGACATTTGGGTTGGTTCCAAGTCTTTGTTATTGTGAATAGTGGTGCAATAAACATACATGTGCATGTGTCTTTATAGCAGCATGATTTATAATCCTTTGGGTATATACCTAGCAATGGGATGGCTGGGTCAAATGGTATTTCTAGTTCTAGATCCCTGAGGAATCGCCACACTGACTTCCACAAGCGTTGAACTAGTTTACAGTCCCACCAACAGTGTAAAAGTGTTCCTATTTCTCCACATCCTCTCCAGCACCTGCTGTTTCCTGACTTTTTCATGATCACCATTCTAACTGGTGTGAGATGGTATCTCATTGTGGTTTTGATTTGCGTTTCTTTGATGGCCAGTGATGATGAGCATTTTTTCATGTGTCTGTTGGCCGCATAAATGTCTTCTTTTGAGAAGTGTCTGTTCACATCCTTCACCCACTTGTTGATGGGGTTGTTTGTTTTTTTCTTGTAAATTTGTTTGAGTTCATTGCAGATTCTGGATATTAGCCCTTTGTCAGATGAGTAGGTTGCAAAAATTTTCTCCCATTCTGTAGGCTGCCTCTTCACTCTGATGGTGGTTTCTTTTGCTGTGCAGAAGCTCTTTAGTTTAATTAGATCCCATTTGTCAATTTCGGCTTTTGTTGCCATTGCTTTTGGTGTTTTAGACATGAAGTCCTTGCCCATGCCTATGTCCTGAATGGTATTGCCAACAAACTATTTAAATAAAAAGGATTCGATGAAACTACAGGAAGAGGTAGCTTTCACTGCTAGAGAGGTGTGATCCTTACAGGCCTGAATGAAGACAAATTGCTTGGGCTTTCTTTGTTGTCCAGTATATCCTGAAATTGATTTAGAAAAGACAGAAGTTTCGAAATAGAACTCAGGAGGATCATCAGCTCCAGTTTTTAATACTGTAAAAGAGTAGAAGTAGGATCTCTGGAAACACACCTAGAAGAATGTGCTTGCTTCAAAATGTAATTTACAAAGTTATATGTTCTAATCTTCACTTCTTAGAATATTACTAGGGACATAATAGTACATTTAACAACCCAGTTCTCCAGGGGTGGTAAAACTCTGATTTGAAGCATTTGCTGATTTCTGTGGTGTAAATATTCCCACCACGGCCAATGTCAAGCTATAAATGTAAGGTCACTGATTGTGAAAGGGGAGAGAAATGTACGTAATGGGCTCTTGAAAATCCATATGAACCTGCTCCACTACAACACTGGATATTACCAAGTAAGTTAGGCCTAACTGTTTCTAAGGTTTCAATGTTTAACTATCTGTTATAGACTATATATTTCCTATAGCAAATGTATCCTCAACCATCATTACTGTTCATAACTGTATTTTTGGCTTTTAATCTCACTTGCACAATAAAATTTGCTTTGGCTCAATATATTACAATTGATATTCCTGTAAACTGTAATATTTTCTTCATGTGTGTTATATTTTTAACAGACAGGTAGATAAAACATTTTTAATGAGATCCAAGTTTAAATTTGACCTTTGGGATTTGGGTTATCTAGGAGTGGTCAATATCATCATGTCTAAAAGTACTTAGAATAAATGTCTCATGTATTATTAAGTTTGCTGCCAAAGAAATAAAAGGATGGGAGCGACAGAAGTGCAATAGTGGAGCGGTATATTCAGAAAACATTTTACATTATCAAATTACTTAGTTAAATGGAGGTAGTCATTGAGAAAATTCTTGTATCTAGCATAGAAATTTAACTGCCTAGGAAAGAATAAAACCCAGAAAACCATAAAAATGAAGAGCAATTTGGGACCAAGGCCAGGACTCAGATTCTCTTTCTGTTTGCTGATGTCCCTAATTAGTTTTTCAATTCCTTAATAGGATAGGATTGGTGGTTAAACAATGGCTTCAAATAATTGCAAACATTATAATCAGTTATGCATGCACCAAGCAGGTCAATACATTAATAACTACTATAAATTTTATACTATTATTTTTGTTCCTCATTCATTTGTTCCAATTTTCTAGTAAAATAATTCCATGCAGGTGTTGCTAATTTAGAATAACCTAAAGTGAAAATAGCAAATGTTGCTTGGGTGCCAATCAAAAGACTCTCAAATACACTATTGGTACTTAATAGCTTGAAAGCTATTAACATGTCTGCAGTTAAGAAGATAGTGGCCCAGCAGCCGCCCCATCTGGGAGATGGGGGGCGCCCCTGCCTGGCAGCCACCCCATCTGGGAGGTGGGGGGGCGCCCCCACCCGGCAGCCACCCCGTCTGGGAGGTGTACCCAACAGCTCATTGAGAAGGGGCCATGATGACGATGGCGGTTTTGTCAAATAGAAAAGGGGGAAATGTGGGGAAAAAAAAGAGAAATCAGATTGTTACTGTGTCTCTGTAGAAAGAAGTAGACATAGAAGACTCCATTTTGTTCTGTACTAAGAAAAATTCTTCTGCCTTGGGATGCTGTTAATCTATAACCTTACCCCCAACCCTGTGCTCTCTGAAACATGTGCTGTGTCAACTCAGGGTTAAATGGATTAAAGGCGGTGCAAGATGTGCTTTGTTAAACAGATGCTTGAAAGCAGCATGCTCCTTAAGAGTCATCACCACTCCCTAATCTCAAGTACCCAGGGACACAAACACTGCGGAAGGCCTCAGGGTCCTCTGCCTAGGAAAACCAGAGACCTTTGTTCACATGTTTATCTGCTGACCTTCCCTCCACTATTGTCCTATGACCCTGCCAAATCCCCCTCTCCGAGAAAAACCCAAGAATGATCAATAAATACTAAAAAAATTTAAAAAAAGATAAAAAAACATAATGTCATTAGTTTATGACCAATTAACATGAAAACTAAATTTAAAAATAAACACATTAGTGGAATTTAAAATTTTATTATTTGTTTATTTTTTAGAGACCCAGGTCTTCCTATGTTGCCCAGGCTGATCTCAAACTCCTGGGCTCAGGCGATTCTCCTGCTTCAGCCTCCTGAAGTGCTGGGATTACAGATGTGAGCTACCACGCCTGGCCACATTTGTGTTTTTATCTGCATCATTCCAATTAATCACCAAAAATAGTTTTGCCCATTCTACTTTAATGACTACATAACAAAATTGAGAAACTGTGTTTATGCTTGAAAAGTTCATGCTCCTAACTAGGTTAAACATTTCCTAAAACAATATTATTTATATTATTAACACAACTCTTTTTTAAAAAATAGTATAAATGTAAATTATTATAAGCTTGGATGATAGCTGTTTGAATTAATGAAGCTTAACTAAATGTGTATGTATGTGTGTGCACTGGAGTGGTGGTGGGAATGGACCAAAAGAATCCCTGAGAGAAGAGTACAATTGTTTTAAAATACATTTAGGTAAAGACTATTTATGATTCTTGAGGAAAGAGAGCCTATATAAAAACTTTTTATTATCTTTAACTTTTAATTGTCTCTTTTGAAAATTCAAAGACATTAAATACCTGTTCGTAAAATTTTTCAACAAACTAGGTTTACAATTTTACATTCCCACCACCAACCTTGTCTTGAAAGTGTTCATTTTGTTAGTCTCTACGGAACCTAGGATATGGAACCTAGGATAGTTATCTTATACATGGCAGGCATTTCAATAATGTCACTTGAATACAATTCCAATAATTTTATCACATTTTCAACATTGATACACAATATACGAGGTCAAAAATTCTAATAACACACTTATACTAGAATTTCACATTTCCCTAATTCAGATTTTTAGGAACTTCCTAGACTTATATAATATACAAAGCTATGGACAGAATGTCTAAAAAACCATGAAGCCTGCCTCCAATAAGAGATCCACATTTCTTTAAAAAGAAATTTAAAAGACTCAGGCACCTATATAAGTAGATCTGACTGTCAATATATACAGGTTTACCCACAGAGAAAATAAAATTCCCGTATGTTGTAACACTTGGAAAAAAAAAAAAGAAGATAGTGGCTAAATGAGACTGAAACTTAATACTTTATATTACATGTAATTAATTTAAATTTCATTCATGTTATGCTTAGTAAAATATTCTGAAATCATTCTGTGTTGTTTTAAAGTCCAAATAAAGAGTGACAAACCACAAATGCACAAATCATGGTGGATCTTCCTAAGATTAATTACTCAAGGGCAGCAACTGTCCCAATAAGCTACAGACTCCTCATACCCCACCTGCTGTAAAGAGGGGAAAAAGGGAACTTCATTTTAATTTTTCTAATAAAACACCTTAGAAATACAAATATAAATCATTATTGATATCTATCTATTCCATTCAATGTAACTTCTTTCATAATTAAGAAAAAATTAAAACATATAGTACATCTATAGTTCATAGTTTTTCCACATACAAGAAGAGAGCTATGCTATCACTCTATTTTGTGTGATTGCTATACAAAGAAACCACATCAATTATTTCCTGATAAAAAACTTTTCTAAGCAGTAGGTAATAAAGTTCATAGAATAGTACTTCTGTTTGTTTTTTGTTTTCTCCTAAAAGTTTTATCCAGATATTAGACTCTATCACAATCCATATTTATCATTTCTATTTCAATGTGTAAAATAAAATAGGAAGCATTTACATGTCAAATAAATATTACTTCCTAAAAGCAAGAATTTAATAAACCTTGTCAATACTGGTTTTAATTCTCAAACTAAGAAACCAGAGTAGGTCATGTGATACACTGTAATTTTAATATACCATATATATTGAGATCATTAAGTTAATACTAAATTACTTGCTTGAATAAAGAACGATCTAATTCTGATAACAAAGAAAGTAGTCCAGAAGTAAGAAAATATATGCTATGGTTTGCATGTATCCTCCAAAGTTCATGTGTTGAAAACTTAATTCTGAATGCAACAGGGCATTGAGTTGTGTTTTTTTTTTGAAAGTGGTGATGAGGTCACAGGGGCTCTGCCTCATGAATGGATTAATGCTGTTATTGCAGTGGGTTAATTACTGTGGTAGTGGATTTCTGATAAAAGGATATGTTTGATCTCTTGTTCTCTATCTTGCACATGTTCTCTTGCCCACATGACACCTTTGCCACATTATGATGCAGGCAAGAAGGCCCTCAAAAGATGTGGCCTCTCAGTCTTGGACTTCCCAGACTCCAGAACTGTGAGCCAAATAAATACATTTCTGTTTATTATACATTACCTAATCTGTAGTATTTTGTTATAGCACCATAAAATGAACTAAGACAGTATATAATTTATTCTAATGGAAATATGTTTCCATTATATAGAAATATTTCCTCAATCAAAATTGAATTAGAGCACTTGAGTTAGGTATTTAGTGCAAAATAGTTCTGATGGGAGAAGTACATGTCACTCAAACCTTTAAATGTTACCTTCATTTGAAAAAGGTAAATAATATTCCTTTATACCATATATTTGTATTTAAACAACTACATTAATAAAAATATAAAAAAACAAGTAATAATTAACTTTAAGTGAATTACGTTCAATGTATCTCACATTTTCCTTAAGGAGTATTATGGCTGGAATCATCTTGAAAATAGTAGTTGCTTCAAAGCCAATACAATATTTTACCAACTGCAAAACTTGAATAAAGTGACATTCTCAATCATCTCCTTATTTCACACATAACAGAAATGATGGCAAGTACTCTTAGGGAAAGTTTTCTATATGCTGGGAAATATGTATAAACTGATATCTCAGCTATCCTTCTCCGATTAGATAGTGGACTCCATAAGAACAGGTATTTGACACTCTCTTTTTTGCTGGGGTATCTCTAACACCTAGAAGACTGTCTTGTGGGCCAGGCGTGGTGGCTCACTCCTGTAATCCCAGCACTTTGGGAGGATGAGGAGGGTGGATCACGAGGTCAGGAGTTCAAGACCAGCCTGGCCAAGATGGTGAAACCCTGTCTCTACTAAAAATACAAAAATTAGCCAGGCGCAGTGGCAGGTGCCTGTAATCCCAGGTACTCAGGAGGCTGAGGCAGGAGAATCACTTGAACTCGAGGGGCAGAGGTTGCAGTGAGCCGAGATTGTGCCACTGCACTCCAACCTGGGTGACAGAGTGAGACTCTGTCTCAAGAAAAAAGATAAAAGAAAAGTGTCTTGTATTCACAAGCAGCTCAATAAATATTCCAGATAAGCAAATGAACAAATCCATACAACAGAATTACCAAAGAGGGTACTACCAGTGTTATTCTTACTTTACAGATAAGGAAACAGAAGTAAAGCAACTTGTCTCTAATCACACTACCAGTGAGTGTGAAAGTTGGAATTCATGGCCAGGCACCATGGCTCAAACTGCAATCTCAGCGCTTTGGGAAGCCAAGACAGGAGGATTGCTTGAGGCCAGGTGTTCAAGACCAGCCTGGGCAATGAAGCAAGACCCCATATCATCTACAAAAAAAAAAAAAAGAAAGAAAGAAAAGAAAAGAAGGAAGGAAGAAAGAAGAAAAGAGATGAAAGGAAGGAGAAAAGAAAAGAAAAGAGAAGACAAGAGAAAAGAGAAAGAAAAGAAAAGAAAATTGGAATTCATAATTAGGGCCCTTGGTCAGGTGTGGTGGCTCATGCCTGTAATCCCAGCACTTTGGGAGGCCAAGGCAGGCGGATCACCTGAGGTCAGGAGTTCAAGATCAGCCTGGCAAATGTGGTGAAACCCCTTCTCTATCAAAAATACAAAAATTAGCCAGGCGTGGTAGCGGGCACTTGTAATCCCAGCTACTCAGGAGGCTGAGGCAGAAGAATCACTTGAACCCAGGAGGCAGAGGTTGCAGTGAGCCGAGATCATGCCACTGCGCTCCAGCCTGGGTGACAGGGCGAGACAAATTTTGATACAAGAAAAGTTACATCTACTTTAATAACCCAACTTATCTCACTCTGGCTCTTACCTGCCAAACAGGGAAAGAGTATCTCCTCCCCTAATCTTTCTTTCTTCGTGTGCACCTTCTCCAGGCATTTGCCTGAGATTCTGACCTGCTTGTACCATCTGTTTGCAAGTGAAGCAGGACTAGACCTGTTCCTCACAAGAATCCTTAAATGAATCCTGAAGTGCAGTTTTCAGCTTGGCCACATTGGAATAGGGCTGCTGTCCATTGCCTTCTCTAATGTATTAATAGTTTAAATAGCCGGGTGCGGTAGCTCACGTCTGTAATCCCAGCATTTTGGGAGGTCGAGGTGGGTGAATCACAAGGTCAAGAGATCAAGACCATCCTGGCCAACATGGTGAAACCCCATCTCTATAAAAATACAAAAATTGGCTCAGCATGGTGGTGTACACCTGTAGTCCCAGCTACTCAGGAAGCTGAGGCAGGAGAATCACTCAAACCCGGAGGTAGAAGTTGCAGTGAGCTGAGATCATGCCACTGTACTCTAGCCTGGTAGCAGAGTGAGACTCCATTAAAAAAACAAAAAAAAACAAAAAAACTTAAGATGATCTTGACTACCTTTCTCGATCCCGTGCCCTACTTATTGCTTCCTGGATGCCAGAGGCTCTGTATTGCTGCTTGTTGAAGCCCAAGTAACCTGTTGAGATGTGGCCTTTATGTAACATTTTCTCTATTTTTTCCCAGGGATCTCCTTTTTATATTACCACTGGGTCAGGCCTTGATTGACTGCCCCAGGCAAATGTGTTTTCTCAGGCACTGATAGAAAATGCTCTTTCTTCAGTATTTCCTTCAGTGTATGATACTGTATGACTCATGTCCTAAGTGCTATATCATTTTGATTTCCTCAGGTAACCAGACCCCTAGACAGGATTCACACATAGAGCCACTCTCCTAAAGCCACTCTATATCCATTCTCTTCTCCTTTTATAACAGACAGCTACCTTTTAATCACTTCATACATTGCCACCAGCTAAACAACTACAGCTCTTTGACTTCTTGCAGCTACGTGTGACCATATGACTATATTTTGATCAGTGATGTATGTGTAGATGTGTTGCAAGAAATTTGTGATGTCTCCTTAAAAGCGAACAAACATATACTTTCTTTCTAATTTCTCCTTCATGCTAAGTAGAATAAAGATATGAAATACGGAGTTTAAGCAACCATCTTAAGCTGCTAAATGAAAATTGCATGTTACGAAGAGAGGGACCAAGAAAGAAGATGCCTGGATCCCTGAGGAGAGTGGACCTCTAGTGTTACAGGGACCTGGAACCAGAGCTAAATGTTTTTGCCCTTTGTTGTTATTTGTTATGCATTACTTTTACTATCCAAATAATAGCAATAATAGTAATTATATATCTTATTTTCTTGGTATTAAAACTGCGGAATATGTACAGCCCCCTTAAATAATCTAAACTCAATTTTTGGAACCTGGGGCAATAATCATGCATAAAGTCATACATGCGTATCTATATACATGCATATGTACCTTCATGTAAATAACTAATTGTGACTGGATTTGCAATCCCCACTAGATTATGGTTTTATTCAGGGCAGAGATTAAGTCATGGTCTCTCTAGTACAATGTGTTTCTAGGGACACAATAAATTCAACTGGAAAACCAGGAGCAACAGAAAATAAAATAACAAAATGTCCCTGAAAGAAGAAAGATGAGCACTGAGAGCCATGTGATTCTGTGAGCAAACGTTACTCAGTGAACAGGGCAGAGAGAGAGCTTTCCCAGCAGCAGCTTTTGTCTACAAATGTTCTCCTATCTTATCCAGTTTCTGAAAGCTGACCTTTTTCTTTCACTCAGGTATTTTTATAAAACAAGTCATCCTGTTCCTTTCTTAAAAATGAATACACACAACAGAAGTAGAGTGAGGTCAAGGACAATTGGCCATGCCAAGCATTTAGAAGACACCCAAGGAATAGGTTTTATGTAGAAATGGATTTCACTTTTCAAGAAAGAAACTGTTACTGAAGAGATAAGTTAAGCCCAGTAGTATGCTGGTAAATGCTTAGCAGCTAGATCTCCAGAAACAAAGAACACACACAGAAAAAACTACCACCACCATCTCACCTCCCAAAAACAAAGTCCAGATTGGTAACACTGGCCAGTTTCTGTGGTGTAAATACTGCTACTGTGGCAAATTTCAACCTACAAACTACTTAACCACTGACTCGTAAAATTCCTGAAAATGTTACAATCTTCTCTTGTCAGCCAGAACAGATAGTTATAGTATATCTTTCTTGCCACACGGAGGAGTGCGGCTTGGACTTCCTACAAATGTCTACAATAAAAAACAAACCTATGTTTTTATTGATTTTAATTTTCAAATATTTCTTAACATCGTACTTCCTTTACAGAGTTATTTAATATCTGAAAACAGTCCCTATACATAAACTCATAAAAGTCAATGTTTAGATAACTGTTCTTGGTTGAAAACACATACAAACTCAGATTTGATCAAGAGGCATCCATAAATCAGCAGCAAGACCAAGAGACAAACCTAGGTTTGTGTGTGCTATCCTCTCAGAGAGCTTCTGTTGCTATTTTAGAAACAGAAGATTTTAGTGTTTCTAATCCAGCAAAAGTTCTACTTAAGCAAGTAAGAGTCCCTATTGATTTAAATCACAGAACAGGTGTTCTGAAGAGATTTCACAAGCCTTTACAGTGTGCATTTACAGTGGCATCACTTATGCCACTCAGGTTCGCATGTCAATTTTACACTGAAATCAACCACAGGTGTGGGTCTGTTTCATATGCTGGCAACTCTCCTCACGGTTGAGGTAACTCATGTCCACCAAAACTTGGAGTCAAACCATGGCAACTCTATTTTCATACTTTAATGCAAGTGATTCATACGCTAGTTCCAAGGAAACTAATAAAGGAAGACAATCAGCCCAAAAGAAAGTGTCAAGTGTGGCAAACAACTAAAACATAATGAATGAGTCTTCATTGTTTTTAATACCTATTTGAAGAGTATCTTATAATCATAAATACAAATTATGCTGTAAAAAATAATCCCAAGAAAAGATAATTGCACCAGATAGGAGTACAATACTTTAGAATTTGCAAAGACCTAACATTTGAATATTATTTATATACATATTTTCTTATATTGATTTTCACAATAATCCTGTAAAATGGATAGGGCAGAAGTGACATCTGCAAAGTGTACTATATATTCTTAAGTATGATATAAAAATATTACAGTTGCAATTATGTGAGGGATACACACTGAAATGTTTCAGGAAAAAACATTCTGAAAGTGATGGATTTCAAGTCATTTATAGGGATGGAAAGACAATGGATTACAATTCAAATTCAAAATTATTTTTATTTTATCCAGAAAATCAATTATGAAGTGTCTACTCATTAAAAAGAAAGAAAGGATGAAAAGAAGAAAGTAAAGAAGGAAGAAATTCAGGTTCCAAGATGGCTGAATAGGAACAGCTCCACTCTGGAGCTCCCAGCGTGAGCAATGCAGAAGATGGGTGACTTCTGCATTTCCAACTGAGGTACCGGGTTCATCTCACTGGGGTTTGTCAGACAGTAGGTGCAGCCCACGAAGCAGGGCAGGGCATCGCCTCACCTGGGAAGCGCAAGGGGTCAGGGAATTCCCTTTCCTAGCAAAGGGAAGGCTTGACAGACAGTACCTGGAAAATTGGGACACTCCCACCCTAACACTGCACTTTTCCAAAGGCCTTAGCAAAGGGCACACCAAGAGATTATATCCCATGCCTGGCTCGGAGGGTCCCACGCCCACGGAGCCTCACTCACTGCTACCACAGAAGTCTGAGATGGAACTGCAAGGCAGCAGCGAGGCTGGAGGAGGGGCATCTGCCATTGCTGAGGCCTGAGTAGGTAAACAAAGTGGCCTGGAAGCTCGAACTCGGTGGAGCCCACTGCAGCTCAAGGAGGCCTGCCTGCATATGTAGACTCCACCTCTGGGGGCAGAGCATAGCTGAACAAAAGGCAGCAGAAACTTCTGCAGACAAAAACGTCCCGGTCTGACAGCTTTGAAGAGAGTAGTGGTTCTCCCAGCACGGAGTTTGAGATCTGAGGACAGACAGACTGCCACTTCAAGTGGGTCCCTGACCCCCAAGTAGCCTAACTGGGAGACACCTCCAAGTAGGGGCCGACTGACACCTCATACAGCCGGGTGCCCCTCTGAGATGAAGCTTACAGAGGAAGGATCAGGCAGCAACATCTGCTGTTCTGCAGTACTTGCTGTTCTGCAGACTCCACTGGTGATACCCAGGCAAACAGGGTCTGGAGTGGACCTCCAGCAAACTCCAACAGACCTGCAGCTGAGGGTCCTGACTGTTAGAAGGAAAACTAACAAACAGAAAGGACATCCACACCAAAACCCCATCCATAGGTCACCATCATCAAAGACCAAAGGTAGATAAAACCACAAAGATGGGGAGAAACCAGAGCAGAAAACCTGAAAATTCTAAAAATCAGAGCATCTCTCAGCCTCCAAAGGAAGGCAGCTCCTCGCCAGCAAAGGAACAAAGCTGGATGGAGAATGACTTTGACGAGGTGAGAGAAGAGGCTTCAGATGATAGCTAATAACAAACTTCTCCGAGCTAAAGGAGGATGTTCAAACCCATCACAAAGAAGCTAAAAACCTTGAAAAAAATTAGAGAAATGGATAACTAGAATAAACAGTGTACAGAAGTCCTTAAATGACCCGATGGAGCTGAAAACCATGGCACAAGAACTACATGATGCATGCACAAGCTTCAGTAGCCAATTTGATCAAGTAGAAGAAACGGTATCAGTGATTGAAGATCAAATGAATTAAATGAAATGAGAAGAGAAGTTTAGAGAAAAAAGAGTAAAAAGAAATGAACAAAGCCTCCAAGAAATTTGGGAGTATGAGAAAAGACCAAATCTACATCTGACTGGTGAACCTGAAAGTGATGGGGAGAATGGAACCAAGTTGGAAAACACTCTGCAGGATATTATCCAGGAGAACTTCCCCAACATAGCAAGGCAGGCCAACATTCAAATTCAGGAAATATAAAGAATGCCACAAAGACACTCGTCGAGAAGAGCAACCCCAAGACACATAATTGTCAGGTTCACCAAAGTTGAAATGAAGGAAAAAATGTTAAGGGCAGCCAGAGAAAAAGGTCAGGTTACCCACAAAGGGAAGCCCATCAGACTAAAAGCTGATCTCTCGGCAGAAACTCTACAAGCCAGAAGAGAGTGGGGGACAATATTCAACATTCTTAAAGAATTTTCAACCCAGAATTTCATATCCAGCCAAACTAACCTTCATAAGTGAAGGAGAACTAAAATCCTTTACAAACCAGCAAATGCTGAGAGATTTTGTCACCACCAGGCCTGCCCTAAAAGAGCTCCTGAGGGAAGCACTGAACATGGAAAGGAACAACCAGTACTAGCCACTGCAAAAACATGCCAAATAAGACCATCGATACTAGGAAGAAATTGCATCAACTAATGAGCAAAATAACCAGCTAACTTCATAATGACAGGATCAAATTCACACATAACAATATTAACTTTAAATGTAAATGGGCTAAATGCTCCAATTAAAAGACACAGACTGGCTAATTGGATAAAGAGCCAAGATCCATCACTGTGCTGTATTCAGGAGACCCATCACACATGCAGAGACACACATAGGCTCAAAATAAAGGGACGGAGGAAGATCTACCAAGCAAATGGAAAACAAAAAAAAGCAGGGGTTGCAATCCTAGTCTCTCATAAAACAGACTTTAAACCAACAAAGATCAAAAGAGACAAAGAAGACCATTACATAATGGTAAAGGGATCAATTCAACAAGAAGAGCTAACTATCCTAAATATATATGCACCCCATACAGGAGCACCCAGATTCATAAAGCAAGTCCTCAGAGACCTACAAAGAGACTTAGAGGCCCACACAATAATCATGGGAGACTTTAACACCCCATTGTCAACATTAGACAGATCAACGAGACAGAAAGTTAACAAGGATATCCAGGAATTGAACTCAGCTCTGCACCAAACAGACCTAATAGACATCTACAGAACTCTCCACCCCAAATCAATAGAATACACATTCTTCTCAGCACCACATCACACTTATTCCAAAATTGACCACATAGTTGGAAGTAAAGCACTCCTCAGCAAATGTAAAAGAATAGAAATTATAACAAACTGTGTCAGACCACAGTGCAACCAAACTAGAATTCAGGATTAAGACACTCACTCAAAACCACTCAACTACATGGAAACTGAACAACCTGCTCCTGAATGACTACTGGGTACATAACGAAATGAAGGCAGAAATAAAGATGTTCTTTGAAACCAATAAGAACAAAGACACAACGTACCAGAATCTCTGGGACACATTTAAAGCAGTGTGTAGAGGGAAATTTATAGCACTAAATGCCCACAAAAGAAAGCAGGAAAGATTTAAAATTGACACATTCACATCACAATTAAAAGAAACAGAGAAGCAAGAGCAAATACATTCAAAAGCTAGCAGAAGACAAGAAATAACTAAGATCAGAACAGAACTGAAGGACATAGAGACACAAAAACCCTTCAAAAAATCAGTGAATCCAGGAGCTGGTTTTTTGAAAAGATCAACAAAATTGATAGACCGCTAGCAAGACTGATAAAGAAAAAAAGAGAGAAGTATCAAATAGATGCAATAAAAAAATGATAAAGGGGATATCACCACCAATCCCACAGAAATAAAAACTACCATCAGAGAATACTATAAACATCTCTACATAAATAAACTAGAAAATCTAGAAGAAATGGATAAATTCCTGGACACTTACACCTCCCCAACACTAAACCAGGAAGAAGTTGAATCTCTGAATAGACCAATAACAGGATCTGAAACTGAAGCAATAATTAATAGCCTCCCAAACAAAAAAAGTTCAGGACCAGACAGATTCACAGCCGAATTCTACCAGAGGTAAAAAGAGGAGCTGGTACTATTCCTTCTGAAACTATTCCAATAAATAGAAAGAGAGGAAATCCTCCCTAACTCATTTTATGAGGCCAGCATCATCCTGATACCAAAGCCTGGCAGAGACACAACAAAAAAAAGAGAATTTTAGACCAATATCCCTGATGAACATCAATGCAAAAATCCTCAATAAACTACTGGCAAACTGAATCCAGCAGCACATCAAAAAGCTTATCCACCACGATCAAGTTTGCTTCATTCCTGGGATGCAAGGCTGGCTCAACATATCAATAAATGTAATCCATCATATAAACAGAACCAAAGACAAAAACTACATGATTTTCTCAATAGATGCAGAAAAGATCTTCTACAAAATTCAACAGCCCTTCATGCTAAAAACTCTCAATAAATTAGGTATTGATGGGATGTATCTCAAAATAATAAGAGCTATTTATGGCAAACCCACAGCCAATATTATACTGAATGGGCAAAAACTGGAAGCATTCCCTTTGAAAACTGGCACAAGACCCAGATGCCCTCTCTCACCACTCCTATTCAACATAGTGTTGGAAGTTCTGGCCAGGGCAATCAGGCAGGAGAAGGAAATAAAGGGTATTCAATTGGGAAAGGAGGAAGTCAAATTGTCCCTGTTTGCAGATGACATGATTGTATAGCTAGAAAACCCCATTGTCTCAGCCCAAAATCTCCTTAAGCTGATAGGCAACTTCAGCAAAGTCTCAGGATACAAAATCAATGTGCAAAAATCACAAGCATTCCTATTCACCAATAACAGACAAATAGCCAAATCATGAGTGAACTCCCATTCACAATTGCTTCAAAGAGAATAAAATACCTAGGAATCCAACTTACAAGGGATGTGAAGGACTTCTTCAAGGAAAACTACAAACCACTGCTCAACGAAATACAAGAGGATACAAACAAACGAAAGAACATTCCATGCTCATGGATAGGAAGAATCAATATCATTAAAATGGCCATAGTTCCCAAGGTAATTTATAGATTCAATGCCATCCCCATCAAGCTACAGTGACTTTCTTCACAAAATTGGAAAAAACTACTTTAAAGTTCTTATGGAAACAAAAAAAAAGCCCACATTGCCAAGACAATCCTAAGCCAAAAGAACAAAGCTGGAGGCATCACGACCTGACTTCAAACTGTACTACAAGGCTACAGTAACCAAAACAGCATGGTACTGGTACCAAAACAGAGATATAGATCAATGGAACAGAATAGGGCCCTCAGCAATAATACCACACATCTACAACCATCTGATCCTTGACAAAGGTGACAAAACCAAGAAATGGGGAAAAGATTCCCTATTTAATAAATGGTGCTGGGAAAACTGGCTAGCCATATGTAGAAAGCTGAAACTGGATCTCTTCCTTACACCTTATACAAAAACTAATTCAAGACGGATTAAACACTTAAATGTTAGACCGAAAACCACAAAAACCCTAGAAGAAAACCTAGGCAATACCATTCAGGACATAGGCATGGGCAAGGACTTCATGTCTAAAACACCAAAAGCAATGTCAACAAAAGCCAAAATTGACAAATAGGATCTAATTAAACAAAAGAACTTCTGCACAGTAAAAGAAACTACCATCAGAGTGAACAGGCAACCTACAAAATGGGAGAAAATTTTTACAATCTACCCATCTGACAAAGGGCTAATATCCACAATCTACAAAGAATTCAAACAAATTTACAAGAAAAAAACAAACAACCCTATCAAAAAGTGGGCGAAGGATATGAACAGACACTTGTCAAAAGAAGACATGTATGCAACCAACAGACAATGAAAAAATGCTCATCATCACTGGCCATCAGAGAAATGCAAGTCAAAACCACAATGAGATACCATCTCACACCAGTTAGAATGGCGATCATTAAAATTCAGGAAACAACAGGTACTGGAGACGATGTGGAGAAATAGGAATGCCTTTACACTGTTGGTGGGACTCTAAACTAGTTCAACCATTGTGGAAGACAGTGTGGTGATCCCTCAAGGATCTAGAACTAGAAATACCATTTGACCCAGCCATCCCATTCCTGGGCATATACCCAAAGGATTATAAATCATGCTGCTATAAAGACACATGCACGTGTATGTTTATTGCAGCACTATTCACAACAGCAAAGATTTGGAACCAATCCAAATGTCCATCAATGATAGACTGAATTAAGAAAATGTGGCACATATACACCATGGAATACTATGCAGCCATAAAAAATGATGAGTTCATGTCCTTTGTAGGGACATGGATGAAGCTGGAAACCATCATTCTGAGCAAACTACCATGAGGACAGAAAACCAAACACCGCATGTTCTCACTCATAGGTGGGAATTGAACAATAAGAACACATGGATACAGGGTAGGGAACATCACACACCAGGATCTCTTGTGGGGTGGGGGGAGTGGGGAAGGATACCATTAGGAGATATACCTAAAGCAAATGACAAGTTAAGGGATGCAGCACACCAACATGGCACATGTATACATATGTAACAAACCTGAATGCTGTGTACATGTACCCTAGAACTGAAAGTATAATAATTACAAACAAAAAAGAAGGAAGAAATTGAAGAAGAAAGAAGGGAGAGAGAAGAAAATTACACATAAAAAATTAAAAAATGTTTATACACAAGGAGAAGGATGTAGCCAACATTTTTATTATTGCTCTATTTCCCTTGAAATATCTACTCCCAGGCCTTTTGTGGTGGCTCACACCTGTAATCCCACAACTTTGGGAGGCTGAGGTGGGCAGATCACCTGAGGTCAGGAGTTAGAGGCCAGCCTGGCCAACATAGTATAATTCCATCTCTATTAAAATACAAAAATTAGCCGGGCATGGTGGTGTGTGTCTGTAATCTCAGCTACTTGGGAGGCTGAGGCAGGAGAATCGCTTGAACCCTTGAGGCGGAAGTTGCAGTTAGCTGAGATTGTGCCATTGTACTCCAGCCTGGGCAGCAAGAGTAAAATTCCATCTGGAAAGAAAGGAAATATCTACTCCTAAATCTCATTACTAGTAAAAGTATTTTGTAAGCCTTATTTGGAAAGGAAGATAAAAGATGCTGGTCTACAAACAAATATATATTGAGCCCCAGATTGGGTACTGCTTTAGGCCTGAACATGGTTTTTTCTCACTTGTGGACATGGTATTCCACCTAGTGTTTGCCAGAACAAGCTGCTAAGTGAATTAGGAAAGACAGTGAATATCAGTTGCAATATTTAACAGGTGAGATTCATTTAGGACAGTTCAAGCCTGAGGTTTTTTAGCGAATAAAGAGCCTGAGTTTCAGCATGAAAAACAGAGGACAGCTTTTCAAACAATGTGTAAATTAGTCTACCCCCTCACCAGAAATGTAGGAAACATATTTTTTCATTTCAAGATCATATATGTTTGCATACAATTCAGAGACATTTCCACAAGCTTCCACATAGTAAATAAAACTCGAATTTTTTAAGGTTTGAATTTTATTTTGTTCTTTTTCTGAACCTTCCAATCTAAATATAGAGTAAGCAGTTCCTAGAATTTGCTGAACAAAAAATTGAAATTAATTGGCACACAAAATTTAGCTGATTTCATTACATCATATGGCTTGATTTTTTAATTTATGCTATCTAGACATGGGAGTAAATTTCTCAGGCTATCTATGATTAACTAAATTTCTATTTGATTCATGACCTGCCAAGTGTAGATGTTTAAGTCAGCTAACTAGTGGATACATCTTACCAAGTTAGTTTTCCTCTCTTAAAAGCTTGGTTGAAATTTTAGCATTTTAATACAGAATAAGGCTTACAGGAGCCCTGGTCACAAAAAGTAATCAGAATATTCTAGATGAATTATAGATTTTGAGATGTTTTGTTTGGAAAGTTCACAAGCCACACATTCCATCTCTCTCTATCAGGGCATGAAAGAATTTATTGAGCAGCGTTCTTTGTACAATTGAATCACTCACTCCTCAGAAGCTTTCTTTGAAATCCACTCATATAATAACTGTCAGAAATTATCTTCCATAACATTTGAAAAATTTAGTACAGATGCATGAATTTTTCGCAATTTACAGAGAGGACAGGAAGTTTTACAGAAAACATTTTAATTAGCACTATACATAATTAACAGTAATAAAATATAAGTTCAATATATTTTCTATAGTGTTATGGACTTTGATACTCTGATAGCTTTCATTTGTCTTTTTTTTCTGTACCATGTATCTTTATCAACTATTCTATATTTACTCACATCTCAAAATTTTTTCAAGGATCAGAGCAAATTTCGAGGGATGAATTGGCTGCTCAATAGCTACTAATAAAAGACTAACTGGTCACAATTGAACCCTGTCACTTACTTCACAGTTTCTATTAATTTTAAATATTTTAATAAATATAAATTTTTTTAAAAAAAATTTAAATGTTTTAATAAATATTAAACATACATATTTCTCTTTATGAAATAATAACTGGGCACAAACCTAATCCCAATTTCTGACAATTTCAAATGTCTTTAAAATTTTCTGAAGAAATATGCAGTTCCAACTGGAAATAAGTAACAAGATTTTTCCAGAAAAAATAAAACTTTATGTATACACTTTATGAAATAGTATGCATATGAATGAGTTTTCAAAGTATTCGCTCCTTTCTCTGGAAGATACAGGAAAAAGTCAAACCCATACTGATAGGTGAAGTCGGCTGGGCTTCTGGGTCGGGTGGGGACTTGGGGAACTTTTCTGTCTAGCTAAAGGATTGAAAATGCACCAATCAGTGCCGTGTGTCTAGCTAAAGGTTTGTAAACGCACCAATCAGCACGCTGTAAAAACGGACCAATCAGCACTCTGTAAAATGGACCAATCAGCTCTCTGTAAATTGGAAAAATCAGCAGGATGTGGGTGGGCCAAATAACGGAATAAAGGCTGGCCACCTGAGCAAGCAGTGGCAACCACTGAGGTCTGGAAGCTTGTTCTTTTGCTCTTCCCAATAAATCTTGCTGCTGCTCACTCTTTGGGTCCGCACTACCTTTATGAGCTATAACACTCACCGCGAAGGTCTGCACCTTCACTCCTGAAGCCAGTGAGACCAGGAGCCCACCAGGAAGAAAAAACAACTCTGGATTCGCCACCTTTAAGAGCTGTAACACTCACTGCAAAGGTCTGCGGCTTCACTCCTGAAGTCAGCAAGACCATGAACCCGCCAGAAGGAATAAACTCTGGGCACATCTGAACATCTGAAGGAACAAACTCCGGACACACCGTCTTTGAGAACTGTAACACTCACCGTGAGGGTCTGCGACTTCATTCTTGAAGTCAGCGAGACCAAGAACCCACCGGAAGGAACAAATTCCAGACACGATACTAAATATTTTTAATTTTCAGTTTTCAGGAATGTGCCAAGAAAATTAAAAATATTTCTTTTTGTTTTCATGAAATATATATGCATTCTTTACTGGCAGTACAACCTATGATTAATGGTACAATTGTAGAAGGATATGAAGTTTTGCACAATAACATAATGAGTAGTTTGATGTAGATGATTAATGAGAGATTTCTCCTGTCATGCTCTAAAGATAAATTTCATTAAAAGGAAATATTTGATGCATTATATATTTAGTTGTCTCAATTTTCAAAAGTATGTGGCTATGTGTAAATCAGTCAGATATTTCAGTGTCTGGCATTTTGCTGTAATCAACCTCTTAGTTTTTGTTATCTCCTAGGTCTTAAAATGTCACATTGAATGGCAACAATGTCAAAATCATCTCTGTAACACCTATATCACAAAGCACAAAAAAGTAAAGTTTCAGAACTAAAAGGCCAGTCTCTGCTTTCAACATATCACAGATGAATCCATGATTAGGAAATGAAGAATAAAGAGACTCCTGTAATTTGTCCAGTGTGTTTTCTTCAACAGTGTAACCCATTCCTTCCGGAGTCATACATCAGATGCATGAGGAAAAAATCCTTATTAAATTGTCAGTAATCAGTGTTACAGTCTAACTTTCCATATTTTATGGATAAAATTCCCTTTTATTCTTGCAGCTGGTGGTAAATGCCCCGTCAACCAAGGAGTCAAGGAAGAGAATGATGAATCCTGCTTACTAAAGCTATTAGTCTGAATGTTTTTCTCTAATTCTCCAAAAAAATCTAAAATTTAAGATAAGGATAGATAAGAAATTTCAGATATTAGTCTTTCATTCTGTCTGAGAGGTTTGAAGACTTGAATTAAAAGGATCTTATCTGCAAGCAAAATACCACATGTCAGAATATCAAATGGCTCAAACCTAATTTTCATCTTTTTATGAATGTGTGAAATATCTTAATGGGATTTCCACCAGTTAATTCAAGAAGACACTTCACCATACAGCTAAAGATTTAAATATTTTACTTTCATTATAGCATATACATAGGCCTGACAGGAAACTCTGTAAGCTTTGTAGTGTTCAGCAAACACTAGACATGCAAAACAAGTAATATTTTGCACAAGCTTGGGATTAGGTTTTAGCTAAAATGAACATGTGACTTCTGGTCTTTCCTCAGATATCATTTGGTTCATTTTTAAGAAAGAGAATGGAATAATGTAAGTTGAAGACGTGTAATCCCCACAAAGTGGAAAATATATATTGTATACACACACATACATACAAACACATGCACACACATACGAATTAGCATTTGGAATTTTAAACTTTATTTTTATTTTTAATTTTGGACCGTTATTTATTGGTCATTCTCAGCAATCACAATTAAAAAGCATGTTTAAGTCGTCTCATAAGCTGTTTCTACTCTATTTAATTTGTGCAATTGACAAAAACATGCTCTCTCTCCCGCTGGGAAAATTGCTTGTCAGGAAGAATGCAGGCTGGGTTTCAGTCTCCAGCTGCTTTTTTGGGCAAGTTTCTTTGTGCAGTGCACGACTGAAAAACTGTATGTGGCAACCTGGCCATCACTAAAGTGGAAGCAAGGAGTAGACAAAGATCAAGAGAGAAAGGCTTTTGATATAAGAATTAGAGAATGAGACAAAAAAGTAATTTTACTCAATCACGAAGGGCTTATCTAATTAAGCAGAGGCTGATTGAGTTCTAGACAAAAGAAAGAACAGTAATAAATAGATATTACACCAGTTAAAGTGCATTTACAGAATTGGAGTAGGCCTATCAGCCCACAGCCTCACAGGACATATAGTAATCACTTCTTCTTTGTGGTTACTTTAAACGTTGATGAAAGATTCTTGGGCAGTGTGATAGGAGGGCTTCATAAAATGCTATCTCAAGATGCTCTAGATCAAGCATTTAATTACCCTCTACTTGGATTTAGAAATTCAATGGAATATTAAAAAATATGTAGCTTCTGGTATTTCTTGTCACTCCCTAAAAACTTTCAAATGTGTTTCCCATATAAGGTATTTTCTGCCGATTATCAACAAATTCTTTCATATAGTAACATTATTCTGTCTCCCAGGTGCATATTTTTTTAACCCAAATTCCAGTCTAACATGTGCCCCTGGGCAGCTCAAGTGGCACTGGAGATCCGAGAATCAACATAAACACAGATATCACAAGGGACAAAAGGACCCGTTAACACCCCACCACATGGAAGTAAACCCCAAAGCCAGTGCAAGTCTGTGTGTGTGTATACACCTATATATATATATATATATATATATATATATATATATATATATATATATACATATAAATATTTTTCTATAAGATTCTTTCAAGGAAAGGAGTATGTCAAATATTACAGAAAACATTATAGAAATCTCATTGAAATGATAGTATAGTATATTTTGGAAATGTAAAACATTTTTTATTTCCCAAGAAAATTCTAAAATGTTTATTTGATTTATAAAATGGGGACTTCACTCACCAGTTTAAGTGATGAGAACATTCTCTTTATATGTCAAAAACCCAGTAATCCACAGGAAGTTCCAACTTCCTTGGAAAGCAATATAAATTACAGAGTTCTTCACAAAGTGCTGCCAGCATGGAGCTGCTTAGTTTCAACTCAGGCTAGAAAACAAATGAAGCACTTGCTGTTTTACTCGTCTTCCTTGTTACTCAAAAAATACACTTGTGAATTGCTCAGTATCTAACAAGGCTTAGGGAAAGAGATCTGTTAGCAGTGAATTACCTGTTACTGGTTTTTACCTATAGAAAGTAGAAAATATGCTTGTTTTCTTTATGCATGAGTACTAACATCTGTTTAATCATGGTGTGATATAACTCAACAATGTCATTCCTACTGTTTTCATTATCACCAATAAATAAACTCTGGTGAACTATATTAATCCAATCACCAGACATTTCTGTATAGATGAAGAATGTCATGATCATTGCACTCAGTGGTTCAATTATATCAGATAACTACAGAAGACTAAGTAAAATCAAAATAATATATCGACATACTCAAAATTATTATTTAATTATCATTTCAGAATTCCCAATCTAATTCTAATTTTCCTGACAACCTATAATCGACGTAAAATTAAGGCAAGAAGAGAAAAACCCACAAGCTTAGAAAGAACAGACACTCTCATTATAATTTGGTGACTCCTTTCATTACATAAGGTAAAACAAACTGCAAGAAGATAAATTATTGTTCCGATAATTTTATTATCAAAATCATAAAAGTTTCCTGCATTTTAAATTTATCTGTCTTATTTCTTCTCTCATCCTATACCCTAAGCCTTTAGTAATGTGTAATACCCTGCGTAGTTATGTTATTAGCTAAATGTAGTTGACCATTATTTCAGGAGCTCTGCACTTGAAGACTGAAAACTTCTGTTTTTCTCCCTTAGTAAATACTGGATCCACATTTTTAAAAACCTATTCCAATTATATATTCCAAATTAACACGCCAATTATCTTTTATAAAATAGCTTAATAAGTCTGAAATTAAATGTATTTGCCAGTTGTTGATTATAATTTTATATGCCAAATGGTTAGGTATAGGCTCTAGGCTTAAGGGAGATTGTTACTATGACTTCATGAATTAATAAAGTGAATTAAAGCAATTATCCATGCTATTATGGCAAAAATAAAATTATAAGATATGAGATAATGTCTAGTACAAAGAGCAAAAGACTAAGAATTTAAAAACTTAGATCTACACATTACTAAACAATTGAGTGACTTTGGGCAAGCTATTCGAGTGCTCATAGGTCCCACATTCTTCAGGTAATTCCTAGGTGTAAGAGTTAGGCTAAAATCTGTAATATGTCTTCAAACTCCAGATTTTACTGATTTATGTATTATATGACAAATATTTCCAAGTCTGTTTCATTTAGGTAGATGATATAGTTCATAGCTTAACTGCATACTTTATAAAAAACTGTTTCACTATATGATGACTGAGTGGTGGTTATATAAAAGAAAAACGTTGGACCATATTAGATATATAAGAGGCATCTACCTCTTTTAATTCATTCACCTACTAAAGCTAGACAGACAATATCCAATGATCAATATATCTGTGGTTAGTATGATGGGCATACTTATACAAGCGGGAATTCACATTCATTTTCCTAACCTGAGCTGACTTGAAATTAAAGAATTACATTGTTATATGCTATTTAGCATAATAATTTAATAATTTAGAAATTCATAATGTGAGTATATTTTGAACTCATGGAATCAGTGTCCCAGTAAACTTAATTACTTGAAATATTCTTAGGAGTTCATAAAAAATAAAAAGTGAGGAGGAAAAACTCTTACAATAACGATCCATCGTTTTTCTTGGGATAACGGCAGCATCAAGCAAAGTCCAGAAATCATTGACTCAACAATATGTATTATTCATGATTTTTTTCAAGCATTCAATATTTTTATTAACTGCCTAATAACTTTAGTAGTTTATTGAGTTGCATGAACTTAACCTTTATGGAAATTATATTATAGAGGAAAAGAAGAAAACATTATCAGGCAATTATTTAGATAAAACTGATAATTGCCATGAAAGAAAACATAAAAGTATTTGATTTAGAGTAGGGATTTGTCCTAGTTCATCTATGTTGTTATAGCTGAATACTTGAGACTGGCTAATTTATAAAGAAACTACATTTATTTCTCACACTTCTGAAGGCTTGGAGTTTGAGATCAAGGAACCAGCAGGTTCAGTGTCTGGTGACGGCCCATCTCCACTTCTAAGATGGTGCCTTGTTGCTGCATCCTGGGGAGGACCAGAACTCTGTGCTCTCACACTGCAGAAGAGCAGGCCAAAATAGACCACACTCCCTCTTCAAGCCCTTTTATAATCATTAATCCATTAATGAGCGCAGTCTTGACCTAAACACCTCCTGAAAAGCTTCACCTCCCAACACTATTGCATTGGGGATTATATTTCCAACACATGAATTTTATGGGAAACATTCACATGATATCAGGATTTTAAAACAATGATGAGAAAATGATATTGAGGTGAGATCTGAAGGATAAGCACAAGTTAACTAAGCCAATAGTTACAGGGCAGGGAAAAAGAGGCTTAGGAAACAGCCTTTTCAAACCTACTTCCTGAAGCTGCAGGAAATATGGTAAACTTGAACAAGGTAAGTACACCAATACTGCTGAAGAAATTAAAACGAGATTGTGACCAGAACAAAATAAGGCTTGAGGAGTAACTTGGAGCCTTATAAGCCGTGTGAGCAGTTTTGTCTTTAATTTCAAGAACAATAGAAAACCTTTGAAAAATGCTTGAAAAGGAGTATATTTCTGGAGAAAGTGATGAATTTACCTTTGGAATATGTTGTGTCTAATCTACATTTTGACTTACAAGTAAAGATGTCAAATGGACAATTAGAAACTGTTCATTTAAATGTATTTTCTGTTTTCTTAAGACAAAACAGTTTTAGAAGTGGAAAAGGTAAACTTCCAGAAAGTAGAATATAAATAAATTCATGTTACGTGAAACAATAAAATACTGTATGGGTAAGAATTTAATACTCATATGTTTATTAAAATAATCCATAAATAAAGCAATCGGTGTTGATCATAATATGTAAACTTATATTATCTCCAGGTGATCCTAAAAGGTTTGCCCTGAGGCTGAACTTTTTTCTTAAGGACATATTACCTATGTCTTAACAAATATTACCATGCTTTAATCTAAACTAGAAATATTTCAGCCCTGTTTTATACTTAAGTATAAGTACTTTTTAAAGTGTAAGTACTTGATTTTTTATTTTCTTTTACATTTGAAAAATAATAAGAGCTATTCAACATAAGATGCATGGTATGCATAAAAAGTTAAATGACATTTTGACTTTCATCCTTTTTTTCCAATAAAATGAGAAACTCCAACATCAAAGGATTGGAGCAAATATAACTAAAATGATAATTAGCAAGTAAGTTAAAGAGAATTAATAATCCATGAGTAATTTGGGTCAGGAATTCTTAGCGTCGTCTTTTTAGGAATTATCCTGCTTATAACAGGTCCAAGAGTTTGCATGTTTGGAGAGATAACAGGATAGAAATTCACAGAAAAATAAATCTAGCTGATATTACAAATACAGCACCGATTTAAAAAAATGACTTTTTCTCCGTCACAGATTTTCATGTAAAACCTCAAGAACTGAGGCTTCTCCAGGTATTTTACATAACAGTGACCATGTAACTATAGACTGCTAAGAGTTGCCCATAGTTTAATGGATCATAGTTGCTGGTTTCCTTTTGGAAGAATTTCCTTACCCACACGTGGCAAATGTGGTTACAGATGGTGTCAGACTAGGTTTCCAAATGGAATCAGAAGCCAACTGAAATATAAATAATACTTATAAAATGATATTGGGGTTCTTTTTTTTTTTTTTTTTTTGAGATGTAGTCTCGCTCTGTTGCCCAGGCTGGAGTGCAGTGGCACGATCTCCGCTCACTGCAAACTCCACCTCCTGGGTTCACGCCATTCTCCTGCCTCAGCCTCCTGAGTAGCTGGGACTACAGGCGCCTGCCATCACGCCCGGCTAATTTTGTTTTTGTATTTTTAGTAGAGACGGGGTTTCACCATGTTAGCCAGGATGGTCTCAATCTCCTGACCTACTGATCCGCCCACCTCGGCCTCCCAAAGTGCTGGGATTACAAGTGTGAGCCACCACACCTGGCCCGTGGTTCTTTTCTTTATGGGTCTCTCTATCAAGGATTCCCTAAATAATTATACATTGAGCTTTGTCTTCCTTTGGTAAAGACAACGTCTATGTTCCAACACACACACGAACACACTCAACAGTTTCTCGGTGTTCTGTAGATAAAAACTAAGAAAGGACATTCTGATGAGGGGAGAATACAGAACAGGCTTAAGAGAAGCATGGGCTGTCAAAGGCCCTTAGACTACTTTGCTATTAAGCTCATGAGAGAGAGAGAATCTGTGAACAACACAGTTTGCTGCTCAGGATTCCACAAGAATAAACAAGTCACCTTTGTTCCCATTCTACTGCTGCACAGAATCCATCACTAACTTTAACTTCCTCACTTCCTCCCCAGTTAGAAATTTTATAAACATCTGGAGACGTAGTACCCTTGGCATTGACATCAGCATTTTCATTCTAGGTGATGGCAACACTAAAACTTCTTCAATGGAAATTTCATGAAACAGTGGCTTGGACAAGTAGAGTCACACAGCAGAAACAAAGCTGACAGTTTTCACACATAAGGAATCTTCAGGGACTCCCCAAAATAAATGAGGATATTTTTATGTTTGGAGGGCAGAGGTACTGAGGCTCTTCCTATATGAAGGTAGAGGTCATTCACCCAGTAAACATTTGGGTTACAAGTAATTATTCTCAGAAAAATATTAAATACCCATAACATCTCAGGCTTTACCAGCCCTCTCAGATAAATGTGGCCACTATCACAAAATACCAACCCGAGTATGTTAGCTACATTCAGTCCTTTCCAGGATATTTTTGTTTTGTTTTGTTTTCCTGTATTACTCATTATGAGCCACACAGGGAGGATTCTTTCTCTTTCTGTTGTCTTGGGTTGGGTTAGCCAGGGTTCTCCAGAGAAACAGAACCATTAGGATGGAGATATAGCTATCTATCTTTATCTATCTATCTATATATCTATCTATCATCTATCTATCAATTATCTATCTATCTATCTATCTATCTATCTATCTATCTATCTATCTAGAATTGGCTCACATGATTGTGGAGGCTGAGAAGTGCTGGGGTCTGCTGTTTGTAAGGCAGAGAATCAGGAAAACCAGTGGTGTAGTTCCAGTTCATGGCTGAAGGCCTACACACTAGGAAGGCTGATGATGTGAGTTCTAGTCCAAGAGAACCAGAACTAGATGTGAGAACCAGAAGGCCAATGGTATAATTCCAGCCTAAAGGCAGGAGAGGGCTGATGTCCCAGCTTAAGCAATCAGAGAGAGAGAGGAAGAATTATCTGTTTCTCCACCTTCTCATTCTATTCAGGCCTTCAACAGATTAGATAATGTTTACTCACACTGGGGAGATGGATCTGCTTTACCTAGTCTACCAATTCAAATGCAGCTGGGCACACCTGGAGCCAGTCAGGTTGACACCTAAGATAAACCATCACATGGCTATTTTCCATTTAACACTTCTTCCCATTTTTCTGTCCCAATTGTGCATTGGGAGAGTGACAATGCAAATTGTATTCTCTCGGCACTTTTGCCAATTGGCTTCCTGATGGACTTAGCAAACAGAGAGTCATATGTAGGAGATTTGAATGCAATAGGAAAGAGGACCCTGGGCAGTTCTTCTCTGCTCCAGCCCTGAATTTCTGACAGTAGCTGCCATCCTTCAGGACAACAGCTCCCACCAGGCAGCCTGTCCTTCATGACTCACTTTCTGGGCTCTGGAAATCCTATTTCCTCCACTTGTTCTCTCAATTCTAGGAATATTAATATTTTAACATCCTTGTTTGCTCTTGCCCATGCTTCCGTAAGTAGTTCCTTCCATAAAGTCTCCTCACTTGAACCTTCTGAAGTTAATCCCATTTGTTCCAAAAACAAGGATGTTGTCAAACCAATTTTTTTCCCTCACAATCATTGATGACTAAGGTGCCACCATACAGTTTCCCCACCTCTGCTTCTCACTGGTGCTACACAAAACTTAGAACTCTATTCAGGCTCTTGCGTTTTGGCCACTACAGCAGCTGCCATTACCTAAGATGGCAGCTGGGGTGAATGTTGCAGAAACAGGAAAATACCTGCTATCCCTGATTCTGGAGATTTTTAATAGTTTGCTGTTCTTTTGAAGAGACTCTGGGCATTTTCTTTTGGTGGTATGCTTAATTGAAAAACAGAGAAAGGAATGAGCTGGGGGAAGAAATTATTTCAATAGTGTTGCTTGGGTAGAGAAGTATTACAGCTTTTCTATTCCTACTGAAGTTGCATTATTCCTGATGTTGGGCCATTAAGAAGAGTTTGGCAGTAAGTTAAATATAAAATAGTTGTTTTAAAAAATACAATTAATTCTGGAGGAGGAAAATATAATACTATGACTTTTAGTAATCCCCTTAAGGAGAGAAGGCAAAAAGCAATGTCTCTCTTTTTACACAAAATTTTGAACAAACAAGCATGCTGTACAAGGGACAGAAAATTGGTTGCAAGATGTAGCCTACTCAGATGATAATGTGCTTTATTAAGATACTGTTCTCTAAAAGGTACTAAAAAAATCAGTTTTATGAAAATAAGCAGTAGAGGCTGGGCGCGGTGGCTCATGCCTGTAATCCTAGCACTTTGGGAGGCGAGGCGGGCAGGTTGCCTAAGCTCAGGAGTTCCAGACCAGCCTGGGCAACACGGTGAAACCCCGTCTCTACTAAAAATACAAAAAATTAGCCGAGCATGGCAGCATGTGCGCCTGTAGTCCCAGCTACGCAGGAGGCTGAGGCAGGAGAATTGCTTGAACCCAGGAGGCAGAGGTTGCAGTCAGCCGAGATTATGCCACTGCATTCCAGCCTGGGTGACAGAGTGAGACTCCATCTCCAAAAATAAAAAACTTAACTGAAAGGGCTATCTGTGCATATATTTATTTATCCATAGCAAGTCTTGAGGAGTTTATTTGAGGCGTGAAAAAAAATTTAAGATGGGTAGGTGGTGTTGAGAGTGATTAAACGAACACTATATGATAAAAACTCTACATATTTAGACAAGAAGAAACAAGTAATGACAATTCTGAGGTGTCAAAGTGAATAAAACCTTTTTGAAAAGGCTTCCCAAGCCCCACAAGACCAACTTAAATATCCCTCCTATGTGTTATCATTACACCCATGGCAGTACTTGACACTTCCACTCATTACCTGATCACTTGCAAACTTTCTCCACCATTACAGCATTCTATGCCAAGCACCTATCGCATGATCTAAAGAACATGAATAATAAATTAAATTTTTTTATGTAATAAAGAGATGATATCAGTATGATTTTTTTTTCAATCTTTTCTTGCTAGGGAATTGAAGACACTGCGTAGCTAACAAAAATGCCTCAATTCTGGACTCAGTAATTTCTTCCTCAACAGTGTTTACATGTTAACTATTGCTTACAGGATAAAGGCTAAAGCCTTGACATACAAGCTCCTTCCCAAATGGATGCCACCTCATCTATACTTTGTAGCATACATGCAATACTTCAGCCATACTTAATTTTAATAGGGTTTCTTTACTTCCTTGCATTGCAAAATATAATTCCTCTATATAAGATTTCCTACTCCTTCATTTTTATCAAATTTCTACTGACCTGTCTAGGTCCTGCTCTAATATTCTTTTCAGTGAATTTCACACCCAAGAAAGATATAGCTTATTTCCCCTTAGAGCTTTATGTTTAAATTGGCAAGATGGCTCTCAGAGAAGTAGGGCCTAGCCAACTCTCTAAAAGGAAATCTGTTTTGTAGTCACTGTTCCTCAAACTTCTGCTATTCCCAAGGTGCTGATTAGCTAGATATCTCATTTCTATTCCTTGGGATGCCGCCATTTCATTCTGACTGTATTTAGAGTACACATTACCCCCACAGTATAAGGAAGGGAAGGGGAGGGAAGGGGAGTGGGGAGAGCAGAAGCGGGAGAGGACAGGAGAAGGGAAAGAGAAAGCGATCACCTATTATTCTTATCTCTATTTGCAGATACACCCAAACCTTTAAGTGTTTTACTTTCCAAAATTATCTTATTAATTTTTCACATAAGCTAGTAGTGATGAAAGGCACTACTTAGAAATCTGGAGATAGCCAAAATAAACCATCCAGTGCACAGTTTTTCATTCTGAGAATGATTTATTTAGCTAAAACTAGATCTGGACAATGGGAAGATTTTTTTACACTGTCTATGAGCACAGGAAAATTGCTCATGGCTTCAGCCAATGAACTTCTTAAAAAATAAAACATACACTGTAGAGAACAAATTAAAGCTCACTCTGTTTTCTATAAAAAGTATATTTATTTCTCTTTATTAGGTCATATAAGATGCTAACATGTAATAATGGCATTATTTGTTACGTGATATCTAATCGTAGTCTTTGCCAAAATGTTTTCCACTTCATTATGGGGGGCTTTTCGCATTTTTCAGGAATCTATGTACTCACTAGAATATTATTAGAAACACATTTTTTTCTGACACATTCATGCATGAGGTTACCAAGAATAGAGAACAAGAGTGGATAAAAATTTGCAATAAGACTGGTCATTGAATCCACTGAACTGAAAGTTGAGAAAAAAATTAATAAAAGAAAAAAGACTAATCTGAAACAAGTTCAAACATGGAAAATATTTTCCTAATTTATAACTAAAAAAACTTCTTCCTTCACTAATCTTTTTTTTTCAGTGCAGTCCATTATGTCTTAAACTGTATAGAAATTAGTACTGATTGACTTATTAAGTCTGTCAAAAGAATCTGTTTGCGTTTACTATCAAAGTTACATCCAAAGACCACATAATCTGATACTTCTCTACTCCATATTGGAGCCATGTGAAAGATACTGAAAGAGCATCTTCCTTCCCAGAGGGTCATGCTTTTTATTGGATAAAATTATCTACAGATTTCCTTTATAAAATGTCATCAGATCTCAAGTATTATGTAAATAATATGTTCTCAAATATTATATAAACACATAAGGGGATTCTAAATTATATGCCACTTCAGGAATACAAACATGGATAACTTAAAGGAGGTAAAAATTCCTTACCAAATTATTCACTGAGTGGTATACTTAAAGAAACTCAAATATTTGAGGAGGATGATGGGGCTAATTTTATGGATATTTCATATTTACACAGAGTCATTTAGAACATATTTTTCAAAATACTGAAATCACCTCATTAACTTATGCAACTTCCTTTTCAGGTGTTACTGAAAGAGATGATGGAGAGTGAGTGAAAGAGAGAGAGATGATAGATAGGTGATAGATAGATGATAATGTAGAGAGCTAAAGAGGGTCACAGAGTAGTCAGTTGATTTACACAGCTGCTGAAAGGGGCGAGTCCACAAACTGGAAAACATCATTGATCCATAGAATCTATGGCTTGGTAAACTACCTAAAATTCTCTCCTATATTTTCAGCATCTCCCTAGGGTTCATACTGCTTTATAAGCAGTAAAAATAACCAAATATAACATATTTATATCTGTATATTTCTAATTTAAAGTGACATCTTTTTTTAGAAACTCTATAAAAAAGTAATAGTCACATAAGTCACTCTCGTATATGTCTATTTTGTTCCCTTGTTAAGAGCAACTTTATCATTACTTGTTTGGAAAGCCGATTTTCCTTTAAAGGAAAATCTTAGTATTTTCTCCCCTATATTTCTTTGTTTTAAACCAAGGAAGTTGGATTAAGTAATCTTTAAGGTATCTTTTGTTTCTAAGATTCTCTGAATCCTACCCTCACTTGGATCAGGGAGGGTAAGGCAGTGAGGAAATTGATCTGAGATGAGTAAAGAAGGAAATAGCTATTGATCTGGGCCTTGAATCATGGGCAGATTTTTGACAGCTGAAGTTAAAAATCACTCCCATTATAGGTGCAAAGGACAGCAGACGCAAATGGCATGGAAGTGGAATAGTAAGTAGACTTATAAAGAAGAATCATCCCAGTTAGGGTGGAGGCTTGGAAGGTCTCTCAATCTCTCAATCTCTCTCTCTCTCTCTCTCTGTCTCTCTCTCTCTCCCTCTCCCCTTCTCCCCCTCTCTCCCCTCCCCCTCTCCCTCTCCTCTCTCTCTCTCTCTCTCTCTCTGTCTCTGTGTGTGTGTGTGTGTGATCTCTCTCTGTTTCAACAAGCACTCTAAATGAGTCTGGTATAGATGATCTACAAATGACACAGAGTGATAATGAGAAGGATACAGAGGTGGTAGGAAGCTGAATAGGTTAATAAACAATTCAACACATTAGAGGTGCTCAGTAACTCACGACAGCATTAAGCTCAACTCCTCTGAGAATCTCCTTTTTCCCCCTATTTCTTTTTCATGATTTAAGCATTTGGCTTATTATTTTAGCCTTGTTATTCTAAGTGGTTTATTATTCTTGGTGAATAGAGAATTATTCTAATGGTGCTTATTATTCTATTCATTACAACTTCAGGCTGATTAGGAGTGAATAGCTGCTGAGGAGCCTTTCCAATAGCAAAATTAGATTTCTATAATTTTATGGTGCTTATTTTTCAGTATCAGTAATTGTTCTGGAATTTTCCATCACTTAACAATCCCTTTCTCTGCTTCAAACTACTGAGATATAGTCCAGTGATTACAAAATAAAGACATCTCTTTATGGAGTAAAAAGAATCTTATTTTCAAATGACTCTATATTTAACATGATGTTTCACTTCCTAAAAGTATCTCACAACCCTGTTTCATTTATAATAAATAGAGTATGGCAAAGATGATGCAATGATACTCCCATGGTTACTTTATGATGTGGCTATATAAGTCTTTGCCTTGCTAGGATGAACTAGAGAGATTCCATATTTTAGCTCATACTCACAGGATTCCAGACACTTTATGTCTTCCCTTCTTGCTTCCTTGCCTGCCCCATGGACTTCAGACTTGCTTAGCCAGTCCTTTAATACACTGTAATTTGTACATAACGTATGCATATACATACGTGTGCACATGTGTGAGAGAAAGAGTGTGAACTACTGCTTCTCCGGCAGAGCCTTAATTCCATCTTCATCCCCAATGTTATTATTATTCTTTTACAGTATTTGCATTCTGTTCTATAACAATAACTGTCTTCCTAGTTTCTCCATACATTAACTCAAAGATTGAAAGCACGGCTCTTATGTGTTATCTTTTTGTGAAATTCAGTACTGGGATTGAACATATGAGATAGAAGATATTATTTTATGTTGTTAGAGTAACACACTGCAATGCCATTAGAATGGAGCAGCTCTAACATCCTGAGTTTCTACGTAAGCAAAGCAAAACTCAACTCACTGCGAATGGTCATAGCCTAGGAAAATAAAACTCAAGCTTAAGTAATCAGAAACTGCCAAGTAAATTCTAACTAGAGATTTTACCAATTAAAATCCATGAATTAACCTCTCATCTCACTAGGGACCTTCCACTTTAACCAATCAAATATATTTTTGTCTTGCTCCCTCACACACTTAAGAGTTTTTCCCTTGTACCCTTTTGGTGGAGCTCAAACCACTTGTGATTTGGAGCTGCCTGATTCAGGAATCATTGTCTGTTCAATTACACTCTAAAATTTTACTGTGCCTAAGTTTATTTTTTAACAGTGGTCATTAAATATTTGCTGTTCAAAGGTACCATTATTAAAAAAGGGAACAGATAGGAAGGGCAACATATGGGAATTGCTATTTAAATTATCCTTTTAATTTATCTATTATTATCACGGAAAAGTGTTCCATGTCACTGATCACACTCATAACTGATTTTCTGATTTTCAGATCTCAAGCTTGTTCATGTATTTTAATCATACTACAAAAAAAGTATTTGCTATATTCCACCCCTCATTGTATTCAGCCTTCTTACTAATAACAAACAGATTTTTTTATTTAATCACACTATTCATTTTCTTTCTTAGGACATTCTCATGGGGTCTTCATTACATAATTTGGACTAATTTTATTGTAGCCTGTTGCATGCCTGTCATCACTTTCATCTCACTGCCGATCTGAATTATTCTTTTTTTTTAAAAAAAAATTTACTTTAAGTTGTGGGATACACGTGCAGAATGCACAGGTTTGTTACATAGGTATACATGGGCCGTGGTGGTTTGCTGCACTTATTGACCCATCCTCAGAGTTCCCTCCCCCCATTCCCCACCCCTCAACAGGCCTGGTGTGTGTTGTTCCTCTCCCTGTGTCCATGTGCTCTCATTGTTCAACACCCACTGATGAGTGAGATTGTGGGGTGTTGGGTTTTCTGTTCCTGTGTTAGTTTGCTGAGGATGACAGCTTCCAGCTTCATCCATGTTCTTGGAAAGGACATGATCTCATTCCTTTTTATAGTTGCATAGTATTCCATGGTGTATATGTACCACATTTTCTTTATCCAGTCTATCATTGATGGGCATTTGGGTTAGTTCCATTACTTTGCTATTGTAAATAGTGCTGCAATAAACATACGTGTGCATGTGTCTTTATAGAAGAATGATTTATATTCCTTTCAGTACGTACCCAGAAATGGAATTGCTGGGTCAAATGGTATTTCTGGTTTTAGATCCTTGAGGAGTCACCACACTGTCTTCCACAATGGTTAAACTAATTTACACTCCCACCAACAGTGTAAAAGCATTCCTACTTCTCCACAGCCTCGCCAACATCTCCTGCTTCTTGACATTTTAATAATCACCATTCTGACTGGCCTGAGATGGTAACTCATCATGGTTTCGATTTGCACGTCTCTAATGATCAGTGATGTTGACCTTTATTTCATGTTTGTTGGCTGCATAAATGTCTTCTTTTGAGAAGTGTCTGTTCATATCCTTTGCCCACTTTTTGATGGGGGTTTTTCTTGTAAATTAGTTTAAGTTCCTTGTAAATTCTAGATGTTAGACCTTTGTCAGATGGGTAGATTGCAAAAATATTCTCCAATTCTGTAGGTTGCCTGTTCACTCTGATGCTAGTTTCTTTTGCTGTGCAGAAGCTCTTTAATTAGATCCCATATGTCAATTTTAGCTTTTGTTGCAACTGCTTTTGGCATTTTCCTAATGAAGACTTTGCCTATGCCTATGTCCTGAATGGTATTGCGTAGGTTTTCTTCTAGGGTTTTTATGGCTTGGGTTTTTACATTTAAGTCTTTAATCCATCTTGAGTTAATTTTTGTACAAGGTGTAAGGAAGGGGTCCAGTTCAGTTTTCTGCATATGGCTAGCCAGTTTTCCCAGCACCACTTATCGAATAGGATATCATTTTCCCATCGCTTGTTTTTGTTAGGTTTGTTGAAGGTCAGTTGGTTGTAGATGTGTGGTGTTATTTCAGAGGTCTTCTTTCTGTTGCATTGGTCTATATGTCTGTTTTGGTACCAGTACCATGCTGTTTTGGTTACTGCTGAATTCTTCTTAAACTGCTACCTTTCTCTTTGTTGGAGTCCTTTTTGTTGTTTTGTTGAACTACAAACAGTAATTTTCTTTTTTTTTTAGAAAAAGACTGTGTATACTAGATTTTTTGAATTATTGTGTGTGTAAACAAATCTCTTTATATTTGAAATTTAGAACATTTATTAGCCACTTGACCAAATAAAATTTTATGTTTAAATAATTTTGACTCATAATAATAAATAACTTATTTCAAATTCTTCTAGCATTCTTCACCAGAAGTCTGATGTCATTCTCACCTTTGTTCCTTTGAAGACAATTTAGTGTTTCTCTTTAGAAGTTTGCATACACACTAAAAATAACTGAGGGTCCCAGTTGCTCCACATCCTCACCTCAGCTTAGCATTATTCTAAGAAGAATGTGTAGTCTTTGTGGTGGGTGGCTATTAATGTTTCATTTTGGTTTATATTTACATTTACCTAAGGACTTTGGGCATCTTTTTCTGTGTGTCCTTTGTGTCTTTGCCATGCATATGTATTCTTCGGTGAAATATCTATTCAGATATTTTATCCTTTTCAAAATCAGGTTTGTTTTTGGGTTCTTGTTAATAACTTGTAAGTATTGAAACTGCATCCTGGACACTATATGGAATATACTATACAGTTGCATAAGCTTGGATACATCTCAAACTCAACAGGTCCACAATTGAACTCAGTTATCTTTTTTCTCCATCATAGCTGTTCATCTTTCAGTTATTCCCATCTTGGTAAATTACCCAATCAACTACAGCTGCTGAAAGAGGCTTGGTTTCTAGTATTTTCTCTTACCCAGCATCCAATTCACCCTTCAATCTTTAAAAAAAAAATACAATTTTTTATCATCAATGAATCCAATCTAGTTCATGCCAAAATCATTTGTCAGTTACAATATTGTAATTGCCTTCAACCTGGTATCTCTTGTTTCAATAGTGCCTTCCTACAGAAACCAGAGTATTTTTAAAGACCCATAAATTCCTTGTTGTAACCTCTTTTCAAAGATATGTCTCTTAAATTACACTAAATTCCAAAATCAACCATCATCTAAGTAATCACTCCCAAAATTGTACATATACCCATGCTGATTCACACTTTAGGATGCATGAAAATCTGGAAAGTTTGGTAAAGCACGGATTTCCAGAACCACCCCTACGGATTCTAATTTTGTAGTTCTGGAGTGGGGAATACAACAAGCTCTCCTCAATGCTGGTACTGATATCCATGGATTATACATCCAAATCTACATGATCTTTGTCTTTCCGCAATCTCCAGCCCCATATTCATCTGTCACATGAGCCTTTTTTTTCTATCTTTTGGATGTGGCAACCTTGCAATCTGAGGAAACTTTTCTCTCCTTTCATTCTCTCCCTAGATTCTCTCCACACGTCCCAGGCTGCCTCTTTCTCGTTATTCAAGTTATATTCATAGGTCAACTCCTTGAAAAGCTCACATCCTTAGAATCCATTCTTTAATCGAGTAACTGATTACTTAATAATTCTATAATTATTTTCTTACTAGCGTTTATCACCATTTGAAATTATCTTATTTGGTCATTTACGTTTTCATTTGTTTATTGACCACCTCACCCCTAGAAAATAAATGCCATTAAGAAAAGGACAGTGCCTTAATCAACCTGTATTCTGCATAGTTTTGAATACGTTCAAACATTTTTTGGAAGATGGAATTTTAGGATGTCTGAAGAATAGTGGCAGGAGAGAATCTTAATGAGCTAGGCAGAGATTAGTTCATTTAGGGCTATGGGTAAAATGCTCACACTCATCTAATAAAGTGTAACAAAAAGATATGTCACATAAGGACCTATTTCTAGCTCTCCTCCTGGATTTTTGCTATCTCTCTCATTTGGTGATTTTGCTTATCTGTACATTTAGCAAATTGTACAAGCTTGATAAGCATTAACTATTTGGAAAGGATCCAGAAGCACTAATGAAGACAAAATGGTGAAGAAATATATTCTAGTATTTCTACAATGAGTGCACATGACAAATTCCTTTGTGATAGCTCCAGTCATAAACACAGGAGAGTTATGTAGATTATCACCAACAGGCTAGTCACCTATGCTTCTCTGTAACTGAGCACCTCTTTATCCTAGAACTGCAGGCTTAAAATATTTGCCTCGATCTTGTGAAAGTTCAATCATTTTGGATTAGGGTAACACTATGAAACAAATTGGAATATCAAATGGTCATCAAATCCCTACTAGTGGAATGGTCAAAGAAATCTCAAACATCAGATATCACTGATGTTAATACTATATACGGTCATGGATTTTCCCTCTATTAACATCACCATACCTCTCCTATTTAAAGTAACAGCTTACAAAATTATACTTATAAAATTTTGAGACCTAACTAATATTGAAACTTCAATGATAAGTAAGTTGTTTCTTGTTTTTTTCAATTTTTTTAAAACCAAACATAGGAGTCATAATTATTTTAAATCAACTTAAAATTGGTTGCAAGTGTGAATAGAAAACTTAACTAGATATTAATCTTTAAATTTTGAATTAATTTGACTGCATTATTTTTGACCTGCTTTTCATAGTTCCAAATGTTAATGAAAAATGTTTTATACATTCATGACTTAATGACTGCTATCATTTCCAAATATAACAAATGTAGACTATCAGTAAATATCATACAGCAATGATCAAAATCAATAATTGGGCTACTGTTTTTTAAAGAAAAAAAGGTGCGCCTTAGTTCAAAACAAACCTAACACTGCCATGGAAATGTCTTTTTCTCTGTTAAAACTTCAAGAAAGCATTCAATCAGTAACCGCACCCACCCCCAGTCATGTAAAATGAAAAAAAGAAGAAACGAAAAAAATTCACAACTTTATATCTCAGATAAATAAAGTATGGTATATAGTCAAAGACACAGGACATGAGATTATTCTCTCCATTGTTCATATGTTCATGCTAGTTATCTGAAAATTTGATACTTACATTTTATTTGTCCCATTCTGCAATACAAAATAGGCTATTAAAAATGTTTGATCTGATCCACTAATAACAAACTTCAATAAGGTTGTATTTCAAAATACGAGTATATATGAAAGTGAGGACAATGTCAAGTTTACTGAACTAAACTTTATATCAATACAAATAAATTGCAATTGCATTCTCTGATTTAAACCTGTCAAATCAGCAAACAAATAGGACTATATATATTCAATATTTGACTTCAATCTTGAAGAGATGAAAATGTTTCTACTCATCTTAAAATGCCAGCTTTCTGTGATCTCTTAAGAGACTAAATTATAAATTGCAGACTAAGTGTATCAAAGCTTTCAAAATGTAATAAACAGGAAGCTTTGATGTTTCTGGCCTCTTAGGAAGCATTATGGCTATCTTATGTCATTGTTCGTAGACTAATATGCCCATACTCCTCTAATCAAAATTTATGAAAGTTTTACTTTCCCCCATAGACTTTCAGATCACAATGGAAAGCTCATCACATGGAATTATTCAGCCTCTTTGGTCTGGAAATCTGAACACACATCTACACAATTTTTCACTATTGAGAGGACACGCTGGTTTTAAAGTCTGTCTCCTATTTTCAACAATCCAAACTTCATTTCTATGGAAACAGGACTCTATAGCCTGCAGGTAATGTTAACCCAGCCTCTAATACTAGTGCTGGTAGCTGACTTCCATTTCTTTTCCCGGTGAAAATAGATGTCAAAATGGTTAGGACTAAGGAAAGGTCTTGCAATGCTTCTTATAAAAAACTTATCTTATTTCAGTTGATCCAATTTCTTCAGAAACAAGATGCTAAAGGCAACCAGATATTGAGAATGAAACTACCAGCTCATTTTAACTCCAAGGTGTCAGGCAAGTCTATGAATAAACTGCTATATAAAGCAAAAGAGCACTGAATTTTTGGGTTCTTGAAATATTGAGGCATTACACATAGAAAAAAACTACTATTTAAGACATTAAACTTTTTATTTCATTTTAAAAATTTTATTTTAAAACTACATTTTAGGTACTTACAACAGAGACTTACGTATTATCTTTTAATACTTTAATCATAAAATTATACAAATAGCCTGGTACATGTAATGAAATGTGGTCTCACAGAGTACATCAAAGATAATCTAATCATTGTTCCTATACATTAGCACTAGAAGGGATCCTTTCTCTTATGTGTTAACACCTGTTTTTCAAAATAGTGTCTTGTGGCATTAGTTATTGGTATTAAGAGATCAAATTAAATAACCTGGGTTGGAACACATCAAAATATGAGTACCCTATAGCTATAAAATGTCTAATACTTAAGTTTAAAACACATGACATTAACATCACTGAAGTATCTGTTAAAGTACAATCCCTTTAGAAAGGAGTCTCATGATCATCATATCTAAACTAGGAGCTCACTAGTCATTCTCCCCTGCTCCTATTGGTATACTAATTATATATATATATATATATATATATATATATATATATATATATGGTGTGGTGTGGTGGTGTGTGTGTGTATAACTAGTATGTATATGTTAAATGTACATATAAAAATACAAGTATTTTTAATAAAAAGGGGACCACTCTAGATTAGAAGAGACTTGAGTAGCTGATGGTAAGATGTAATATGTGGTTGTTAATTAGATATGGGTTTAGACAAAGCATCTATTAAAATGCTAAGAAAAAAATTTATTTTCAAGGAGAGTTGGAAATCATTAGTTGAAAAAGGCAGGTTACAAAGGAGAAAGAATATGATCTCATTTTGGTAAAAAAAAATTTGGCCCAGTTCAGGCCAAAAATCGTATCTATGATCTTTCAGGACTGACCATCAGCAATTACAAGGTTCTGCCTGGCAAGTTTCAGTAGGGAAAGTGAACCTCGCCACACCAAAATTGGTGTGCAAAGCCAGTGCCTTACAGTTTTCTGGAGGGAGTTGCAGTTCAGGACGCAGCAATCTACTCCCAGTCCAACCATGCTCTTACATATCTGCATTTCTAGACCAACCACTTCCTTTCAAAGTCCTTTGTATTAAAGACTCATCTGAGATACTTCCCAGGTGTCCTCACCAAGAGCTCCGTCGTGAGAATCTCAGCTGAGGCATTTTTCTCTACTTTAACTCAGTTCCTTTCCGCTCTCAGCCCTTTCCTTTCTTCTCCCCTGTTCCAAGAGTCCTTAAAGAGGCAGAAGTCTTTGGTTTGGTTTCATTATTTAAGATAGCTTACAGAAAAAAACAATCAAACCTTCAAGAAACATTGGACACACTTATAGACATGCAAAATGCTCTGGAAAGTCTCAGCAATATAACAGAACAAGTAGAAGAAAGAAATTCAGAGCTCAAAGACTAGGTCTTCGAATTAACCTAATCCAACAGAGACAAAGAAAAAAGAATAAGAAAATATGAACAAAGCCTCCAAGAAGTCTGGGATTATGTTAAATGACCAAACCTAAGAATAATCAGTGTTCCTGAGGAATAAGACAATTCTAAAAGCTTGGAAAACATATCTGGGGGAATAATTGAAGAAAATTTCCTTGGCCTTGCTAGAGACCTAGACATCCAAATACAAGTAGGACAAAGAACACCTAGAGATTTCATCACAAAAAGATCATCACTTAGGCACATTGTCATCAGATTATCCAAAGTTAAGTTGAAGGGAAGAATCTTAAGAGCTATGAGACAGAAGCACCAGGTAACCTATAAAGGAAAACCTATCAGATTAACAGCAGATTTCTTCACAGAAACCCTACAAGCTAGAAGGGATTGGAGCCCTATCTTCAGCCTCCTCAAACAAAACAATAATCAGTCAAGAATTTTGTATCAAGCAAAACTAAGCATCATATATGAAGGAAAGATACTGTCTTTCTCAGACAAACAAATGCTGAGAGAATTCACCACTACCAACCCACGAATACAACAACTGCTAAAAGGAGCTCTAAATTTTGAAACCAATCCTTGAAACACATCGAAATAGAACCTCTTTAAAGCATAAATCACACAGGACCTATAAAACAAAAACACAAGTTAAAAAGCCAAAACAAAAAAAAACAAAAATCCCAAGTACACAGGCAGCAAATAGCACAATGAATGCAACAGTACCTCCTATCTCAATACTAACATTGAATGTAAATGGCCTAAATGCTCTACTTAAAGGATACAGAACCACAGAATGGATAAGAACTCACCAACCATCTGTTGCCTTCAGGAGACTCACCTAACACATAAGTACTCACATAAGCTTAAAGCAAAAGGGTGGAAAAAGGCATTTCATGCAAATGGACACCAAAAGTGAGCAAGGGTAGCTATTCTTTTATCAGACAAAACAAACTTTAAGCAACAGCAGTTAAAAGAGACAGAGAGGGACATTATACAATGGTAAAAGGCCTTGTGCAACAGGAAAATATCACAATCCTAAACATATATACACCTAACACTGGAGCTCCCAAATTTATTAAAAAATTACAAATAGACCTAAGAAATGAGATAGACAGCAACACAGTAATAGTGGGGGACTTCAATACTCCACTGGCAGCCCCAGACAGGTCATCAAGACAGAAAGTCAGCAAAGAAACAATGGATTTAAAATATACTTTGGAACAAATGGACTTAACAGATATACACAGAACAGTTCATCCAACCACTGTAGAATACACATTCTATTCAACAGTGCATAGCATTTTCTCCAAGATATACCATATGATAGGCCCTAAAACAAGCCTCAATAAATTTAAGAAAATTGAAATTATATCAAGCACTCTCTCAGATCACAGGGGAATAAAACAAAAGCAACTCCAAAAGGAACCTTCAAAACCATGCAAAAACATGGAAATTAAATAACCTGTTCCTAAATGAGAACTGGGTCAAAAACGAAATCAAGTTGGAAATTTAAATATTCTTCAAACTGAATGATAATAATGACACAACCTATCAAAACCTCTGGGATACAGCAAAGGCGGTGCTAAGAGGAAAGTTCATAGCCCTAAAGGCCTACATCAAAAAGACCAAAAGAGCACAAACGGACATTCTAAGATCGCACCTCATGGCACTAGAGAAACAAGAACAAACCAAACCCAAACCCAGCAGAAGAAATGAAATAACCAAGATCAGAGCAGAACTAAATGAAATCAAAACAAAACAACAACAACAAAACCCACAAAAGATAAGTGAAACAAAAATCTGTTTCTTTGAAAAGATAAATAAAATTGATAGACCATTAGCAGGATTAACCAAGAAAAGAAGAGAGAAAATCCAAATAACCTCATTAGAAACAAAACAGATATTATAACTGACACTACTGAAATACAAAGTATCATTCAAAGCTACTATGAACATCTTTACACCTATAAACTAGAAGACCTAGAAGAGATGGATAAATTCCAATAAAAATACAACCCTCCTAGCTTAAGTCAGGAAGAATTAGATATCCTGAACAGACCAATAACAATCAGCAAGATTGAAATGGTAATTTAAAAAATTACCAACCAAAAACAGTTCAAGACCAGACAGATTCACAGCAGACTTCTATCAGCCATTCAAAGAGGAATTGGTACCAATCCTTTCGACACTATTCCACAAGATAAAGAAGGAACCCTCCCTAATTCATTCTATGAAGCCGGTATCACACTAATACCAAAACCAGGAAAAGACAACCAAACAAGAAAACTACAAACTGATATCCTTGATGAACACAGATGCTAAAATTCTCAACAAAATATTAGCTAACAAAATCCAACAATATATAAAAAGATAATCCACCACGGTCAAGTGGGTTTCATACCAGGGACAGAGGGATGGTTTAACACGTACAAGTCAATAAATGTGATACACCACATAAACAGAATTAAAAACAAAAATCACATGATCACCTCAATAGATGCAGAAAAAGCATCGACAAAATCCAGCATTACTTTGTGATTAAAACTCTCAGCGAAATCAGCATACGAGGGACATACGTCAATGTAATAAAAGCCATCTATGACAAACCCACAGCCAACATTATATTGAATTGGGAAAAGATGAAAATATTCCCTCTGAGAACCGGAACAAGACAAGGATGCCAACTCTCACCACTCCTCTTCAACATAGTACTGGAAGTCCTACCCAGAGCAACCAGACAAGAGAAGAAATAAAGGGCATCCAAATCAGTAAAGAGGAAGTCAAACTGTCACTGTTTGATGACAATATGATCGTTTACCTTGAAAACCCTAAAGACTCCTCCAGAAAGTTCCTAGAACTGATAAAAAGAATTCAGCAAAGTTTCCAGATACAAGATTAATGTACACAAATCAGTAGCTCTTTTATACACAAATAACAACCAACTGGAGAATCAAATCAAGAACTCAACCCCTTTTACAATAGCTGCAAATAAATAAATAAATAAAATATTCAGGAATATACCTAACCAAAGAATTGAAAGACCTCTACAAGTGAAACTACAAAACACTGCTGAAAGAAATCATAGATAATACAAAAAAATGGAAACACATCCCATGCTCATGGAGGGGAAGAATCAATATTGTGAAAATGACCATAATGCTGAAAGCAATCTATAATTTCAATGTAATCCCCATTAAAATACCACCATCGTTCTTCACAGAATTAGAAAAAACAATTGTAAAATTCATGTGGAATGAAAAAAGAGCCTGCATAGGCAAAGCAAGACTAAGCAAAGAGAAAAAATCTGGAGGCATCATCAAACTACCTGATTTCAAACTATACTATAAAACCATAGTCTCCAAAACAGCATGGTACTGGTATAAAAATAGGCACATAGACCAATATAACAGAATAGAGAACCCAGAAATAAACCCAAATACTTACAGTCAACTGAACTTTGACACAGCAAACAAAAACATAAAGTAGGGAAAGGACACCATTTTCAAAAAATGGTGCTGGGATAATTGGCTAACCACATATAGGAGAATGAAACTGGATCCTCATCTCTCACCTTATAAAAAAATCGACTCATGATGGATTAAGGACTTAAATATAAGACCTGAAACTACAAAAATTATAGAAGATAACACTGGAAAGACCCTTCTAGGCATTGGCTTAGGCAAGGATTTCATGACCCAGAACCCAAAAGCAAATACAATAAAAGCGAAGATAAATAGTTAGGACTTAATTAAACTAAAGAGTTTTTGCAAAGCAAAAGTAACAGTCTGCAGAGTATTCAGACAACCCAAAGAGTGGGAGAAAATCTTCACAATCTTTACATCTGACAAAGGACTAATATCCAGAATCTACCACAAACTCAAACAAATCAGTAAGTAAAAAACAATCCCATCAAAAAGTGGGCTAAGGACATGAATAGAAAATTCTCAAAAGAAGATATGCAAATGACCAACAAACATATGAAAAAATGCTCAACATCACTAATGATCAAATCAAAACCACAATGCAATAGCACCTTACTCCTATAAGAATGGCAATAATCAAAAAATAGTAGATGTTGGCATGGGTGCAATGATTGGGGAACACGTCTACACTGCTGGTGGGAATATAAACTATTATAGCCACTGTGAAAAACAGTGTGGAGACTCCTTACCATTTGATCCAGCAATCCCACCACTGGGTATCTACCCAGAGGAAAAGAAGTCATTATATGAAAAAGATACTTGCACACGCATGTTTATAGCAGCAGAATTAACAATTGCAAAATCATGGAACCAACCCAAATGCCCATCAATCAACGAGTAGATTAAAAAAAGAAAACTGTCGTATATATATATATATATATATATATATATACAATGGAATACTACTCAGCCATAAAAAAGGAATTAATTAACAGCATTTGCACTAACCTGGATGAGTTTGGAGACTATTATTCTAAGCGAAGTAACTCAGGAATGGAAAACCAAACATCGTATGCTCTCACTGATATGAGGGAGCTAAGCTATGAGGATGCAAAGGCATAAGAATGACACAATGGACTGTGGGGACTGGGAGAAAGAGTGGGAGGGGGGCAAGGGATAAAAGACCACAAATATGGGGCAGTGTATACTGTCTGGGTGATGGGTGCACCAAAATCTCACAAATCACCACTAAAGAACTTACTCATCTAACCAAATACCACCTGTACTGCAATAACTTATGGAAAAAAATAAATAGTATTAATTCAAAAAAGAAAGAATTATTTAGCACTTTATCTTTCATATAATATATAATACATATATTGATTTAAAATGTGTGTGTATCATAAATATAATATGTAAAACAAACACCAACCTCCTCTGGGGAAGGAGAGGAATTATTAGGTAGAAACTTCAAATGTATCTGTAACATATCGTTTCTATCATATCTGAAGCACAGATGGTAAAATGTTGATTTGATAAATCTAGCTATTAGGAACAGAGGTGTTTATTATATTACTATACTTTACCGTATTATGTAAGAATTTTCAAATTATTAAAATTAAAGCAATATGTGCACATAAAAAAGGTTGTACATCTTGCACATATCTCTTATACTATTTGCAGTTTATAAAGAACGTTTACATGTATCAGCTCATATCCATCTGTAACACTATTCATCAACTAGTAGGAAAACAAATTCACTGCAGTATTTGATCAACAAATAAATCATATGTTACCGGAAATTGCAGTTCAAACAAGTTGCTTTATAAAGCGGTTTTGAATAGAAAATTTAAATTCTGTCAAGTAACAAATCACAAATTAAATGAATACAAGCTAAATGAAAAAGCATTGATTTAAAAGATTTTTAAATTCAACAAAGCAGTTAAGTAGCATGCCACCTAATAAAAAGGGTTGTAACATAATATGACTTGAAATCAGCAGGCAGGTAAATGAGGAGTATGGCAAATAATAAAAATTCAACATTAATGCTACCATGTACACACATGCATATTTATTTATTAGACTATATGGGTATTTTATTAAAAGTTGGTAAGTCTCCTGGTATGGAAAGCTAAAACCAATTTATATTTCTCAGACTCATATATAAAGCATACAGTTTAGGACTCCTGTATTTTATTTGAACCCATCACAATAAAATTTTAACCTTCAGGAAAATAATGAAAGAATAGAGAAGAAAAATTAAATTGAATATGGAATTTTCCAAATAACTTTGCTCTAGAGACTGTTGGTTTTTTAAAGCTTTCATTTTCATTACTATTTGTTGTTAAGACAAATCCACAAATCATTTCACAACAGAAGACTTTTCAGCAAACCTGCATTGACTTACTATGAGACATATCTAAAGAAGCTTATTTAGGGAGAATCTCAGAATTGGAAACGAGCTCAGAAACTAACTAATCCAATGAATGCCTCAATATCTGTGGTAGTGATCATTCAGCATCCACTTGAATATTTTTAACTATAAAAAAACTTAAGTACTTACTAAGGTATTGCATCATTAAATGCATACAAATTTGGAGAGGGCTGAAAATATAGATCATGAAGATTCACGAAGTTTTTCCAGAGCTATACGACAGTCCTATATCAGGAAGCTACCGGCTCCAGACATCCAAAATAAAGCTGCCAATACCAGGAAATGACAAGAATTGAAAATATCCTAACCAGGGGATGCCTACTATGATCTATAACAACTAGATGGATGCTGGGAGCCCTGTTTCTTCCCATCCCCCACCTCACTTCTGTCTTCTAAATCACATGCAAGGGCATCTGATTGCTAAACCTTAGTTACATTCAGAACCCCAGTAGCCAAATAGCCCAGAAAATACTATTGTTAGCTTCTAGTCTCTGCACAATAGAGGAATGCTGGTACAGTGATAAAATGGAGCTGAGTTGCAGTTTCACACATTCATCGGAGACAAAAACCTAAGCTTCTCTTTTATCTCCATGAAGTATTTCCTCCTGTAGTGTTCTAAGCCTCAATCCAAGCAATAGTTATTTTAAAGTGTTTAAAGATCTACCATATTACATAGCATGTCCCTCCTTTTTGGTATTCTATTCTAAGCAGAGGCTGAGGGTGTATCATCTTACTTTAAGTTCCTTGTGCCTTATCTTTACAAAATCTAAGTAACTCTAACATATTACACAGGTAACATCGTTTAGCAGTATAAATTAACATTTTTAACATTTAATCACTTTGTCCCCTTCAAATCAAAGAGATAATACAATCCATAAGGTAAAAATGGGTAAACAGGTCACTTTTTATATGTTAATAGTAACGTTATTTATGTACCTTTTATTCCTCTACAAATTAGTTGTTTCTCTCCATGTAAACGTAAAGTATATTTTGACTTCTAGGTTGTAAGAGCTGTATACATTTATCACATATCAAATGTAAAATATAAATATTTAAATAACTAAAAAGACCAACAGAGTTTCAGCAGATACAATTAAATTACTCTGTTCCTCACTGAAATTTGTATATTCAAGCCTGGCCAAGTGGCGAAACCCCTTTCTCTACTAAAAAAAATATAAAAATTAGCCAGGAGTGGTGGTGAGCACCTGTAATCCCAACTACGTGGGAGGCTGAGACAGGAGAATCTCTTGAAGCCAGGAGGCAGAGGTTACAGTGATCCCAGATCCCGCCACTGCACTCCAGCCTGGGAAACACAGTGAGACTCTGCCTTAAAAAAAAAAGAAAAGAAAAGAAAGTTATATATTCATTGGGGCCTTGATTTTAATGGAATATCAAGTTCATGATGCTATATAAAATCTTTTTAAAGGACCAAATATTTTGAGTTGGAGAAAGCTTTTATCGACATGTCCAAGGACTAACAATGAAAAGAAATACCGTCACCTGACATAGCTAATAGAATCACTCAGTCTTTATTATGTATTTAGTTGAAAAGATTGGATTTATTCAACATTGAAAAAGAGGTGTAAAAGCCAACATTTCACCCAACCAGCCTGCTAATCTAGCAAGCAAACTAGAAGCTCAAGATCTTGATAACTCCCTAACCATACTGTGTTGAACTCCATGTATTCCAGTAAACACTAAAAATTTCTCTCCCCTTTAAACCATTATAAAGTTACCATCTTTGCTCTCAGGGATAAATAGAAATATATTTTATAAATAGATTGATAGCAATATAGCAATTCCTAGAAATGTCGTGGTAAGGAGAAGGAGGGTGATGGGTTGTGGGAAAATATCAGAGTATAATATCAAAATAGATAAAAGGTTTATAGAATAGACCCTGGCTGCAATATCCATCATGCCCCCAGCTAAGTGCTGCAGTGCGGTTACAAATAAAGGTATTTCCAGCTTGGAAACATTCCCAGTTTTGCTTTAGCCTCAGTGTTCCACTGAGATCCTTGTAGACTAGGACCTGTAGGCCATGGGTCAGCTGTTAAACATTGAATTCATATGCCACGCCCACCCCACCCCACCTTTGTGAATTCAAGAAAATAGTTTTTTACAGATTCAATCGCATTCTTCTTCCACCTTTTCTCTTATATGCCTTAATTTTAGCGGACAAAAAATATTTTCATTATTACCCTTGACTGTGGTCTTTGGCTTTTCATGCACATGTAATGTTTCCCTGAAACAGTCCCAGTGGTCACCCTGCTCACTGGTTTCTGACTGCAGCTTGGAATTAGTTTCTTTGTGGAAGTGGTCGTGGTGGTAACTATACTAATGGAGAGCTTAGTATGTGACAAGCACTATTCTAAATCCTTTTCACTTATTAGCCAATTTAATTCTTTGAATATCTCCATTTTATGGATGAAAAAACTGAGTCACAAAAAGTTTAAGCAACTAGTCAAAGATGACACTACTTGTAAATGGCAGAGTTGGAATTGCAATCTAGTCAGCCGTGGATTTTACCATACACCATTTGAGTAGAAAAGTAGAATAGAGAGCAGTTTCCTTCAGAGTTTCTCATGCTATCTTCATGCCTTATGCCTTTGATGTTAGACTGAGCTAGTTTTTGTCAGTTCCATTGCATTACACTGTATGCACCACATTCCTTCTTTGAAGTTATCTGAAATATTAACCCCTCAAGAAGATTTGATTTATGGGGCATTAATTTTTTTGGTGACAAAATATTTTCTTGGGCTTTTATCTTTGTTTTTACAATTTGGTTTAGAGAAATAAAACATTGTTATAATAATTAGTTTTTGCCACAATTCTTTTGGAGTGACTCCATGCATTGCAAACTGATGCTTTCATAGGTAGAAAATTTTTCATTATAATGTTCTTCATGTTATGCAGTGTACTAACCAATTATCTGGTTTAAGCAAGTTATGAAAGTCAAGACACAGAAAGAGATTTTGAATGTAAGTGAGGGTTATTTCATTACTTTATCTTATTGATTGCTATAATTAACCAAAGTCTTCTCATTTTAAGAATACTGTTTAGGTTTCAATAAAGTCAAATCATGCCACCATTCCACTTAAAACTCCTTACATTTTAATTGTTCTTTCTCTTACATTTATGAAATACAGGAAACAGTACATGTGAAGCGGATAAAGTTTATCGAATAATTAACTGATCTCAGGTTATGTTTAAAAATTGTACATAAGAAACCTTGTTATGAACCACTTAGTTTTCAAAATAGTAGCATTTTAAAAAATAGTTAAAAACCCTAGCAAATAGCCAATACCTAGAGCTTCTCATCAACACACTTACCATTTCTAGCCAACTACCTACCCTAGGAATCGAGCTTTATTGTATGCCTAGCTATACAACTTCTTAGAAGAAAGTCATCCTGTTAACATTTTCAGTTTCTAGCACAACTTGAAAATTCCTGAAACTGGGAATGAGATGCTCGAGGTGGCTTCTCAGTGATCCCTTAATGTTTTGTTCTTATTTATATCTGCTTAGTACAAAAAAAAAGGTAACATAAGAAATGGGTCAAGGATGTAGAGGCCAGGTGTGGTGGCTCACTCCTGTAATCCCAACACTTTGGGAGGCCGAGGTGGGTGGATCACAAAGTCAGGAGTTTGAGACCAGCCTGCCCAACATAGTGGAACATTGTCTCTACTAAAAACACAAAAAATTAGCCTGGCATGGTAGCGTGCACCTTTGATCCCAGCTACTCAGGAGGCTAAGGCAGAAGAATCACTTGAACCTGGGAGGCAGAGGTTGCAGTGAGCCGAGATTGTGCCATTGTACTCCAGCCTGGGCGACAAAACAAGACTCTGTCTCAAAAAAAAAAGAAATGGGTCAAGGATGTAGAAACTGGAATAAAATAAAAACAAGTTAGACTCCTACTAGACAGAATTGATATACTCTTTTCCACAGGCTGACTTTTCAAAGGATTCTTTTTCCAGCCAGCAGGTATCTACAGGTGTAGGCTGGCAGGTATCATCAGTTGGCAATCCATGAAGAGTCAGCAATACCAGAGTAATTGCTGTGGAAGGATAAATTAGCCTAAGTGCTGCTTGCCAGCAGAGGTATGTTGGAAAGCTCTCTTCCTCTCATTCTGGATCTGATGTGCCAATTCACTTTAGCTCTTCCTCTGAAGAAAAGGTTTAAAGTAACAGCAAATCTCAATTTGCAAGTGAGGAGAGAGTAAAAAAACCAACATTCTCTCTGAAGAGTTCTACCTCTTCTAATCCCTATTGCCATTTGAGCATATAATGTTTCTAGAGTCATTTAATTTCCCTGCTAACAAAAACTATAAAGTATTTTAAGAAAAAAAAATAAGTTTTCATGCACAGAACAAAAATGTTGATAAATTGGATATTCAAGCTAGAAGTTATATAAGTAACTTCTCTAGCTTATATTTCAATAATAATAATAAGTAAATTTTATAAAGCTGTCAGTGAGGTACTACTCACACACATATTACCTAATTTGCCATAAGTAAAAAACTTAGATAAAGCATTTTTTATAGTTAGAAATAAACACAATATTTAACATTTCCTCCAAAATGCAAATCAATAATGTTACTAGACCACTGCATACTATATGATTTGAATCAGTTCCTGTTCAGCTGGAAAATGATGGACCAGAATGTGAATACACCCTGTATTTCTAAAAATTTACTTCTGTTTATCACCCGCTGTAGGTTTATTCAACGGTTCTGATTTCAAGTAACTTTATTACTTTAATAATAGCACTTTACTGAATACAGATATAAGTGTTTAAATTATTATGACATTTAAAAAAATCACAGAAAATAAAATATCATAAAAAGTCCATTATAAGAATACAAGCCCTGATGTTAATTGAGAGTAAGGCATGTTTATTTATACCACTCTGAATTTGTAAATAAAGAAGTAATATTTGATGAGTGAAAATTATTTAACAAATACTACATGCATATTCCCTCATTTACTCCTCAAAGTATCTCTGGGGGATAGAAAATATCAACCCCAAGTTCAGATGAGAATTGTAGGGATTTTCAGAGTTAAATAATCACTCAACCACTATGTGGTAAGTAGTAGAGCTGAGAATTGAACCTGAGTGTATAAGCTCCATTGGTTTTTTTCTTTATTTTGCTGCTCAAAATGGAACTTTCCTTTTACCTTACATTTTATGGCAAACATTATTTTGCCCAACATAACATATTTACAATAACGTAGAGTTCCTATGCATTTTTAATTAGCATTTTCTTATTCCTTAGTTCTATATTTGATGCTTTATTAATCATTGTATGACTGTATATATTTATTAGTACAAAATCTCTCCATTTCCATATTGGGCTATCAAAAGTAATTTACCCAAGCAAATGATGATAAAAATAAAGATATAAGTCATTAGTAAAGATGGTATGAATTGCTAAATCACAAGGAGAGCAGAGTGCTTCTTGTCTTAAAAATTTAAATTGATATTTTCTGTTAAAAATGGTTTGCACTTCACATAGATAAATGTTTTTACTCCTAGATCTGTTTAATTAAGAATGGTTACAAATTTGAGGCTCCTTTATTTGAATATTCTGACCATTTTCCACAAAAATCATTTTAACTGTATCAAAATTTTCTTTCAGCACACCAAATAATTCTGTGCTTGAAAGTATGAGAATTCTGAGATAAAACAAGACATTGAACAACATGAACAAAATTATGAGCCATTTATCCTTTCTCTTTCAAGAAAGCGTTGAATTGACTTTTCGATAGCAACAGGAAGAGTTAAACCATCATTCTTTTATTAATACGTCTTAGATCATGTGGCAGAAACAGCCTGCACCTGTGTTCAAGAACCAGCTGTTCCTGATAAAAAACGTCTGCAGAATCCTCACTGGCAGTGGATGATGGAGCCATTAATCAAAAGTGGTAAATCCTAGTAAACTTTTACTAGGATTTCAAAGTTTGGCACCATTATAATTTGTTCAAGAGTTTCCATAGAAATATAGGTGAAAGAAAATAATTACATAAAATTCATGAGGAAATAAAGCCAACCTTTTCTAATATTGGTTCAAATCATTTGGATTCTTCTTTGTTATTAAGATGCTTATTTTTTATTATGCATGCAATTTCTCCCACCTCTTTACTATATACTGGTAATCACCAGAAAAAAATAAGAAAAGAAAGAAATATCAAGGAATATAAAATTAAATAAAAATAATCTGAAGCAAGCGTACAGATACCTCTTCTTAAACTATGATTCTAAAATATATTCCTCACTTGATGTAAATTTAAATAAACCTATTACTCACTTGAATAAACACAATGTAAAATACTACATTTTGTTCTGCTTCTAGCCAGGATGAGAAAACAGAGACAAGATTTAAATTATTTTCTGAGGCTTTTTTTTTAAAACTGGAAAATAATATATAAAGCAAGAGTTTTCAGGATTTTGGACATTAGACATTTTTGAGAGATGTCAAACAAAGAAGGTGAGCATCACAACTGCTCCACAATACTGTCTAGAGACTGTTTCCAGGTTACAGCACAGGGAGTAAGAACCGAAGTAGACCTTAGCAGTCTGTCTTTGGAAGGACTAAGCTGGCAACATGGCAAGCAAAGGCGAGGGTTATTAGGACAACGTCTCTGAAAGAAGAAAGCTGCAGAGAGTGGAAACTCAAGAGATACCACCATCAAGTAGTAGCTGTGTACTAATGAGCACAGCCATGTGAGGAAACCAGCTTCAGTCAGGAAAAGAAACAACATTATAGGGTACAGTCCCTGAAACTCACACGAGGAGATTGAGAAGAGTTACTGTTTTCACTGTATAGAAGAGAACACTGCATAATTCGCAGGCCATTGGGCAGAGTATTGAAGAAGGGCTTTTCCTCCCAAGTTGAGTAATTTTAACACTAAAGTAATTCTGTTCTGGAACTGTAAACCAAAGCTTAAAAGTAGGAATAAAGCTGTTTCTGTGTAACTTACAGAATTACCTACAGCTAACATACTTGCTAATGAATGACTAAATGCTTCATCTCAAAAAAGAAAAAAAGGAGTAAGGCAATGACATCTATTTTCACCCATTTCTGTTATCATTGTACAGGAGGTACTAGTCAAAATAGTAAGGCAAGAAAACAAAATAAAAGGTATTCAGGTTGGAAGAGAAGAAGTAAAACTGTCTTTATTCACAGAGGCCATATTCACCAATCTAGAAAATCTGATGAGAATTACAATAAAACTATTGGAACTATTAAGCAAAATTACCAAGGTTGCAGGATATAAGATTGATATACAAAAATCAGCCATATTTCTATATGCTGAAAACGAGCAATCAGAGATTCAAATTTAAAAAAATCAATTGAAATAGCATACAAATATACAGTACTTAGGGATAAATCTGACAAAATATATGCAAACCCTATAGTCTGAAAACTATAAAACATTGCAGGAATATAAATCAAAGAAGACCTAAATAAGTAGAGATACATACAGTGTTCAGGTGTTGGAAGATTTACTATTTATTAACATATCAATTCTCCCTATCTTGATAATACATTCAACTAAATAGCAATCAAAATTCCAGCAAGCTTTTATGCAGAAATTGATAAGCTAATTTAAATAGAAATGCAAAGAACCCAGAAGAGCAAATTATTGAGATAGAAAACTTGGAGGATTTATGCTACTTGGCTTTAAGATTTGTTATAAATCCATAGTAATCAAGACCACCTGGCATTGATGTACAGATAGACAAATAGATAGATGGGAAGAATACAGCGTCCAGAAAAGACCCACAAAAACCTGGCCAATTAAATTTGAAAAAGATGCCAGAACAATTCAATGGATAAAGAATAGCTTTTTCAACAAACAATGCCAGAACAATTGGCTAACAATATGCAAGAAGTAAACCTTGATCAATATACACATAGTACTTCATAATTGATTGTAAATCTAAATTTAAAATCAAAAACTATAAAACTTCTAGAATAAAGTCTTCATAATCTTGGATTAGACAATGATTTTTTGTATATGGCACAAATGGCACAATCAATAACAGAAAAAAAATCAACAAAATCAAAATCAAATACTGGCTCTTCAAGAGACATTGTTTAGAGAATGAAAAGACAAGGCACAAAGTAGAAGAAAATATGAAAATATTTTCAAATTCTTTCTTCAATAGAAAACTTCTATTCAGCATATAGCAGAAATTCTCAGAACTCAACATAAAACCAAACAGCCCCATTTATTAAAATGGGCCAAATATCTAAATAAAAATAAGAATATATATAGATGGAAAATAAACATAAGAAAATATGCTCAACAAATACACCATGTTCTTAAAAATGGGAGCCAAATGATGAGAACACGTGGACACATAGAGGGGAACAAGACACACTGGGGCCTCTCGGCGGGGAGGGTCGGGGGAGGGAGAGGATCAGGAAAAATAATTAATGGATACTAGGCCTAAGACCCGGGTAATGAAATAATCTGTACAACAAAACCCCATGACACAAGTTTACATATGTAAGAAACCTGAACATGTACTCCTAAACATAAAATAAAAGTTAAAACATTTTTTAAAAGAAAGAAAGAAAAAGAAAATATGCTCAACATTATTTTAAATTAGGTAAATGCAAATTAATACTATGATGAGATATCGCTACATACCTATTAGAATGGCTACAATTAAAAAGACTGCACATAACAGAGGTATTGGCAGGTATGTGGAACAAATGGAACTTGTATTCACTGCTGGTAGGAATTTAAAATGGTATTAACACTTTGGAAAGCAATTTGACATTTTTGTAAAATCTTAAACATATACCTACCACATGACCCACGCCTTCCACTCCTAGGTACTTTCCTAAAAAGGAAAGCATATATCTCTGCAAAACTTGTTTATAAGCGTGCATATTTTTAATAGCCAAAACTTGAAACAATCTAGAAGTTCATCATCAATAGGCAAATGGATAAACAAATTGTGGTATATCCATGAACTAATTAATTCCGCAAAAATAAAACAAAATAATACATGGAACATCATAGGCAAATCTTAAATAATTACTCTGAGTGAAAGAAACCATACCAAAATGAGTACATAAAGTATGTTTCCATTTATATAAAATTCTAGAAAATGAAAACTAACCTACAGTGACAGAAAGCAGATCAGTGATTGCCTGGGTGGGAAGAGACAAGAGAGAGAATTTCCAAGGGGCACTTAGCAACTTTTAGAGGAATGGATTCATTGCCTTTATTGTGGTGATGATTTCCAGGATATATACATACTTATCAAATCATACATTTTAAATATGTGTGCTTTACTGTATATAAATTATACATGAATACCAGTTTTTTTTAATGGACTTTATATTTTTCCAAGATAAGAAATTTTAAAAAGAACCTTTAAAAATTCTGGCTTAAATTTTGATTTGGAAAAGAATTTCAAAGTTTTGGAAATTGAATAGTCACGAAAGTGATGGTGTTTGATTGAAAAACCCATGTCAAGCTTTTCTCTTGATGCTTTGTAATTTTTCTATTATGTATATTGAAATCCAAGCCATATAATGGAATACAATATTTCTGTTAAATCTTTTATTAAATTACAGTGTGTTTACACTGACTAATTATGCCCGCTGGATTACAAGTAATTTTTTACAGCCAGTGCAATGCCTAGTAAATTGTGCATATTTCATACCAAGAGGTGTTGAGTGAGTGAGTGAATGAAAGAAAAAGGTTTCAATATGCTACTACTATGACACATCAAGTCTTCTCTTGGTTGCCTAGAAAAATTAATATTTTGGAACAACAAAAATATGAGAACCCAATAATTACTACATTTTACTTTAGATGCACAGATGTAAGCATTTCATATCCAATTCCTCAGATGGCCATATTGATACTTCTATACTTCTATTTTATTGTCTTGGCAGAGAAATTTTGCTACTCATGAACAACATCTGATATCAGGCTCATATTCACGTATAAGACTTTCTACGTGGTACTGATTCCAGAAAAAAATATCGTTTTAATAAAGCAACATGTTTTTATTGGTATTAATTTGGCTTGAAATTTGCCTGTGCACATCTCTTACTATAAATGCAACCCCTACTCCTGATTCTTCTCATTTTTATATCTTCACAGCTATATGGGACAAAACTAAAGCCATTACCTAAAAAATAAAGCAGAAGTCCTTTTAATGTAATAAAAAAGAGAAAAGTACAAAGCATATTTTCTTTATGATTTTGTTGATTCTTTACATTTTAAATATATTGGTCACTAGCAGACATATTTGCAAAATGATAATAGTAACAATAATAACAGTAGTAGTAGTAACAGCAAATAGTTGTAATGGGTCTATTACACACAAAATAAAAAAGTATTTAGAATAATCATTAATTAACAGGCAAAAAAAATCTCAATTTTTAAAGTATGTCTTTTTAAAACTGCTTGCTAATTTCAATGACCTTGGAAAAGAAAAAACCTCTGCCTTTTGGGAAGCCAAAATATACCAGTGGTTCATATGGATTTATTTTTGCTAACTATACAAAATAAACTTAATTAATTTTGATTTTTCCAATAAAGCAATGCTTAAGCAAGATAAGTAATAACTAAACTCCACAAACTCCTATGAAAGCACTTATAATTGCTGTCTTGAAAATAGCAAGCTACTTTTTTAAATGTTTTTTACTATATTTTATTCTGTCACAGCTATTTTATTCTGTCACAGCTAATTAGTTTTGTATTATGAAATGGTTTTTCAAAAGCAACTGATGTTGGCTTGCTGATTTTTATAGCCAAAGCATATGTCTCTAATTTAAGGTATGGTGCTTTTCTTGGACATATTTTTAAGCAATATAAAAAGGATGTTAAGTATAGTGGAATCCACTAAACTAATTTTAACATAACCAAATAATGTCCGGCAAAATTTAATGTCTAGGCTCATAAATATAAATTGTAAAACAGTAATATTAATAAAAATTTTGACCTACATATTTCTTAAGCGAAAGCTTCAACTAATCATTTAATGTAATGACCTTGAATGAAATATATTTTTATTATTCAAGCATTTCAAAATTATATTAAAATAGTCATAGTCATAGAAAGCTTCATCTCTCAGGTATATTACAATGAAGTTAACTAAATAGTGACAGTAAAAAAGAAGTTACTTCAAAGTTGCAGCATAAATACATACACACATAACTAATATGGTCTACATTTCTTGAATTCAAAAAGTGGAAATTATTTAAACTTTAAACTATGCTATTCTCAAAATCAGAGTAAGTGGACCCCACTGTCCTAGAACTAAGCTATGCTCAAATATACCTTCTGTTAAAAAAAGATTTTGTTTTACTCAATTTGGGGCTACCATTTGCTACCAGTTAAAATCAACAGATGCTTAAAGTATCTGTCCTAAGTCTTTTCAAAGTAAGTATTTTAAAATTCCATTATTCTTATTTTTGTGTATTGTTTTTTTTTGCTTCTCAACCAGTGAATAATCTGATGATTATCACTGATGATGAGCCTGAATACAGTAGCTCACTTTTTTCTTCTCCCCAGAGTAGTAATTTCATCCTGCAATTGCCTTTTTCTCTTCTGTCAAGTCTTCTGCAACATAATCCATCAAGCCCTTTCCTCAGTTGTCTCTACTTATTTCTCTTCTTCAAGTGCAGTGAAACTCCTCTTCTTTGAGATCATATTTAAATATAAAAGATACACTCACACAGGCATTTGTACACACACACACACAGGCATACACGTATTGGTTCACGTTACTCTTTTCTATTTGAACATAATCCATGTGCTTATAAAGAAATACGTATGAATCATGATTTTACTAATTAGCTATGATAGCAACTTACACAGAGGAAAGAATATTTTCTCAGAAATCCTAAAATAATTGGATGGTAGTCCTGGATCTCCCATTAACAATGTGACATTTAGAAACTATTTGCTTGTTTAGTGCTTGTTTCCACATCACTGAGCTGCTAAAAGAAGACTGCTGGCCATTTCTCAGTTATCTAATTCATTGTGCTTATTTAGGTTTCTTCCAGTTACTCTGCTACCATTTCCACCAAGAAATAAGGAAAGAACCTTAAGTGCATTGAGAAACAAATGCCAGGTCAGATTCCTGTTTGCAAAGCATCAGTGACCAACAGGTGGAACTAATGCCTAAATTGAAAAATTAATTTGGATTTCATTTATCTGTATTTCCCCAGAGATTCCTTATAATTAAAAGTTGACTGTACCTGTTTCCTGTTTACTTCAATGACCTTGGGAAACTAAGTAAATTCTTCCACGGAATTCCTTGTAAACAAGTTGCAAATCTTACCTATTTCTTCCTCTCTCCAGCATCAGGTATGCTATATAATTTTAGGCCTTTAGCTACTAATAGGTTTTGTTCATACAGATCAGAAATAAAATCTAAGGCCAGGCATGGTGGCTCACGCCTGTAATCCCAACACTTTGGGAGGCCCAGGCAGGTGAATCACTTGAGGTCGGGAGTTCGAGAGTAGCCTGGGCAACATGGTGAAACCCTATTTCTACTAAAAATATAAAAAATTAGCCGGGTGTGGTGGTGGGTGCCTGTAATCCCTGCTACTCAGGAGGCTGAGGCAGGAGAATTGCTTGACCTCGGGAGGCAGAATTTGCAGTGACCCGAGATTGCGCCACTGTACTCTAGCCTGGGCTACAGAAAGACTGTCTGGAAAAAATAAAGAAAAGAAACAGAAATAAGTTCTAAATAGCTACTCGCACAGTGCACCTGTTCCTCCGAAATATTTTTCTACTTACCAGCACATGTCCCAGTATCATATTAGATTTAATAACTATTTTAAACAATCATAATTCAGGGTATGTATGGATTTGGGATAAAAACTAGAATAAATTTCATGCTGCAATTTTATTTCCAGACTGCTATGCCTTTATACCTAGAAGAATTGCTGGGAACTTCTTTCATTTAATGAATTATAACCACTTGATAACTGTTGTCTAAAGTTACTGAAATTTTATTCTTCTGTAGAAAATATCTAATGGGTTCAAAGTTATTTGTTAAATTAATTTAGGGAGTGGTCATTTAATCTGAATTATGGAGTCATCAAAACTTATTAATTTAAAATTTAGAGATTCTCTGAGGCAGCATATAATCATTTTAAAACTTATTTTTAATCACTATTATTTCATTTATTGAATTACTCTTAATTAACAAATATATTTTTCTGAAAAATCATTACAATGACATTTTAAAACTAACCTCCTACACCAAATAGAAACATTGGTTCACAGCTTAGGCCAAAATTCCAGAAAGTACTCAAATTTAAAGGACTATAAATAGTAAGTATTAGTGAGGATTTGGGGCAAGTGGAAACCTTATACAATTCTCATGAAAATGAATTGTTATAATTCATTTGAAAAACTATTTGTCATTATATACAACAGATAAATATACATATCTACGATGACCCACCAACTCTTACACATGCAGTTCAAAATATATCTGCAAAGAATATTCAGAGCAGCTGTAGTCAAAATAGCAAAAAACCTGGAAGCAACCAAAATGTCCATCAAATGGTACATTTATAAAATGGAATATTATAAGGAAATAAGAAATTAATAAAATACTTCTAATGCAAAGCACTAACAAATTTTGCAAACAATGCTATGTGACAGATACCAGACACATAAAAAGTACACATAAACTTCAAAATGAAAACATGGAGGTTCTTTTTTCAGTAATGACAAAGTTGCTTATTTTAGAAGAATTATCCTACAAATAACAATTGTAAACTGGTATAAATATTTTTACAAAACTATCAGTTCTGATATAATGTTTATTTTGAAACTGCAAATTTGTTCCAAAGTAATTGATATACTAGGAAATAATTGGAACATAATTTAAATTTCACATTTGCTTGTTCAATTTCATGTGTAAAAACCTTAGATGAATACAGAAAACTTAACTCATCTGAACCTAGTTCCATAGGAACACACAAAATGTATATGCACACATACAGACATACTTCATATCTACACGTTACCTCAGTTCCCATGTATTATTGCCCACACCCATCTATACCTGGTATTATGACTTCCAGATTTGAGATAGCAATCCCTCTACCACTTCACAATAATTCTCAAACTGCAAGCTTTCCAATACCCACTTCCATAAATAAATTCCAAATATTTTGCAAGAAAAGATACATTTAATCATTTAACATACGCCAAACTGGGTTACAATTTTTACAAATACTGAATACTGTTTTTTATGTATCACTGGTAAACTTTTTAAGTGCTGTGATCTTAACCCAATTTCTTTCTATAAACCCTATTGTTTTAATTGCATTGCTTTGCATATTATGATGATTTTTAGGAACACAGATGTTCTCTTACAGAATAACTAATTGCATTTAAAAGTACTGTATAATGACAAAAGACAGGCAGAGGCTGCAGGGGAGTCAAATTTTAAAAGAGGCAAACTGCACTTGGTGATATTTCCCTTTATGTGGAGTTTTTGTTGTTGTCATTTTGTTTTTTTATTTTTAATTTTTCCCTTGAAACATGCCCTAATCTTTACTAAAAGTGTATGATGCAAACTGGAACCCAAGCAGAAAGCCCCATTCTCACTATACTGATAAATTAGGAGTTAGAAATTAGAATTTAATGGTACCAGAGCTGGTAGAAACTGACCAGTGGCCCCAAAACACCAGAATTCACACATGAAGAAATGTAAAGAAGGAAGTACATGCTAATCCATCTTTAAATGCCCTGGTCCTTCATTTACCTCTTAACTGTGTATACACGCAAGAGACTCCAAGAAAAGAGGTAGCTGGTAGACTAAGGGAAACAAATAAATGTTTAGACTGCTAATCACATCAGGGAAACAGTGTTTAGAGTTTCAGTCCAGCTAAGCTATCTGCCTGCTAGAACAAAAATAAATTATCATCAGATTTATACTATAATAGAACTCTGTAATATACTACCGACAACGGCCAGGATGTAATTTTTAAAATTTAAACAAAAAAAAATAAAAATAGAAACAGGGAATGTGACATATAATCAGGAGAAAAAGCAGTTTAATTGAGCCAAAACTAAAATAACTTATGTTAGAATTAGCAGCCAAGCATTGTAAACACCTATTTAAAATATGTTCAGTGATTTAAAGAAAATATGGTCATAATGCAGAAAGATACTGGAAATATCAGTAGGCAAAGATTAACTATGAAAAAAAACAAATAGGAATTTAGAAATGAGAAATAGAATAAAACAAATTAAACACAAAGTTTACTAGATGGCCTTAACAGCAGATGAATCAGTCAGTAAACTTAAAAAGACCAGCAGAAATTATCAAGTCTGAAAAACAGAGAAAAAAGGGATTGAATATAAAAAAGAGAGCCTCAATGACCTGAGGGATGATGTAAAGGAGGCTAGAATATATACATACATATGTATGTATGCAAATAAAACTGTGTTTTTCATATATATGTTTTTTCATATACATGAAAAAACAACATGCAAATATCAGTTCTATTTCTTTTTTTTAATTATTATACTTTAAGTTTTAGGGTACATGTGCACAATGTGCGGGTTAGTTACGTATGTATACATGTGCCATGCTGGTGCGCTGCACCCACTAACTCGTCATCTAGCATTAGGTATATCTCCCGATGCTATCCCTCCCCCCTCCCCCCACCCCACAACAGTCCCCAGAGTGTGATGTTCCCCTTCCTGTGTCCATGTGATCTCATTGTTCAATTCCCACCTATGAGTGAGAATATGCGGTGTTTGGTTTTTTGTTCTTGCGATAGTTTACTGAGAATGATGATTTCCAATTTCATCCATGTCCCTACAAAGGACATGAACTCATCATTTTTTATGGATGCATAGTATTCCATGGTGTATATGTGCCACATTTTCTTAATCCAGTCTATCACTGTTGGACATCTGGGTTGCTTCCAAGTCTTTGCCGCAATAAACATATGTGCGCATATGTCTTTATAGCAGCATGATTTATAGTCCTTTGGGTATATACCCAGTAATGGGATGGCTGGGTCAAATGGTATTTCTAGTTCTAGATCCCTGAGGAATCGCCACACTGACTTCCATAATGGTTGAACTAGTTTACAGTCCCACCAACAGTGTAAAAGTGTTCCTATTTCTCCACATCCTCTCCAGCACCTGTTGTTTCCTGACTTTTTAATGATTGCCATTCTAACTGGTGTGAGATGGTATCTCATTGTGGTTTTGATTTGCATTTCTCTGATGGCCAGTGATGATGAGCATTTTTTCATGTGTTTTTTGGCTGCATAAATGTCTTCTTTTGAGAAGTGTCTGTTGAGGATACAAAATCAATGTACAAAAATCACAAGCATTCTTATACACCAACAACAGACAAACAGAGAGCCAAATCATGAGTGAACTCCCATTCACAATTGCTTCAAAGAGAATAAAATACCTAGGAATCCAACTTACAAGGGATGTGAAGGACCTCTTCAAGGAGAACTACAAACCACTGCTCAGGGAAATAAAAGAGGATACAAACAAATGGAAGAACATTCCATGCTCGTGGGTAGGAAGAAGCAATATTGTGAAAATGGCCATACTGCCCAAGGTAATTTACAGATTCAATGCCATCGCCATCAAGCTACCAATGCCTTTCTTCACAGAATTGGAAAAAACTACTTTAAAGTTCATATGGAACCAAAAAAGAGCCCGCATTGCCAAGTCAATCCTAAGCCAAAAGAACAAAGCTGGAGGCATCACACTACCTGACTTCAAACTATACTACAAGGCTACAGTAACCAAAACAGCATGGTACTGCTACCAAAACAGAGATATAGATCAATGGAACAGAACAGAGCCCTCAGAAATAATGCCGCACATCTACAACTATCTGATCTTTGACAAACCTGAGAAAAACAAGAAATGGGGAACGGATTCCCTGTTTAATAAATGGTGCTGGGAAAACTGGCTAGCCATATGTAGAAAGCTGAAACTGGATCCCTTCCTTACACTTTATAGAAAAATCAATTCAAGGTGGATTAAAGACCTAAACGTTAGACCTAAAACCATTAAAACCCTAGAAGAAAACCTAGGCATTACCATTCAGGACATAGGCATGGGAAAAGACTTCATGTCTAAAACACCAAAAGCAATGGCAACAAAAGCCAAAATTGACAAATGGGATCTAATTAAACTAAAGAGCTTCTGCACAGCAAAAGAAACTACCATCAGAGTGAACAGGCAACCTACAAAATGGGAGAAAATTTTCGCAACCTACTCATCTGACAAAGGGCTAATATCCAGAATCTACAATGAACTCAAACAAATTTACAAGCAAAAAAAACCCCATCAAAAAGTGGGTGAAGGATATGAATATCAGTTCTATTTCTATACACTAACAAAGAGTTATTCGAAAAAGAAATTAAGAAAACATTTTATATATAGTGAGAGAGAGAGACAGAAAGAGAGAGAGAGTGTGTGTGTGTCTTCCAGTATGAGTAATAAAAAAGATTGGGCAGAAATGAAATTATTTAATATTGTAATAGCAGGAAACAATCCTAAATACATTTTTAAGTACAACATGCAAATATCAGTTCTATTTCTATACACTAACAAAGAGTTATTCGAAAAAGAAATTAAGAAAACATTATATATCTATATATATATATAGAGATATATATATATATATATAGAGAGAGAGAGAGAGAGAGAGTGTGTGTGTTCCAGTATGAGTAATAAAAAAGATTGGGCAGAAATGAAAGTATTTAATATTGTAATAGCAGGAAACAATCCTAAATACATTTTTAAGTATATACTTGAAGAATCAAAAATATCATTGAAACTCAAGCAAAACAAATAGGAAAAAAAAGCAACTTCTAAACGCATCATAATTAAGTTGCTGAAAACTTTATAAATGTGAAGAAAAAATCATGAATGTAGCTAGAGGCAGCAGCAAGAGGCAAATAATAATATGCAGAAACATGGAAATTTCATCAGAAATAATGATCAGCAATAGCTAATGAAACAAGTGTTGAAGGAAAAAGTATCTATCTAGAATTCTGTATCTTAAAAACAGGTCCTTCAAAATGAAACATATAATAAAACTTGGGTCTATAGGAAGGAATGAAAAGAGCCATCAATGTTACACAGGTAGCTAAACAGAAAACATTTTTTCCTGCCTTAATTTCTTAAAATAACCTAAAAACTTTAAATCAAAAATTAATATTATTTATTAGAGGTTTCATAAATTATATAGATGATTTGTACTTATAATAGCACAAAAGATGAGGGAAGAGATATGAAACTATCCCATTCGAGCTTTTTAAGTCTTACACGAAATGATACCATATTAATTGTAAGTAGACTGATAAATTGAGCATGTATACCATAATAACTACAGAAACCACTAACAATAATGTAAAGTCATAGTTTGAAAACTAATAGAGGAATTAAAATATATAATGAAATTGTTTTATTAAGTCAAAAAAGTCAGGATAAAGAAACAATTTTATAACAATGAGACCAATAAAAAGTCTGTGAACTGACAGAAGCAAATCTAAACATATTAATAATTGCATTAAAGGTAATTTGACTAAAATATTACAACATATGAAAAAAATATTTAAAGATAATCACAGACCTAAACTTAAACACAAAGGTATAAAGTGTAAGGAAAAAGTTGAAGTATATCCCTGGGACCTAAGAAAAATATTTCTTAGACAGTATATAGAAAGTATCAGCCATAAAATTATTTTTAAGTATTCTTTTTCAAAGTTAAACACAACTTCTATTTATCAAAAGACATCATTAAGAAAATAAGCAAGCTCAAGATGAGGAGAAAACATTTAGAATACATACATATAGATAAAACAGGATTTATCTCTTACATGCAAGGATGGTTCAACATATGCAAATCAATAAATGTGATACACCACACTGACAGAATGAAGGACAAAAATAATATGGTCATCACGGTAGACATAGAAAAAGCATTTGACAAAATTCAACATCATTTCATGATAAAATTTCTTACAAATTATGTATAGAAGGATTCTACCTCATCATATGCAATAAACCATATAAAGACCATATAAAGAGCACAAGCCCATTGCTAACATCATACTCAATGGTGAAAAACTGCAAGCTTTTCCTCTAAGATTGAGAATAAGACAAAGATGCCCATTCTCACTGTTTCTGTTAAACATCGCATTGGAAGTTGTGCTCAGAGCCATTAGACAAGAGAAAAAAACAAAAGGAATCAAATTGGAAAGAAGAAAATTGTCCCTCTTTGCAGATGACATAATTTTATATCTAGAAACCATAAAGATTCCACCAAAAAACTTTTAGAACTAATAAATAATTCAGCAAAGTGCTAAGATTTAAAAAACATGCAAATATCAGTTGTATTTCTATACACTGAGTTATTTGAAAAAGAAATTAAGAAAACAATCTTATGCACAACAGCATCAAAAAGAATAAAATACTTAGAAGCAAATGTAACCAAAATGAAGGATCTGTACACTAGAAATTATAAAACATTGAAAAAAGAAATTGAAGAAAACACAAATAAATGAGAAGGTATCTCAAGTTCATGGACCAGAAGAATCAATATTATCAAAAGGCCCACACTGCCTAAAGCAATCTACAGATTCAATGCAACCCTTCTAAGAAATCTAATGGCATTTTTCTTAAAAATAAAATAAGAAAAATCTATATGGAGCCACAGAAGGCCCTGAATAACCAAAGTAATCTTTAGCAACAAGAACAAAGTGAAAGTGTCACATATCCTGATTGCAAAATATACTACAAAGCTCCAGTAATCAAAATAGCATGGCACTAGCATAAAAACAGATACATTGAACAATGAAACAGAAGAGAGCCTAGAAATAAGTTCACGTATTTATGCTTAGTTGATTTGCAACAAAGTTGCCAAAAACATACAATGAAGAAAGTACAATCTCTTCAATAAATGGTGTTGGGACAACTGCATATCCATATGCAGAAGAATGAAATTGGACCCTTATTTCACATCATATACAAATATAAACTCAAAAGCGATTAAAGACTTAAATGTAAGGCCTAATGCTGTAAAACTACTAGAAGAAAACCTATGGAAAATGTTCCATAACATTGACCTTGGCAATGATTTCTTGGATATGACACCAAAAGCACAGGCAACAAAAGCAAAGATAAACAAGTGCAAATACATAAAACCAAATAAAAAGTTTTTGCACAGTGAAAAAGAAACAATAAACAAAATAGAAAGGCAACGCTTAAGTTAGAGAAAAATATTTGCAAATCATATATCTGTTAAGTTAATACCCAAAATAAACATGGAAATTCTATTATTCAATAGCAAGCAAACAAGAAACTTGGTTTAAAAATGGGCAAAGGACCTGGACATTTTGGACATTTGTCCAAAGAGGACATACAAACAGCCAACAGATATGTGAAAAGATACTCAAGTGATTACTCATCAGGGAAATACAAATTGAGTTTATTACCTGTTAGTATAGCTAGTACCGAAAACACAAAAGATACCTAGTGTTGGTAAGGATGTGGAGGAAAGGAAAAGTTTGCACACTATTGGTGTGAATGTAAATTAGTATAGCCATAATAGAAAACGGCACATAATTTCCTTGAAAAAATGAAAATTGAACTACCATATGATCCAGCAGTCCCACAACTGAGTACATATCTGAAGGAAATGAGATCAGTATGTTGAAGAGATATCTGCACTCTTTTGTTGACTGCAGTATTATTCACGATAGCCAAGATATGAAATCAATCCATTAATGAATAAATGGATAAAGAAAATGTGATATAAATGCATAAATATGTATACACAAAAACTATTATTCAGCCTTAAAAATAAGAAGTAAATCCTGCGATTTGTGAGAATATGGACGAAGCTAGATGATTAGATGCTAAGTAAAATAAGTCCGACACAGAAAGACAAATACCACATGATCTCACTTATATATGGAATCTAAAAAAGTCAAACTCACAGCAACAGAGAACAGAAGGGTGGTTACCAGGAGTGGGGTAGGGAGGGGGAAATATTGGTCAGAGGGTACAAACTTTCAGTTATGAGTAGAAGAATTTCTAGAGATTTAAAATATATAGCATGGTGACTATAGTTAATAATAATGTATTGTCTATTTGAAATTTGCTAAGAGAGAAGATCTTAAGGATTCTTACCATTCATTAAAAAGGTAATTATATGAAGTGATGGATATGTTAATTAGCCTGATTGTTTGTGGTAATCATTTCGCAAGGTATATTGATTGTGGTAATCATTTCTCAATGTATATTGATATCAAAACATGTTGTACACCTTGATGATTTTAATTTGTCAATTTTACCTCAATAAAACTGAAAAAGGTGATGTTATAAATAAATGGACAAAGCTGGAATTTTTAAATTTTGGTTTTTGGCCATTCTATATAATTTCTACACTGGTCTTGTTTTATGGTTATTACATAATATATAAAATATATAAATCTCTCTGTGTGCAGTAAAATTTTCCTCATTCTCCCAAAATCTTTTTAGTAAAATTATATTTTGTTTGAAAAACAAACATAAAAAATAGGAGAATAAAATAAAGAAATGCAACTTGTGCCTGTACTCTGAAAATAAACAATTCAAGAGGTACCATACATTCGTATATTTAAATATATTTTACTCATTGTTAATGAATATATTTTTATTAAATTATTGACTAATGCAAAGTGTTACAATAACACTCCAGTGTGTCATTTTCTTTTAAAACAAAAATTAAGGAAGTAGAAAAGGAAAGTTAGAAAGATATCACAAGGTATCCATTCACCTGACTTTAAAACAATAATATATAGTTGTGTTCAACTTTTTTGAAATTAGAAGCCCTGAGGATGCAAGAAAAATAAATTTGATTGTAATGGAATAGTCACCACATCGTAGTGTAGCCTATTAATTTAAAATATGAGTCTGTTAAGTAATGTGTAAATTCCTGAGCTAGTCATTCATGATCTTCCACAGTATGTAATAGGCCCCTTACTACCTAGTCAAACTTAGCTGCATTCACACAAACTCCTATTCTTCAATCAAATAATACTTCTCCCTGCCCCTTTTACACACTACATCAGTTCCTACCACTCATTATACCTGTACTTATGCTAACTACTAAAAAATTATCTTTAACGTTTCTTCCAGGTCACACCCTTCCTTTAATTATCCTATGTTATTGTTTTCTCAAGAAGGTGATGCTATACTTTTCATTTCTAGAGTAGAACGAGATGGGAAAAAGTACAAAACAAAGGGAAGACTAGAAAATTCTAGAAGTATTTTTGTAGCCTGAGTCATATTGTCAGTGTATAGATGTACTAATAGCTGAAGTATTCATATTACAAAACAGTCATTGTACATATTTTTATAAAATTGTGTTAACAACACATTTAGTCATTTTGTAAAATCTATCAGTTTTATCCCATCTCCTGACAATATATAGTAATTTATAATCTCCTTAGAGCAGAAAGCATTTTGTATTTAACATAGTACTTAGTTTGAGCTAACCATATCATCTTGATTTTACCTTCCCCTTCCTCCATACTACTCCTGTACTTAATTCATCATCTCTTACCCAGACAGTATCAGTAGCTTCCTCGCTAATCTCTCTGCTTCCTGGTTTTCTACACTAATTCATACTTCACATGCCTAGGGAATGACATTTTTTAAAAAAAAAACATACAAACTGCCTACTTAAAACATTGTAGCATTTGCTCATCTCCCAAAACCTAAAGTCTCAAGTCAATTACACAGACTATAAAACCCTCTACTCTATAACTCTTTGCCCCTGTTTTCTTTTCCTTCTCACCTTAAATGTGAACTCTGCACTACTGTTCTTCCCAAAGGCTTTCATATCTCTGAACACATTTTGTTTTTTTCAAGCTTCCATAGGCTCTTCTATTCCTCCCTTTCCTCCATCCCACCCTCTATACACATCTGAAACAGTTCTCATTTCCTTGTCTCCTTGGTAGGTGTCCACCTTCTTTCAAATGTCTTCTCCAACATTTCCTCCTCTATGAGGACTGCCCAGACCTTCCCAGGTCCATCCTTCTGTGGCATCAACCTTTTATGTGTCTGCACTGCAAGACTAAAACCTAGAAAGTTAGGGTATTTGTGTGTCTGTTCTCCTATGATCTGGCTCATGGTAGATGATCTAGAAAAGTTTGTTGACTAGATAAACAGAATTGTGTCCAATAAACAGTTTTCTGCTTGATTTGTTACAAGTATATTTTGGTTCAAGTGTCAGTAACTCAAGCTAATGTAAGCATTAAAAAAACACTGATAATTTTTTTCTAACCATTGGAAGCAAAGAGATTCTGGCTGAGCTTAAAAACAAATATATGTGTGTGTGTATATATATATACACACACACATATATATGTATATGTATATATATTATATATACACACACATATATATGTATATGTATATATATTATATATATATAAACAAATATATATATACTAACATGTAATTATATGCACCAAATTTTAATTTGGTGTATATATATATATATATATATATACACACATATATATGTATATGTATATATAATATATATAAAACAAATATATATATACTAACATGTAATTATATGAACCAAATTTTTGAAAACATCTTATAAAAATAAATGGATATAGAACACTCAAGAAAGACATTAAATGTATACAGCAGTCCTCAGTCTTAATGTGTTTCTCAATTCATCAAATCACTTAAAGGTGATTATAATTTCAATGTTAAACTTCAACATTTCTACGTTTTAGAAACCACCCCAGCCCTCTGGAATACAGCAGTCTGAACCATTCTCTTCAAGCAGGAACCAGAGACAATCTTCCTGCTTGATTGTCCTAGGGGAACACAGGAATAATGCACCTAATAACCAGGATAATGAACAAACTAAATTCAGTAGAAGATTACATATATAATTGAGGAGAAGACAATCATGTCTTTCTTCCAAGAAATTTTATATTTGCCTTAACATTTTCATACTTCTGAAAAAAATCTTCTCACATTAAAATAGGTAATAGAATTGTTGGCTTTAGTCAACTCTAACTTGATTATTTTTAAGCTATTAATGCGACATTTTTTAACGTACTTTGAGGAAAATTCTCTTTAGCATTTCGGATGTCAACAAAATCTAAGATCATTTTGTTTGTTAGAAAATGAAACATGAGAATGTATCAAGATACAGTTGTCAGCCTCTTTTTGGAGTTACACTTTGGAGTACTGGTTGGATGTTGGAGGATGCAATCAAGTACTTTGCATAGATACAAAATGCTGTGCTTAACCATTCCCCCCCTTCCCCCTCCCCCAATTCCCCTGGATTCACTCTAAGCAGCATTCATTGTAATTAAGACACTCAGATAAAATAATCCTCAAAACTGCCATAGCCCTCACCAGGCAATATGATAAAGAAACTATTTTCACCAACTCTTGATATAATAGCACTTTTTACTGAAAATCACTACAAAGATAAAAGAAAAAGAAGACTTTCAATAAATGCATACTTATTTAGAACAGGTCCACCACAATAGGAAGAACTAGTAATAGGAAGAATATACTAAAGCAGCTAGTTCCCTTGGAAGGCAGAACCTGCTGAATTCTGAGCAAGTTGTAACATTAATATACTACAGCAGAAATGTCTTCAAGTAAAAAATTATAAAAATGTAACCTTGAGAAAAAAAAACAAACTAATCAGCAATCTAACTCTAACTTATTAAAAATGGCTCTTGCAATTATCCCTGAGATTTCTTACCAAAAAGGAAGCCTACAGGGATCTCATGCTTTCCAGAGTTAATTATATCAGCAATTTCTCCAAGTGGAAAGTATTTTGCAGAGTGGAATCTTAAGAGTCCTTATATACATTGAGTGCCTGAGCAATTCTTAGGAATATGTCTGCTGAACAATATTTTTGAATATCCTGTCTCTGAATAGTAATATTTGGTAAAAAAAAGAAAAATCACCCTGATTTCCACTGAATGTTTGCCATATTAAAATCTATATTAATAATATTAATTTTCCAACCTAAATTACTTCTTTATTCTAATTACTCTAGGCCACTTGTTAATTCATTTATTCTTTTCTCCCCAGTAATGCATAATTAAACATCCTAATAATCCAAATTTCCAAATGATTTACATTGGAAAAGATGACAAAATTATGAATAAAGTATATAGTTTTTTCAGCTTATCCTGTCCACATCAAGCTTAAGTACAACACAGTATTATAGATGCTTTGCCCACTTATTAGTTCATTCAACTCATCTTTTCTGAGTATGGTTTGTGTTAGGTAATGTGCTAGGTGCTACAGACTGATTAACGCAAAACAGGCTTATTGTACACCAGAATGCCAGTGTGTTTATTTCCAAACACGAATACTCATGTCCATTATCCACAGGAGTTCTTACCAGTACAGAACTTCTAAGCAAATAACCTCAAAGTCTCTTGATGAGCATTGAATCAGAGCAAAGAGAATTAGATTGTCTTGAGTGATATTTCATCCTGTCTGCACAGAAACCTGATGAACTATCTCTTCTTCACAACAAAATAGATGTCCCTTGTGATTTAAATATCTGTGTCTGCCAGACACAGTTTCTCTTTTATTTTGGGCTGTGCTTCCTAAATACTTACAAATTCTATCTACTTTTCTGTTATCCGTTAATGCTTACCACATCATTACTTCTGAAAACAAGATTACAACACAATTGAGTGACTTTCATCTTTCTTCAGTCTGGGGATACACTCTGATCCTTTTGATTGGACTTGATATCTCCCATGTCTCCAATGACAGCACTTACCAGGGCATCTTCTCCTAAGGTATTTCTTAAGATTACTAAGTTGTCCATTTTATGTGGGATTGTGTTTGCTTTTTTACCATTTTAAGTGTGGAAACTTATCCAAATCCTGAGGCTACTTTGAAGATTTCTACATACTGAGGTTTCTGAAGTTTTTTCACACATGTGTATTTTATCAAAAAGAGTACTTTAAAAAGGAATAAAACATGAAATACGGATACATGCTACTATGTCCATTAACTTAAAAAGTACTATGTAAGTGAAAGAAGCAATTTCATATTTTTATGAAATATCTAGAACATACAAACCCATAGAGACAAAAGACAGATTAGTGGTTGCCTGGGATTGGGAGGAGGAGGGAATAGAAAGTAACTGTTTAATTGATATGAAGTTTTCTTTTGGGCTTGATACAATATTTTAAACTAAACAGAGGTGGTCCTTGCACAACATCATTAATGTACTAAATGCTACTGAACTGTTAACTTTAAAGAGGTAATGTTATATGAAATTCACCTAAAGGAAATGTTGTTTTAAAAATAAAAGCATGCTAGAGAATTAAAGCAGGATGATAAATAAAACATTATAAAGTAAAATAGCAATAAGATAAAATCACATATTTTATATGCTATATATATACACACACACATATATATACATACGCAAATCAGATGGATCAATTTTGATGTGAAAAAATAATGACTGTGATATGCTGATGTATTACAACTGGATAATTTACCCAGAAGAACTTTCTACTAGAAAAGATAGCTTTAGCATAAAGAAGAAGGAGTAGGGATAGAGGACTGAATTTGTTATGTATGTATATATGTATGTATGTACGTATGTATGTACGTATGTATGTGTTGGAGTGCAATGGCATGATCAGAGCTCACTTCAGCCTCCACCTCCTGGGTTCAAACAATCCCCCTGCCTCAGCCTCCCAGGTGGCTTTTTATTTCTTTTTATTTTGTAGAGATGGGGGTCTTGCTATATTGACCAAGCTGGTTTTAAACTCCTGGCTTCAAGCAATCCTCCTGCCTTGGCCTCCCTAAGTGCTGGGATTATAGCTGTGAGCCATCATGCCCGCCCTTAATTTGGGGGGCATATGTTAGTTTTGAAGGGTTATTGGTATTCCTAGGCAGAAAAGTGAAGCAGGTAATTAGAAATTAAAGTTTGAAGATCTTGACACTTACAACAGCATCCAAAATTAACGATATGTATTTGAGGGTCAGGTGAATATAGTCAAATGAACAGGTACGCAGAAAGAAAGTATAGCAAGGAATAAGAATTAGTACCATAAAGAATACAAGCTTTTGAAGGGGAAAGTAGAAAATTGTGAAAGAGAAATCAGAAAAATCAGCTGAGAATGTGTAGTCAGAGAATAAAACTATTTATAAAACTAAATCAATAATCATGAGATACCTATTTGTCCCAGACCTGAGACACAGCAAGGAACACTTTTCTATGTTCAGTGACAGGAGGTATCTTATCTGGATTAATACTGTATTCCAAGAGTATGACAAAGTATCTTGCACATATTCATCTATCTGGTGTTATATGCTCTTCAAGTACACGCAGAAAACATAGCCTTACTCAGAGGAGTAGTTTAATAATCTTTTCAGATACTGGTGGAGGGTCTTCTTTAATACATCATTAAAATTCATCAGTGGTAATTTCTGAAAGATTAATTGGAGGGTGAAAACATTATCAGTGAGCTTTTCATAGTCTTTCATATTAAGTGTATCAGTTTTTGTGTACCCTAAATGAAACATTTTACCCATTTGTGATTTGGTAACATAACATATTTGAAAACTATTGACTCATTATACAACATAAAAATAAATATGGAAGGGGATAAGATGGTCAACAAAATTATTGAGTAAACTACTGTAATTTGGGCAGATATTCCAAGAGAAGATCTTGCTGAGAGTAAAAAAATGGGCAACATTGAAGTCAAGGGTGAAGAGGGAGGAAGCTGGGAACCCTGTGCTGGGCACCTGAATGCCAAGGCTAGGTCCTAGTCCTAAATGACTCCTGGGAGAGTGGTGAGTGAGGGAACAAAGGGATGGCTCAATCTCCCTGCATATTTCTAGGATCCTAGCTACAGGGGACCCCATGTTCCCCATCCCTACAAACATGTATGCTGGCAGGGGGATCTTTCCATGGAGTCTTGGACAGCACAGAGCCCAGGAGCTTTTGTGTGCTGGACAGCTTCAGCTAAGAGCAGCCATAGACGTGCATCCTCCAGGGCTTCCCACCCACCTCCAGGAAGCAGAGGCTGCAGTTGACCTCCAAGCCAGGAGAGATCAGGGCCACCTTCCCTACGGGACTGGGGCACATCTGCTCTGCAAGTTCTCATGCCTGCTGACCCCTCCCAGGGTTCCTGCCTAGCCGCCCTGCAGGAGCATGTGCACAGCCCAGCCCCCACAGCTCAGCCTGAGTGTATTGCGGGCACTTTTACAGTGACCCAGGAGCACCTGGATCCACCAGCACAGCTGGAACCCAAACCTGAACCAGGACATTTCAGTGTCCTCAGGGCTTCAGCATGTAGCTCAGCTGTAGATCACCAAAATCTATGGCCTGCACTCAAGAAGAGGAGGAGGCCCCACCCTCAGAGAACTGAGAAGAATGAGACACATGGGTTCCTGGACAGGGGTGGGAGTGGGGCATGCCTCCCTCCACAGGGCTGGTCCAGAGAGAGTGTGGCATATCTCCCTGCTGCAGTCTTTGCCTGAGAGGCCTCTGTGGGCTAGAACACCTAACAAAAGAAATGTAAGTGCATTCCCAGTGATCAGAGGGGCTCCCCCAAAGTCCAAGAGTAGACCTGGCATGGGGTGAGGAGTATCTCCCTTCCTCCACCACTTCAGAGCTGCAGAAGTCTGCAAATGCAAGGAAGTACAAAAGAGCCATGTGACTGGGTATTAATCTAGCTAGTGGCCATAAATCTTAAGCACCACCAACTGAATTGCAACCTAAAGTATAACACCAAAAATGTATCCCTGTAATATACACAGCTTTGAAAACAGGTGCAAAAATTCACCCACACATAAAGATCCTATACAGAGCCTTGGCCCTCTGAAAGCATCCAGAAAGAAAGCCAACTGACTACACTCACTTACACCACAGTTAAAGGAACACCAATCTTCCCAGATAAGAAAGAACCAGCAAAAGAACTCTGCCAATCCAAAAAGCCAGTGTTGCCTTACTTCCAAATGAGTCCACCAGCTCCCCAGCAATGGTCTGAACCTGTCTGAAATGACAGACATAGAATTCAGAATCTGGATGGCAAGGAAACTCAGCAATATTCAGGAGAAAGTTGAAACCCAATCCAAGGAATACAAGAAATCCAGTAAAACCATTCAAGAGCTGAAAGATAAAAGCCACCTTAAGAATCAAACTTAACTTATAGAGCTGAAAAACTCACTACAAGAATTTCATAATATAATCGGAAGTATTAGCAGTAGAATAGACCAATATGAGGAATGAATCTCAGAGTTTTAAGGTCAGTTCTTCAAATCAATTCAGTCAGACAAAAATAAAGAAAAATGAATTAGGAAAAATGAACAAAACCCCCAAGAAATATAAGATTATGTAAAGAAACCAAATCTATGATTCATTGGCATTTCTGAAGTAAAAGGAGAGAGAATAAGCAACTTGGAAAGTATACTTGAGTATATAATCTATGAATATTTCTCTAATCTCACCAGAGAGGTTGACATGCAAATTCAAGAAATACAGAGAACTTTGACTAGATACTATGCAAGGTGACTATCACCAAGGCACCTAGTAATCAGATTCATCAAGGTCAATGCAAAAGAAAAAATCTTAAAGGCAGCTAGACAGACAGGTCAAGTTACATACAAAGGGAATCCCATCAGGACAGCTGCAGACCTCTCAGCAGAAATCTTACAAGCCAGAAGAGATTAGAGGACAATTTTCAGCATTCATGAAGAAAAGAATTTCCAACCACAAATTTCATATCGTGCCAAAGAAGCTTCATAAATGAAAGAGAAAATGAAATCCTCATCTGACAAGCAAATGCTGATGGAATATGTTTCAATTAGCCTTAAAAGAGTTCAACAGAATGATACCTGCTATCGCAGAAACACACTTAAACACATAGTCCATTGTCAACAGGCACTATAAAGCAACTCACAATAAAACCTACAGAAAAACCAACTAAACAAAAGATGACAAGATCAAAATCACACACATGGATACTGACTTTGAATGAAAATGGGCAAAATGCCCCCACTTAAAAAACAGAGTGGTAGTCTGGATAAAAATACAAGACACAGCCCTCTGTTGTCTTCAAGAGACCCATCTCACCTGTAATGACACCCATACGCCCAAAGTAAAGGGATGAAGAAAGATCAGCCATGTAAATGGAAAACAAACAGGAATCACTCTTCTTATATTAGATGAAACAGTCTTTAAACCAAAAACCTTAAGGACAGTGAGTGGTATTACATAATAATAAAAGGTACAATCCAACAAGAAGCCTTAACTATCCTAAGTATATATGCACCCGACATTAGAGCATCAAGATTCATTTAAAAGTTCTACTTAGCCTATGAAAAGACTTCGAGAACCACGCAATAATGGTGGGAGACTTCAACACCCCACTGACAGCATTAGACAGATTATCAAGGCAGAAAACCAACAAAGATCTCTGGACTTAAAACTCAACAATTGACTGATTAGACCTAATAGACATCTACAGACTACCATAACCAATAACTACAGAATATACATTCTTTTAATCTGCATATGGAACATATTCTAAGATTGAACACATTCTTGGTCATAAAGCAAGTCTTAATAAATTTTAAAAAATTTAAATCATATCAAGTATATTATTGGACCACAGTACAATAGAAATAGAAATCAAGAAGATTGATAGAAATAGAAATCAATATCAAGAAGATCTCTCAAAAGTACACAAATACATGGAAGTTAAACAACTTGCTCCTGAACAACTTCTGGGTAAACATATAAATTAAGGCAGAAATGAAAAAATTATTTGCAATTAATAAAAATTGGGAAATAACATCTCCAGAATGTAACAAAAGCAGTAAAAACAGGAAAGTTTACAGCCCTAAACACTTTCATCAAGAAGTTAGAAAGATCTCAGATTAATGTTAACTTTAAAAAGAACAAATCCCAAAACAAGCAGAAGAAAATACATAACTAAAATTACATAACTTAATGAAATTGAGATGCAAAAACCCAGACAAAAGGTAAATGAAACCAATAATTTGTTCCTTGAAAAAATAAGATGGACTGCTAAACAAATTAAAAAAGAGAAGATTCAAATAAGTATAATCAGAAATGACAAAGATGGCATTATAACTGATCCCACAGAAATACAAAAGATCCTCAGATAATATGATAAACAGCTCTATGCACACAAATGAGAAAATCTAGAGGAAATGGATAAATTCCTAGATACACACACACACACTCTCCCAAGATTGAATCAGGAGGAGATTGAAAAACTGAATAGACCAATATCAAGCTCTGAAATTGAATCAGTAATAAAAAAAACCCTAACAACCAAAAAAAGTCCTCAATCATATGTATTCATAGCTGAAATCTATCAGAAGTAAAAAGAGCTGGTATCGATCCTACTGAAACTATTCCAAAAAATCAAGGAGGAGGGACTTCTCTCTAATTCAGTCTATGAGGTCAGAAAAAGCCTAATACCAAAATCTGGCAACAAGACAAACAGTGAAAACCTCAGGCCACTATCCCTGATGAACATAGACTCAAAAATCCTCAATAAAATACTAACAAACTGAATCCAGCAGCACATCCAACAGTTAATTCACCATGAGCAAGCAGACTTTATTCCTGGAGTAAATAAATAAATAAATAAATCTGATGCACCACATAAACAGAATTAAAAACAGAAACCATATGATAATCTCAATGGATGAATAAAAAGCTTTCAGTAAAATCTAACACCATTTTATGATAAGAAATCCTGAACAGGCTAGGCATTGAAGGAACATACCTCAAAATAACAATAAGGAACATTAGAGGAACATACCATCAATGACCAACCCACAGTCAACATCATACTGAATGGACAAAAGCTGGAACCCTTCTTCTTGAGAACTAGAACAAGGCAAGTTTCCCCACTCTCACCACTCCTATTCAACGTACAGTCCTATGAGCAATCAGCAAGAAAAGAAAGAAAAAGCATCTAAATAGAAAAAGAAGTCAAAGTCTCTCTCTTTGCTGATGATATGATTCTATACTTAAAAACCCCTAAAGACACTGTCAAAAGGCCACTAGAATTGATAAATGATTTTAGCAAGGTTTCAGGATACAAAATCAATATATAAAAATCAGTAGCATTTCTGTACACCAATAACATCCAGGCTGAGAGGCAAATCAAGAACAACCCGATTTTCAGTAGCCACAAAGAAAATGAAATACCTAGGAATACAGTTAACCAAGGCGGTGAAATACCACTACAAGGAGAACTACAAAACACTGATGAAATAAATCAGAGATGACACAAATGAATGAGGAAACATCCATGCTCATAGACAGGAAGAATCAGTATTATTAAATTGGCTATGTGGCCCAAAACAATTTACAGATTTGACATTATCCCTATTAAACGACCAACGTCATTCTTCACAGAACTAGAAAAAAACATTCTAAAATTCGTATGGAACCAGAAAAGAGCCGAACAGCCAAAACAATTCTAAGCTCAAAGAACGAAGCCAGAGTCATCACAGTACCCAATATCAAACTATACTACAGGGATGCAGTAACCAAAACAGCATGGTATTGGTACAAACACAGACATATAGACCAACTGAACAGAATAAAAAACTAAGACATAAAGCCAAACATCTACAACCATCTGATCTTTGACAAGGCTGACAAAAACAAGTAATCAGGAAAGTACTCTCTATTCAATAAATGGTGTTGGAAAAGCTGACTAGCCATATGCAGAAGATTGAAACTAGACCCCTTCATTTCACTACATGTAAAAATTAATTCATGATGGATTAAAGATTTAAATGTAAGACCATAAATTCCTAAAAGAAAAAAAAATTAGGCAATACCCTTCGCAACATTGGCCTTGGCATAAAATTTATGGCCACATCTGAAAAAGCAATTGCAACGAAAACAAAAGTTACAGTGAGACCTAATTAAACTACGGAACTTCTGCACAGTAAATGAAACCATCAACAGGGTAAACAGACAATCTATAGAATGGGAAAAACATTCACAAACCATTCATTCAATATTCTGGATATTAGACAATATCCGGAATCTATAAGCAACTTAAACAAATCAACAAAGCAAAAAACAAATAACCTCGTTAAAAAGGGGCAAAAGGCATGAACAGACACTTCTCAGAAGACACACAAGCAATCGACAAACATATGAAAAATGTTTATCACCACTAATCCTCAGGAAAATGCAAACTGAAACCACAATGATACCATCTCACACCAGTCAGAATGGCTATTATTAGAAAGTCAAAAGACAACAGATGCTGCTGAGGCTGTGGAGAAGAGGGAATGCTTATGCTCTTGGTGGGGAGGTAAATTAGTCCAGGCACTGTGGAAAGCAGTTTGGAGATTTCTCAAAGAACTTAAAACAGAGCTAACCTTTGACCAAGCAATCCCTTTACCAGGTATATTCCCAAAGGAATAAACATCATTATACCAAAATGATACATGCACTCCTATGTTCATTACGATGATGTTCCCAATAGCCACTACATGAAATCAACCTAGGTGCCCATCAGTGAAGAACTGGATAAATAAAATGTGGTATATAGACACCATGGAATACTACGTGGCCATAAAAAATCAAATCACATTCTTCATAGCAACATGGATGGAGCTGAAAGCCATTATCCTAAGCAAATTGACACAGGGACAGAAAAGCAAATACTGCATGTTTTCGCTTAAAAGTAGAAGCTAAACACTGAACACACATGTACATAAACAGGGGAACAATAGACACTACAGACTACTACACAGGAAGAGAGGATGGGGGTCATGGATTGAAAAACTACCTATTGGGTACTATGCTCACTACCTAGGATCAATATAACCATGAAATAATCGTATACATGTACCCCCTGTATCTAAAATAAAAGCTGAAAAAAATTTTAAAAGAATGGATACACCTAATTTGCAAAAGAATAACTACTAATAATACCAACATAATTGAGATGAATTTGGTAAACTTTGACATTGCTAGTTACAATGTAATTTGGAATAAATTTGCCATGAAAATTAAAACTAAAAAATATAAATGAATAAATAAGTGCATTTATTTACATTAACTATCAGAAAAGTAAGTAGAGAGAAACTGTCAATCTTACATTGGAGAATATACATGATCTAAACTCCAAATATTCACTTGAAAGCTCACATTTTTTCATTGGAAACAAGTATTGCCAGGAATTTCCTGGAAGTGAAAGGCCCACTTCGTTTATTTTTGTGAAAATGTCTGCCAAATAGTTATCTAAATAACCTTCCTTTTTTATCAGTTGTTCTTTCCAGTGAAAATGGTACTCCATTTTTAAAAAGTAGCTAGTTCAACTCCCAACTCAAACAATCATAAAAGTAATTTTCCCCAAGAAAAATGCCTTATTTTATAGGCAGCACAAATGCTTTATGCATATTTGCCATTATCATCTCAGAATATTTTATAAGATCAAAAGTTTTTGTGGCTTTATCAAATACTTCAATGGTCTGAATTTATCCCCTAAATTCATATGTTGAAACTTAATCTCCAACGTAAGGAGTTGGGCCCTTAGGGGGTGATCAAGTCATGAAGGCAGAGGTCTCATGAATGGGATTATTGACTTTATGAAAGAGGTTGGAGTGCCCTGGTCTCAAGTCATTTCGCCCATGTGAGGACACAGGTGTGCCCTTTTTGCCCACTTCCTCCAAGTGAGGCTACAGCAAGAAGATGCCATCTTGGCAATCTTGGAATCAGAAAGCAATCCTCACAAGATAACTGAATTCACTGGTGTTTTTGTCTGGAACTTCCTACCTCCAGAACTGTGAGAAATAAATTTCTATCATTTGTAAATAACCCAATCTGTGGTATTTTGTTATAGCAGTAGGAATGGACTAAGACAAAGATGTTCTTAAGTTAAACTGGCATTTTATTTTCTTTTACTGGAAGTACAGAGCAATGAGGGTTCAATGACAAGTATTACACTTTGGTGCCACTGCCATGATTTGTACTATGGCACCATCAGTTTTACCCACCATTGCTTTTCCACCATCACTGCAAATAGCCACAGTAAAAAGGACAAGGATACCTCAATATTATTAAAACAATTCTGACTTCACAGACTCCTGAAAACATTTCAGTGACCCCCCAGTTATCCAGTGACTACACTTTCAACTATAGACAAAAATGGGGAGAGAAATTTAGGACTAGTGAATTATTTTTCTCAGTTAAAGATCTTTTGCCTGCTGAAAGTAAATGGGGTGGGGTTAGAGTATTGAGAACAGTGGCAGACATTCTGAAATAACTGTGTGTATAGTAAAGAAAGGGAGTTGAATAGGGCTTTAAAATATAAATCAATTGCATATACCAAAGCACTGGTTGAGGTTGGAAATCATAAATTGACAGTACCATGAATCAGCATTTTAGCATTTTGTATAAAAAATATTTAGGTATGTGGTTTATCAAAGGTAAAGCAGGGGCACATCACGAGAAAGAGGACATTGAAGGTAAGATTTTTAAAATGGCCAGTAGCAATTTTATAGTTTGATTTTTGATGAAAACTTATTCTTTATTTAAATTCATATACCTAGACCAAACATGGGACACTGACTCATTGACCTATATATTATGTTTGTACCACAGTACTCTGATATACAGAATTATACAGATAATATACTAGACATGCTTATGAAATATGGTCAGATATTTAATACTTTATGATGGAAAAAAATTACAGAGTATTTTGAAAAGCTACTAGTTTGTGTTTTCCTTAGTAAGTATATGTTATACAAAAACCTTTATCAAGCAGAGAATAATTCTAGGATGTGTTTGTTGATAGTGAGAATTACTGCTATAATGATAAAATTGTAATTTTCATCTTCTAAGCATAAGAATGTGATTATATTTTATACCATTATTTTCTATTTCATCATTATTATCCTACCATTTGAAGTCAGAAAACTGCCACATTTGTCTGATAGGCTGTGGAATTTTACATGAATATTCAATCACTGGAAAACCCCCACCTGAGGTGTGAAAAGTTTAATTTTCAAGGCCATTCAAAAGAAGGCAAAAATCCCAACATCACAAATGTGCCTCTTTTTTCTTTTATTCTATAAATCTTATCATTTAAACTTCTGCCGTTTTTATGTGGATAACATAATCCCTAAGGTTAATATCAAGTATTAGCCAATTCCTCACAACTATAAGAATGTGATTATATTTTATACCATTTTGATGACCGAGTAGGGATGTTTATATTAGCATTCATTTTTAGTAAAAATAATCATTCTAACTAATGATTGCCTGAAGTTCACTTTATGCACAAAAAATATAGACTACATTAAGAAATTATTATTACTTGCATTTATATAATGGTAGGTCAAAGATTGCTAAAAATTCTTACTTCACTTCCTATTTAGAGGTGAAATCTAATTCCCCTTCCCTGGAGTCTGAGCTGGCCTCGGTGACTGGTTTGATCAATAGAATGTGGTGGAAGTGACACAATGAATTTTCAGGCTATGTTAAAAAAAAATTGCAGCTTCTTCTTCGGTCTATTGGAAGACGCTATAGAAAACCAGCCACCATGCTGTGAAGAAACAATTATCTTCATCAAAAAGCCCTGATGGAGAGGAATTGAGCCTTCCCAAATCACAGCCCCAGATGAGCTCCCAGACAACAGCCAACAACTTTGCTAGGCATTTGAAGAAGCCATCTTAGAAGGGTGTCTTCTAGCCCAGTTCACCCCAGTTGATGGGAAGCTACATGGATCAGAGAAAAACCATTCCTTTCAAACTCCACCCAAACTGTGTTTTGTCACAATATGGATGATTGTTATCTAAAGCTACTAAGTATTGCGGTGGTTTGTTGCACAGAATTAGATAACTGAAACATATGTCATTTTGTTCTGTTTATCCTTTAACATATATTTAATATTAGAAATAAATATACTAAATATCACTAAGTAATTAGCATTAGCACAAGCAAGACAAGAATCCATATTCAAGTGCTCTTTCCAATAAATAAATTATTTTCTTCATATTTAAATACTAGGCACATATCTTAGACTCTGAGATCAAAAGTTTACATAAAATAATATGGAAATTATTTTCTTAATATTTGAGCCAATTATGTTTCTCATATATTTTATACATTATTTTTATAACTGAAGGAACGTCTATTAAAAACTTTCAGTGAGTTACAGATAATCATATTCCAATACAGATGAATATTAATATATTTTATTTGTGGTAAGGCAGGAGAACATGATAAATCAAATACCATCTATAAAATGTTGTCTTAAAATAAGACCTTTAAATGTATACTCAATATTCCATTACATAACATCAATTCTCTATGTAACATTGTTATATTTTTATCTCGTTTTCTTTGTTTATTTTTTGACTCTGAGAACCAAACAGCAATGTTTTAAATTATATGACAATTTTATCTATTTTACTTTTCCTAACATTTCAATTATCTTCTTTTGTCCTTTCCATGATCAAATAAGCCTGTATGTAAACAAGCCTGTATGTAACAGTAGACTTTTTATGAATGTATTTTACAGAACATCTTGGAAATACCTAGCGACATTACTGAAATTTTGAATTGTCATTTTTTTATTAAAAGTTTTGGTTGATACACACACACAGACTATATATATATATATACACGTATATATATATATATACACACACAAACACACAAATAATATATATGCAATATAATGTAATATATACGAAAACAATGTTTATTCTTTTTTTTTGAATTTTCTAATTTCATTTTTCTTCTTGTATAATTGTATTGGCTAGAACTTCTATATTTGTTCTAAATAATAATGGTGATTGTGGACATCTTTATCTTATTCATAAATTCAATGCAGTTTTTCCTAGCATTTCTTCCATTTTGCACTATGCAGACTATATTTATTCTGTATTAATATTAATGAAATATCCATACATTGTATTATATTTATATTTTTATTAAGAATGGATGTTTAATTTCCTTCAGTACCTTTTCATTAGTTCTGGAATTGCTCATGATTTTTCTTTTTTGATTTATTAACACAGTGAACTATATTAATAACTTTACTTATGTTGAACAATTTTAACACTGCTTGAACAAGCTTCACTGGGGTTATTTTAATATGTCGCTTGACTTGGTTAGCTGATTATTTAACATTAGGAATGAAAATGCAAATCCTGTTTATAAGTGAGATTGGTGTATAATTTTTGCATTTTGTTCCCTTTCTGTTAAATTGTGTTATCAGTTTTATGGTTACTTGATAAGATAAAATTGAAATCTGTCCCCCTTTTAATTTTTTTTATTTTTTGCCCTGGAACCATGTAAGCAGCGATGGAATTTTTCTCTTCAAGAATTTCGTAGCGCTCTCCAAGCATGGTGGCTCACACCTGTAATCCCAGCACTTTGGGAGGCCAAGGCAGGCAGATCGCCTGAGGTCAAGAGTTCAAGACCGGCCTGCCCAGCATGGCAAAACCCCATCTCTATTAAAAATACCAAAAATTAGCTGGGCATGTTGGCAGGTGCCTGTAATCCCAGCTACTTGGGAGACTGAGTTGGGAGACTGAGTTAGGAGTATTGCTTGAACAGGAGAGGTGGAGGCTGCAGTGAGCCCAGATCACACCACTGCACTCCAGCCTGGGCAACAAGAGTGAAACTCCATCACACACACACACACACACGCACACACACACACACACACACAACACACAAAAAAGAATTGGGTAGAGTTTATCTCAAAGACTATACAATCAAGGTCTATTATTTTCTTAGTTTTTCCTTAATCTTTTAACTATCTTTATATCTCCATTGTTTTCCTTATCAAATTAAAAAAATATTCTATCACTGGTAATAAAAGATGAGAAAAATCAGTGTTCTTTACCATCTCTCAACTTCTCTAGCATTTCTTCTTTCAACTTTTATACTTATAACATTCCTACATTATCAAGATTTGAAATATGTATATGTTTCTTTGAAATCTCAATCCGTACATTTATTTATATTTTAGTTCTACAGTTGTAAATATCATGCTCATTGTCAGTACTTTGAATATAGGTTCTCTGCTAATGCTTTATGACATTTGTACTATAGTTGTTTAAGAAGTGATCAGAGAAACTAAAGTCTAGGAGTTTTTGCATGTTCAGGGCAAAACATATATGTTGTATGCCTTTACCCATGAACAACTTTTCAGTTGAATATAAGATTTTCCCTCAAGACTTTATAAGCACTGCTTAAATTCTTCTATGGACAAACATTGTGATAGAGAACTATGAGGACAAACTGACGTGTTTATGCTCATATGTAACACTTTTTCTGCTTGACTAACAAAGATTCATGCTATATATTTGAAATCTGGTAACTTTAGTAATAGATATGTCATTGTTAAATATTCAGTGTCAATTTTGCCTGCAACTTATTGTGCCTGTTCATTATATAAAGTCTCTTATTTCTGCAATTTAAAAAAATAAATTTTTTTCATTCTATTATTTTTATCTCTTCTTCAAAAACACCAATTACAATGGGCATAGTGGCTCATGCCTGTAATCCCAGCATCTTGAGAGGCAGAGGCAGGTGGTTTGCTTGAGCTCAGGAGTTCGAGACCAGCCTGGGCAACATGGCAAAACTACGTCTCTACAAGAAATACAAAAATTAGCCAGGCGCGATGGCGGGCCCCTGTAGTCCCAGCTACTTGGGAGGCCAAGGTGGAAGGATTGCTTGAGCCCAGGAGGTGGAAGTTGCAGTGAGCTGAGATTCTACTACTGCACTCCAGCCTGGGCAGCAGAGCGAAATCCTGTCTCAAACAAACAAACACCCACCAATTACATATATCCATTCTATTTTGTCTTAAATGTTCATAATTTTGTTTTTAGCTCATTTTATTTATTTCATTTCCATTTCATTTGCTTGTTTTTCTCAATCCTGATATCCTTGTCACTACTATTTTCCATGATTTTATTTTATTCTGTGAGGCTGATTCCAATTTGATTTCTATTTTGTGTTGTTGTTAACAGTATTTTCTTATTTTAATTTTTAAAATTTTAATTTTTGAGAGTACATGGTAGGTGTATTTGATTTCTGTTAATATAAGTAAGCAACTCTCTCCTGTTTCTCCTCTGAATTCTGCTCATGTGTTGCTTCATTCCTGTTATCCTTTTGTAATTGCCTTAAGCTCTTGTATTTCTGCTCTGAAGTCTTGGACGTTTACATTTGGGGAGTTAATAAAGATATAAGTAGTCAGTCACAATTGTCAATTATTTTAAAAAATTTTTATTAATGACTTATTTATATGCATTTTTTATTTTCTCATTTATTTTGCACTGTCTTTATTCTGACTACTCATTTGTGAATGAGGAACTTCTTTCTGGATCAAAGATTTTTGTTTGCTTTTTGTCTGTGTTCTGGTGGGAGAAATAGCCAAGGATATGTTGAAAGCTAACAGAAGTGCCTTTAAGGAACAAGATTGTATGTATGAGTTCTACCCAGCTGATCAAAATAAACACCATTGCTCATAATACTCATGTTCACATTACCAGCAGGCAGTTTACTGTACATGTGGCATCTCTTATTCATCTTTGCTTCTATTGCTTCTTATTGAAATCAAACTGGGACCAGAAAAGTTCCTAATACAAGTCTACATACCCCTTTCCAAATATAGCAAAAGAAGTCATCATTGATTGTGCACTTCAGTGTGTGCCATTAACTTTGAGTTATGTTTTGAAAATTCATAATGAGTCATATAAACAGGTCTATTAAATATATTTAAATAAAATAGTAAGTCGCATAGTTCTATATGACAACACTGGTGTTGATTTCCTGAGCAATCCTAGCATGTCTGAAAGTCTAGGTCTCCTGTTTCTATTTGTTCCACACACTTGCTTGATATTTACTGGATTTGATTGGGTGGGGATAGCAGTCATTTTCGAGTTTTGTCAATTTTCGATTTTACAATTTAATTTCTAATTTTTCATGTTGCTACTGGGTGATTTGTGAAATTAAAAAAAGGAAAATATAGCAAAAACCCAGAGATTTTAGGATTACTCTTAATTGCTTCCATTCACTTATCCTCCAAGAGTAGATTAATAGATTATCTTTCGTATCTAGTCTTTCTACAAAACTGGTCCTAGCCTGTCATCAGTAAATGATATAATCAGCCATTTCAATTACTTAAACTAAAATATTAGGATTCTTTCTATGAGTTCTCCTTGATGTACATCTTTCCCTGAGTCCCCACAAATCTTCCCATTTCACCTTAACCTCTGCTGCCGTTCTCTTTTTCTTTCCAAAGTCATCTTTTGCCAAGAAAATGCTAAATATCCCATGTTTCTCTGAACTCATCTTCACTTTTGCCCAATCTTTCTATAGCTGCACTTCCAAATACAATAAATAATAGCCACAGATGGCTAAGAAATATTTTAAACATGACTTATCTGCATAAAATCACACCAAATTTTGAAGATTTAACATAAAGGTAATATATAAATATTTAATTGAAAACTTTACACATTGGAATGATATTTTGCATATGTTGTATTTTAAAAGTACATTATTCAAATTAATTTCACCTGATTAGTTTTACTTTTTTAATAAGGCTTCTTGAAAATTTTAAATTATATATGGTTTCCATTATGGTTACATTAGTGGCTTATGATACATTTTTATTGGGCAGCACTATGCCGTATCATAAAAAGTATAGCTTTGTTGAAATACAGAGAGGATAATATACTAACCCAGCCTAAAACTCTCAAATGGCTTTATTTTATATTTAAAATCGAATCCAAATTCCTGTGATTAATAAGGTACCTCTTTTTTGATTTCTACCTTTCTGTCCAACTTCACCTCGAGCTACATATCCTCCCACTTAGAATAACTTTTGTCATGCTAGTCTTCATTTTGTTGCTTTGAACATACAATACTCTTCATTGCCTCAGAACTTATACATGGCTTTTTTTTTTAACCAAAATACATTTCCCCTCATGCTCAAACAGCAGCTCTTATCCTTCCTTATAGTCTTAGCTCAATTCCCACTTTCCAGAAAGGTATTATTTGGTTGCCCAACATAAAATAAGTAACCTTTTGTAATTCCTTCTATCATCCCCTTAACTCATAATGACCTACATATATATTCTATACAATATAATAATCAGGGATAATCTGTGATGGTTCCAAAACTTTTTCAAGCCATGTAAATCTTTTTGTCCTGTAGCTTCCCATTCATCAAATCAGTTGATAGGAATTAGAGAGAAGACGGATGGTACCGAGAATGTAGGTTTCATATTTTAACTTTCAGTATCAAAGATGATTTATTCTTAAATTCATAATATAAAATAGCCATTAAAATAATCCAAAGAAAAGTTTCTAAATTCCTTCTTTCCTGTCAACATATCAAGAACCAGCCCCCAGGGACATTGACAATAGGTTTTGTTATAAGCCAAAAGAAGATTTTTATCTCACCCAGTGTGGGAAGAAGAAAGAGAATAGAGCAAGGGAGATGTGAGAAATGTTAGAATTCCCTTCTCTAAGAGAAATCAGCCTGGGGAAGGAAAAACTCTTCACTAGGCTGAGAAAGAGAGACAAAAGCTAAAGGAATTTTTGTCTCATTTTCTCAGTAGAACTTTGACTTCTAAGCTAGATAGTCCTATGTCAACCCCAGAAGATTAATGATGGCATCACTGGGTTAGATGAAAGGAGAGGTGAAATAAAAGGTGAAAAAGCATGAGAGACAGAGAGACTCTCTCAACTCTCTTTGAAAAAAACAAAATTAGATTTTTATTGAAACTGCATAAAACTAAAACACTTCTGCACAGCAAGGGAAAACAGTCAACAGAGTAATGACACAACCTACATAATGAGAGAAAATCTTTGCGAACTGTGCATTTGATAAGGGGTTAATATCCTAAATACATAAAGAAATCAAACAACTCAATAGTAAGAAAACAACTGGATTAAAAAAGAAAAAAGGCACAAAAATCAAAATACCTAGGAATAACCTTTTTTATTTATTTTTATTATACTTTAAGTTCTGGGGTACCTGTGAAGAACGTGCAGGTTTGTTACATAGGTATACACGTATCATGGTGGTTTGCTGCACCCATCAACCCATCACCTACCTTAGGTATTTCTCCTAATGCTATCCCTCCCCTAGCCCACCACTCCCAACAGGCCCCAGTGTGTGATATTCCCCTCCCTACGTCCATGTGTTCTCATTGTTCAACTCCCACTTGTGAGTGAGAACATGCGGTGTTTGGTTTTCTGTTCTTGTGATAGTTTGCTGAGAATGGTGGTTAAATGTCTTAAAGGGATCCATAATTTACCCCATATCCCAGAGATAATTCAAAATATCACCTTGCCTTTTGGAGACACTCCAGACAGAAGTGCTAAACCCCAGTGCAAGTAGCTGAAAGGTAACAGATTAGCTGGTGTCAGGTATAGGCTGTTTGAGGCACCACATGAGTCTGCAGGCTATGTCACATCTAAAAGTTCCAAAAATTTGTTGGTTTAACCATCAAAGAAAGCCATTAAGCTCTGAAAGTTTCCTGGAAAACCAAGGATACATTCATCAGCCACACCTGATAAGAAATCAATGCAATGGATCTAGGAACTAGACTAGATTGGCTCAGTAGAGACTAGCAAGAAGGCAGCGGATATCAATTGGTTTCAAAGCTCTCTCTTCTACTTCTGGGAAGAGATGAAGCCCCATTCTCTACCCTAGTAACCTTCTTAGAAATAAATAGAAGGGAAGAAATTGGACATAATGCAAACTTACTGAAAAGCAAATGAGTCACTCAAAAGAAACTTTTTAAACAAAATATCTTCCTTACAACTCATGAGGATGGATTCATGAAGTTTCGATAAGTCATTGAAAAGAACTTCTAAGTGCAGTGGATAAATGTGCTCACTCTACACTTTCTATTCTGGCTCTCCAAAGAAAATTAAGCTCCATTGGCATGAACTAAGTCCCCCTTATCATTATATACCCAGCATTTAGCTTGAGATCTGGTATGCGGTAGATGATCAGAGGGAGAAGACAGGAGGGTCTGAGTTAGAAAGGAGACGTGAAAACAGAAGCAGAATTGTAGTGATATGCTTTGGAATTAGAGAAAGGGGTCATGGGAGAAGGAATGCAAATAGGTTCTAAGCTAAATAAAGCAAGGAAACTGATTCTCCCCTAGAGCCTTCAGAAAGAACACAGCTCTGCTGACACCTGGATTTTAGCCCATAAGATCTATTTCAGACATTGAACAACAGATCTGTAAAATAACAAATATGTATTCTTTAAGCCACTAAACTTATGGTAATTTGTTACAGCAACAATAGGAAATTAATGTATATTTTGAGTAAATGGGTAAACCAATAAATGTCTATTTTGGTGGCTTCTAATACCCTAAAGTAATATAGATGTTAACATTTGCTGCCAAGTGAAGGTTTTTAATGACACCACATGGTTAATACAAATTATTAATACATGGTTAGTACAAGCCCCAGAGTACATCTCTACATTTCACTAGTTTAAAATCATAGTAGCACACTGAATATATATAGCACATTGAATTTAATGCCAGAAGGCAAAATTACAGCTAATCAGAGTCTTTAGTATTTGAGTTAGTGTCAAGAGTACACCTGTGTTAATAATATAGCTTTTACATACTCTAATAAATTGCTTTACAACTTCCTAACAGTTGCCAATCTTTTGTATTTACCTCACTGAAGTCTCCTTGTATTTTTCAGGAAATAATTTGCTAGTCATAAGGAAGAATTTTTATTAAGCTTCTATGCTCAGTTACAGGTACATCATATTCCAAAAGAGAACCCAATTTACATAGTTCCAAAATAACGAGATTAATTTAGAAATTTAATAGTCACTTGATGCTTTACAAAAAAAGAAATTCTTTATATAAGAAGCCCTGAAATGAGGCATTTGCTTGAACATCACTGGGTACTTACCAGAAAGTTGGGAGAAATAAAATTTTCAGAATCAAAAATTAAGGAAACTAATTCAATTAGTGCCATCAACTGAGTAGTAGCTGGAAGTTAGGTATTCATTAGATTTTAATATCTGCCAGTGGCAAAGTATTAGACCATTTACAAACATTCAATTTCAACGTATTCATTAAGGAACACAGACACTATATAAAGAAGATAAATAATTTTTTGAAAAAAAGTATTTCTGGCTATGTGACCATAATTCTCAGTACATTGATTTTATTGTAAATAACTGCAAGTTTAACCACCCCATGTGATAGTGCTGAAATAACAAATAAAATGTTTTTTAATCTAAATAATATTCACAGTAAATACTAATTACAATCACCATCTTCAGCTGCCTGACTTATCACGCATTTTTCCCCTGGGGATCTAATAGTGCTCCTGCTTTCTCACTCTGCTTTTGTCCTACTTTGAAGTTAGTTGAGCCTAAGAAGAATTAGAGATGGCATAGATATCATAAAAAATGTTTCTGGTAATTTTAACTGACAGTCTAATGGAAAGTCTAGTCCTTCCTTATAAGACTGTGATGAGACAAATGGATTAGTGCAGAGTTCAGAGTCAATTTCCTTATTAAAGGTCCTCATAGGGCCAATAATTCCACAGTGTTCACATGTCAATTAACCCCAAATGTTAACCTGCAACAACTTGTTTAGCAGCTACCCTTTCTGGATATGTGAAAGGTTTTATTCCTGATGATAGTACAGAAAAGAAGAACAGCTCAAAGGTGGATATGTGATGAAAAACGGGAGGGAAAAATCAAGTTATTTTAAATTTTTTTCTAAAATGTCCTGTAGTATGGCTTACTTTTGAGTAGGATGTTTACTTCTCCAATATCCATATATTTAGGAATGTATGGATGACAAATACTGAAAAAATAATCTTACATCTGCAAACATTTCTGTGATTATAAAAGATTAGCAAGGTCACTATTTAACTCTGTTAAACATAACCAAGTCCAGACTTTTGCAGTAAAAGAATGACTTTTACTGTGTGTGTAATGTTGTTGTTTTAAAAATAGACTTATCCAGGCCGGGCGCAGTGGCTCACACCTGTAATCCCAGCACTTTGGGAGGCCAAGGTAGGCAGATCACGAGGTCAGGAGATCAAGACCATCCTGGCTAACAGAGTGAAACCCCGCCTCTACTAAAAATACAACAACAACAACAACATCAACAACAACAACAACAACAAAAAACTAGCCGGGCATGTTAGCACGAACCTGTAGTCCCAGCTACTCAGGAGGCTGAGGCAGGATAATCGCTTGAACCCAGGAGGTGGAGGTTGCAGTGAGCCGAGATCACGCCACTGCACTCCAGCCTGGGTGACAGAGATAGACTCCACCTCAAAAAAGAAAAAAAAAAAAAGCAGATCTATCCATTCCTATCTATTCATTAATCTAATTTATTCATTTAACAAATATTTAAGTTTTTATTGAGAGACTCTCACTCTAACTTATGTAATAAGCCATCATGTGATCACTGAAAACGATTCTCAAGGAAACATTATTTTAGGTCTGCATTTACTAACATTTTGCTTTCTGTATCCATGGTGATATATTTTGGAATTTTTTATCTCTAGCATTACAAAAACTAAGTTGGAAACAACTTTATTAAATTCTAAATTATTATTTATTTCAAACTATTCATAATCTGAGAATAGTCAATGCATATGTTTAAGTTGCCTATATTTTTAAATAAATTCTAAAAAATGTTATAAACTTGCTTCCTTTTGAAAATGAAAATGATAGAAAAAGAAAGCACAGCAATATCAGTATAAATGTAAAAGAAATCTTACTAAATTCTAAGTAAAAAATACAGCCATAAAATGTTAGTACTGTTTTATGCCATTAACAATGTATATGTATATGTATATGTATATGTATATGTATATGTATATGTATATATGTACCTGAATTTAGAAGGGCATAGGAAAATAAAGTGCAGTGGTAACTGTTAACTTTGATCTAATTTTTGATTTATTTCTGTAATAATATTTTAATCTAATATGGTACATTAATTCTATTCTTGCTGGATGAGTATGCATTTGATTTGATAACAGAGTGGGCAGCCCAAGTAAATCTAGGTTTAAAATGCAACTACAAAAGAATTTGACTGCTTATTTAGTAAATATAAAAATAATCTACTTAAAAATTTTATTTTTCATTGCTATTAGGAAGTTAGTGTTAAATTGCCACTTTCCTTTGCTCCTTTAAGTTTAGGAAATACACAGCAAATATATGCAGCAATTTGTGGATTTCTTAGCAATGAGGTGAGAGGAGTAATTTTCAATACACAGGACATTTTGTGGTCTAATTTTCCTTCTTGAAAATCCTTAACGTTTCAAAAATTTGCATGATGCATTTGAGTATTGTTTTGATGGTTTGTTTCCTTTAGAAATATTTCAGGAGCAATTCTCATCTCATCGGAAGATTTTTCTCTTATTATTAGCTTTTCAACAACACAAAATGAAATATGGGAATGCCCTGTTTGATTTCAGCTGCAATGCAGGGCTATTAATCCTTTTTAAATTGCTCCATAGCACCTCCTGATGGAACATGTATGTCTGCATTTGACATTTTTGTCTTTTCTCTTAATGTTACTTAGGCAAGCAAAAAAAACCTCCCTGCAGCTGCCCTTTTTATCCAGACTCTGTTCCTGGGTTTATTGGAAAGGTGATATGGATAATTTTAGTCACCATCCTTCTTCTACCAAGAAAAATCAGGCACAGATAAATTTCTTTTTCTCTTCTACCACTATGTTTTATTGATTTTTAGATTCCTGTTTCCTCAAGGTATTATAGTCTGTAAGTGAAATATTTTATATTTTTTTCTACTTTTTTATTAGCTTAATTAAATTAGGCAGCAGCAGCTTTAGAAGCTGCTGCTGTCAGTTGGAACAGGCACTGCAGAAAATATCAGCTACAAAACAATCTTCCATGATCGGCTCATTTTCTAGAAGGCTGATTCAGATCCCTGTCTTTGAACACCTTGACATCTGTGCATTTATCCCAACTCATATCCTAAATACATCTTGGTCACTTGCACCTCCTTTGCTACCACATAGTGATTCTTTCCCTTCTTCTTCTGCCACTCCTCATCAGTGCTGCAGTAGTCGCTGATCTTCCAGGTTCAGTAATATACTTCTCAGTCATTTGCATTCTAATTGGCCACTAGTCCAGCCCCTGGAGATTGTCCTCACATCTCAAATGCTTCCCAGCTCCAACAGCCCTTACAGGAAAAGATAAGCAATAAGAAACCATGGCAAGTAGAGTGCTTGGTTCCTAGTAATTGCCAGGAGCATTGTGGAATGTCATGACTAAGGTTTTGTCAAGCCTATTAGCTAATAGTAAGCATTCAAAATAATGAAAATTTCTAGAGCTCCAACATGCATGCCAAACAGAAAACTATAATTTACAATCTGTAATATTAAAATATATCTTAAAATAACTCAATTTTTTTTTTTTTTTTTTTTTTTTTTTTTTTGGAGATGGAGTCTCACTCTGTCACCCAGGCTGGAATGCAGTGGCATGATCTTGACTCACTGCAACCTCTTCCTCCCGGGTTCAATCAATTCTTCTGCCTCAGCCTCCCAAGTTGCTGGGACTATAGGCACACACTGCTACGCCCAGCTAATTTTTTGTATTTTTAGTAGACAGGGTTTCACCGTATTGCTCAGGCTGGTCTCAAACTCCTGAGCTCAGGCAATCCACCTGCCTCAGTCTCCCAAAGTGCTGTGATTACAAGCGTGAGCCACCACACCAGGCCATAACTCAAATATTAAAACACAGCCACACATAAGAGATACTTGAAATCAGTTTACTACACTTTAATGTGTATTATGTATTTATTTTTTCCAATACTTTTCTTATTGCTACACTGAATATGAAGCAGGTGTGGAACATAGTCCCTGTACTAAAAAGTTATATTCTAGGCAGGGACATATGACTAACCTATAGGAATGTATGACTAACATAAAGGCAATCTATTTACCTAACACCTAATCCAGTAAAGACAGATAAATGTTAATTATTAGAAATTGGATAAGTTACTTGTAATTAGGACTAAGGGATATAAGAACCAGCAGAAACCTTAGGGATAACGCAGTCAAGGTCCTTGATTTTGCAGAGGAAGAAAAGTAGGCAAAGTTAAATGACTTGTCCAATGACACAGAACAATTGAGTCCTAAACTAAATCAAAATATGCTAATATTTTGCTAATATATGCTAATATCATAACTCCTACATGAAGGCTTTCTCTACTATAGCCTGCATCCTTGTTAACAACAACAAAAAGATTTTCTATTCTTACATATTAGAATGGCAATCTAAATATTTAATGCTGGTCGTTACCTTATGTAAGCATAAAGCCTTAGTAACAGCACTGGTTAACTATTCGAGAACATATGACAAGTAACACTGGCTTTCCTGAGATTTGTAAGCTAGGATGGCTGGTGGCAAATGTGGCTCACGTACCCAGTTGTTCCTAGAAGGCTCTGAGAACTGACTCATGTACTTAGGAATATATATCTGTCAGCGACCAACATGGCTTCATCACTCTTCTGCTCTTCCATTCAAACACGCTTTGGTTTTGTTGTAGCCAAGGCTCTTACTGTCAAAGCCTGAAGCTGAGGAGGGACTGTCAGCACCTCTCCACTACTTTGGCCTTGGAAAAGAAAAATACGCTTTATTAACTTTGTAATATATTTTTGAAAAGCCATGCATATTAAATGGGAAGTTGAATAAACCTTTGCCTATTTCAAAACTAAAGTACACACTTAATATCCTGTATACTAAAAAGTTTATTGGATATTGCAGTAGTCACAAATGACAAATTAAGATGATGTTAAAGGCATGATAATTTAAAAAAAAAAACCTTTATTTTCTCTTTCAATAGCAACTGCCCCACGACAAGTTAGCTAGTAAAATGTTATTTCTATGTGATGTCTGAATTAACATGGTTTACTTAACAACCATAATGCATTCTAAGATTTAGTACAAAGAATAAATAGTTACATAATTTTTTTATAGAGAGGCAATGTGAATAGGTCAAAAATGATCTTAATATCCAGCATCAATAAATATGTTATGTTACAAGGTTTAGGAGAATCAAGATTGCAGAGTGAATTATGATTGCTAATCACATGACCTTAAAATAAAAAGATTATCCTGGATTATAAAGAAAAGGTAAATGGATTATCTCTATATTAGTTTTCTATCAGTGCTGCAACAAATTACCACAGACTTGGTGGATTAAAACAACAGACATTTATTATTGTGTTAAGAGACATGGAACCAATTGTGTGTGTGTGTGTGTGTGTGTGTGTGTGTGTGTGTGCGTGTGTGAATATATATATGGAGACAGAGAGATGTTATGGAATTATTTTACAGGAGTGTGAAGTTTTTTTTTTTATTAATTCCTTCATTTAATTGGATGAAACCCAACCACACTATGTGGGATAAACTCCTCGACTCATATTCTTCTGATTTACATATTAATCTCATCTAAAAAAATTACTTTCACAGGGACAACTAGACTGGTATGGTTTCAAACATCCAAGTACTAAGACCTAGCCAAGTTGACACGTGAAATTAACCATCCAGATTATCTTCTGTTTCTGGATTTCAAAATTTTTAAATGAGTTTCTCTTTGCTAAATTCAAAATGCTGGAAGGCTGTATTCTTTCTAGAGGACCTAGGGTAGAATCTTTTTCCTTTTCTAGTCTCTGTAGCTGACCACATTTCATGGCTTATGGTCCCCCCCTTGTATCTTCAAAGCCAAAACTTGTTTGTCATTCTCATGCTGCATCAATTTGACACTGACTTTCTTCTGCCTCCTGCTCCCACTTTTATGGACCATTGGGTCCACAGAAATAATCCAGGTTAAACTCCCTATTACAATTCCCTCTGCAATCTTCATTATCCTTTGCCATGTAACATCACATACTCACACGTTCCAGAGATTAGAATGTAGGCATATTTGAGGGCATGTGATTGTGGCTATCACATTCCTCTAGAGCCTCCAAAAGAAATTCAGCTATCAGCCTTCTGATACACAGAACTGAAAGTGTACAAGTCAGTGTTTTTTAAGCCATTACATTTGTGGTAATTTGTATCAGCAACCCCAAGAAATTAATACAGTTGTCATCATGAAGGAATGAAAAGTTTATAGGCAACAGAATTTGTATCTAAACACAATATAAACCTCCTTGTGAATTGGGAGCAAGTTAGAGGGATTTAAACATTTCATATACTTTAAGCACAGTGTCTCGACAGAGTCTTAAAGCCAAGTAATAGGAAACAGGAAAAAAGGCATAAAAGAAGAATAAATAATTGACAGTTTCCATGAGATAGATATTGCCCTATGCCAAGCTTTTCATATTGTGATCCTTCCAGCATTAGTGTTCTGTGAGATATTGATAGGGTTTCAAGCAAAAGCAGAAGTTTTACAAAATCAAATACTTCTGAAAAACTCAGGATTCTTTACCACAGGGCCGTGTTGTGTTTACAATCACTGGAAATGTCCCAATGATTGTGCAGTGTTTCAAATACTTTTTGATGATGTAATTTAATTTTCTCCTTTAACACATAATTCTATTAAACATGGCTTGGGAAATAGTGCAACAAGTTTGGCGCATTGGATACTCTACCAAGGCTACCATTAAAAGTATAAATATCCCTGCTCAACTGATTTTATATATATTAATGAGAAATGAATGACCCTACTTATCTAACTTTTAAATTTGAAAAAAGCTTATTAATTCAACTAAAAATGTATATTGAACAGTTTCCACAGGCACAGCTTTCTTTAGTAAGTGTTACAAATAAATAAAATGGCTCATGAGGTACCTGTAATCCAAAACATCCCAGATAAAAATGAAGAACACTTTTGTTTGGGATGATCCCACCATGAAATCCATAAGCATCAGTGTAAAACTAGACATATTCTATTGATTTCAATCAACCCGGTCTTTGCTGTTAAGTCACCTGTTAAGTATCAGTACTCAGGGTTACCATTGCTTTTTAGGCCCACTCAGCCAAAACTCTGCATCTTAGGTACATTCACAGAGTAAAGAAGAAAGAGGAAATTTGACATATCATGAGACATAATTTATAAACAGGATTGAAGTAAATAAACAGAATTAACTTTGGAAGGCATGTTAATTTTTGCCAACAACAACAACAAAAATCCATAAAGCAATTCTAAACAAGATATATATGAATCAGTTGAGAGTACATATAAAGAGCATGTATGTGGTCACTGCAATACTATTCACATAGCAAAGACATGGATTCAGTCAAGGTGCCCATTAACAGTAACTAGATAAAGAAAATGTGCTACATACACACCACGGAACATTACACAGCCATAAAAAGGAATGAGATTATGTCCTTTGCAGCAACCTGAATGGCATTAGAGGCCATTATCCTAAGCAAACTATTCAAATACCTCATGTTTTCACTTATAGGTAGGAGCTAATCATTGACACAAAGAAGAAAACAACAGACACTGAGGCCTATTTGAGGGTGGAGGGTGGGAGGAGGATGAGGATCAAAAAAACTACCTATAGGTACTATGTTTATTAACTGGGTAAAAAAATAATCTGGACACCAAACTCCTATGACATGCAATTTACCTATATAACAAATCTGCACATGTACCCCGAATATAAAATCAAAAAGTTAATAACTGTTCCAACAAAAACAAACAAATACATAATTGAACTGTGTTTTCATTACTAAATTATAGGAGTCATTTATATATTCTAGGTAGAAGCCCTTTGTCAGATTTACATGTTGTAAATACTTTCTCCTGGACTTTGCCTTGTTTGTTAATCTTAGTAGTGTATTTTAATGAATAAGAGTTTTAAATTTTGATAAAGTCGCATTTATTATTTCCCTTTATTGTTGATACTCATGTCCCTTCTAAGAAAACCATTGCCTACTTGAAAAATAAATAAATAAATAAATAAGGAGATATGTGATTAGAAATGTACTAAGTGCTAACAGAAACTTGAGGAAAGAGGAACAATATAAGCAAAGTGACTAAGTACTAACATATTTGCTTAATCTTAGTGATTTGGGTAGAAGAGAGGGAAAAAGGCAATCTTGGACGAGGGAACATGAAAAAATGCAGACGCAGGAAAGAATAATATATTTGGGGTTCAGATAATCATGCAAGAAGCTACTGTGTAAAAATTAGTAAAAATTAAAGGTTCTTCCACATTTATTTGGGGCAGACACTACTTACTACTTTCTTAAGATGTTATGTCATTATTAATGTATGGGCAGGAGAGTCAGGGGTGTTGGAGAGATGCAAGGTAGCAAGGATCTAAAGGCCAAAATCCAGAAAGAAAAAAACCCATAGAAGAAAATCATATATTCTCCCCTCAAGACATTTGCTAATTTTAAAGCAGCAGCTGAAAAGACTAAGAATGTGAGAAAGTAGCAGCTGAGTGGCTGAGAAGGTGAGCAAAGCTTATGACAATACCATGGGTTTAAGGAGACAAAAATTGAACATCTGGGCCCAAAAAGGAAGAAAGAACCTAATAAACACTTCAGATTTTAGATTAGACGTTCGTAGGACTTCCCCTGACAATAAGGGCAACCCAGAAATAGATCAGCCTATAAAAAGTGTGAAGCCTAAATTTAAATAAATTTTATAACTGGTTTGAAGTTCTCTTTCCCTACTGAAAGTCCCATCGACACAAAAGTAAATCTTTTCAGCAGGAAGATAATATTATTTAGACCCTCAAAACATCTCTGTTTTTTATATACAATAACCAACATTCAATCAAAAATTGCCAATATAAAAGGAGTGAAGATCACATAACTGCAAACCAAGAGAATAGAAACAAACTCACAAAATATTCAAATATTGGAGTTAGCAGACATGGATTTAAAATTTCTATGATTAACATGTTTAAAAATTATATAACAACAGGAAACTAACAACATAAAGTAATGCATTGAAATGTAGAATTTAAAATAACACTTAAAATTAAAACTCAGTAGATGCTCTTCTTACAAACAGTAGTAAACCAAGTTGAGATAAGAACAGATGAAAGATTGGTTAGAAATAAAACATCACTATACATGTGTCAGGGCAGGGGTATATGGGAACTCTATACCTGCCTCTCAATTTTGCTATGAATCTAAAACTGCTCCAAAAAATTGTCCTTAGAGGGGTGGCACCAAGATGGCCAAATAGGAACAGCTCCAGTCAGCAACTCCAAGCATGAACAATGCAGAAGAATGGTGACTTCTGCATTTCCAACTGAGGTACCAGGTTCATCTCACTGGGTTTTGCCAGACAAGTGGGTGCAGCCCATGGAGCAGGGGGGGGCATCACCTCACCCAGGAAGTGCAAGGGATCCAGGAATTCCCTTTCCTAGCAAAGGGAAGCCCTGACAGAGGGCACCTGGAAAATCCGAACACTCCCACCCTGATACTGCACTTTTCCAATGGCCTTAGCAAATGGCACACCAGGAGATTACATCCCGCGCCTGGCTTGGAGGGTCCCACACCCACAGAGCCTTGCTCACTGCTAGCACAGCAGTCTGAGATTCAACTGCAAGGCAGCAGCGAGGCTGGGGGAGGGGCGTCCGCCATTGCTGAGGCTTGAGTAGGTAAACAAAGTGGCCTGGAAGCTTCAAATGGGTGGAGCCCACTACAGTTCAAGGAGGCCTGCCTGCCTCTGTAGACTCCACCTCTAGGGGCAGGGCATAGCTGAAGAAAAGGTAGCAGAAACTTCTGCAGACTTAAATGTCCCTGTCTGACAGCTCTGAAGAGAGTAGTGGTTCTCCCAGCATGGAGTTTGAGATCTGAAAATGGACAGACTGCCTCCTCAAGTGGGTCCCTGACCCCCGAGTAGCCTAACTGGGAGGCACCTCCCAGTAGGGGGGTGACTGACACCTTATAAGGCCAGGTGCCCCTCTGAGATGAAGCTTCCAGAGGAAGGATTAGTCAGCAACATTTGCTGTTCTTCAGCCTCTGCTGGTCATACCCAGGCAAACAGGGTCTGGAGTGGACCTCCAGCAAACTCCAACAGACCTGCAGCTGAGGGTCCTGACTGTTAGAAGGAAAACTAACAAACAGAAAGGACATCGACACCAAAACCCCATCTGTACACCACCATCACCAAAGACCAAAGGTAGATAAAACCACAAAAATGGGGAGAAACCAGAGAAGAAAAGCTGAAAATTCTAAAAATCAGAGTGCCTCTTCTCCTCCAAAGGAATGCAGCTCCTCGCCAGCAACGGAACAAAGCTGGACAGAGAATGACTTTGTTGAGTTGAGAGAAGAAGGCTTCAGAGGATCTGTAATAACAAACTTCTCCGAGCTAAAGGAGGATGTTCGAACCCATCGCAAAGAAGCTAAAAACCTGGAAAACACAGTAGATGAATGGCTAACTAGAATAAACAGTGTAGAGAAGTCCTTAAATGACCTGATGGAGCTGAAAACCATGGCATGAGAACTACGTGATGCATACACAAGCTTCAGTAGCAGATTTGATCAAATGGAAGAAAGGGTATCAGTGATGGAAGATAAAATGAACGAAATGAAGTGAGAAGAGAAGTTTAGTTTAGAGAAAAAAGAGTAAAAAGACACAAACAAAGCCTCCAAGAAATATGGGACTATGTGAAAAGACCAAATCTACGCCTGATTGGTGTACCTGAAAGTGACAGGGAGAATGCAACTAAGTTGGAAAACACTCTTCAGGATAACATCCAGAAGAACTTCCCCAACCTAGCGAGGCAGGCCAACATTCAAATTCAGGAAATACAGAGAATGCCACAAAAACACTTCTCAAGAAGAGCAACTGCAAGACACATAATTGTCAGATACACCAAAGTTGAAACAAAGCAAAAAATCTTAAGGTCAGCCAGAGAGAAAGATCGATTACCTACAAAGGGAAGCCCATCAGACTAACAGCTGATCTCTCGGTAGAAACTCTACAAGCCAGAAGAGAGTGGGGGCCAATATTCAACACTCTTAAAGAAAAGAATTTTCAACCCAGAATTTCATATCCAGCCAAACTAAGCTTCATAAGTGAAGGAGAAATAAAATCCTTTACAGACAAGCAAGTGCTGAGAGATTTTCTGACCACCAGGCCTGTCTTACAAGAGCTCCTGAAGGAAGCACTAAAAATGGAAAGGAACAACCGGTACCAGCCACTGCAAAAACATGCCAAATAAGAACATCAATACTAGGAAGAAACTGCATCAACTAATGAGCAAAATAACCAGCTAACATCTTAATGACAGGATCAAATTCACACATAACAATATTAACTTTAAATGTAAATGGGCTACATGCTCCAATTAAAAGACACAGACTGGCAAATTGGATAAAGAGTCAAGACCCATCAGTGTGCTGTATTCAGGAGACCGATCTCATGTGCAGAGACACACATAGGCTCAAAATAAAGGAATGGAGGAAGATCTACAAAGCAAATGGAAAACAAAAGAAAGCAGGGGTTCCAATCCTAGTCTGTGATAAAATAGACTTTAAACCAACAAGATCAAAAGAGACACAGAAGGCCATTAAATAACTGTAGAGGGATCAATTCAAAAAGAAGAGCTAACTATCCTAAATATACATGCACCCAATACAGGAGCACCCAGATTCATAAAGCAAGTCCTTAGAGACCTAGAAAGAGACTCAGACTCCCAAACAATAATAATGGGAGACTTTAACACCCCACTGTCAACATTAGACAGATCAACGAGACAGAAAGTTAACAAAGATATCCAGGAATTGAACTCAGCTCTGCACCAAGTGGACCTAGTAGACATCTACAGAGCTCTCCACCCCAAATCAAGAGAATATACGTTCTTCCCAGCACCACACCACACCTACTCCAAAAGTGACCACATAGTTGGAAGTAAAGCACTCCTCAGCAAATGTAAAAGAAGAGAAGTTATAACAAACTCTCTCTCAGACCACAGTGCAATCAAACTAGAACTCAGGATTAAGAAACACACTCAAAACCACTCAACTGCATGGAAACTGAACAACCTGCTCCTGAGTAACTACTGGGTACATAACGAAATGAAGACAGAAAAAAATATGTTCTTTGAAACCAACAAGAACAAAGACATAACATACCACAATCTCTGGGACACATTCAAAGCAGTGTGTAGAGGGAAATTTATAGCACTAAATGCCCACAAGAGAAAGCAGGAGAGATCTAAAATGGACACCCTAACATCACAATTAAAAGAACTAGAGAAGCAAGAGCAAACACATTCAAAAGCTAGCAGAAGGCAAGAAATAACTAAGATCAGAGCAGAACTGAAGGAGATGTAGACACAAAAAACCCTTCAAAAAATCCATGAATCCAGGAGCTGGTTTTTTGAAAAGATCCACAACATTGATAGACCGCTAGCAAGACTAATAAAGAAGAAAAGAGAGAAGAATCTAATAGACGCAATAAAAAATGATAAAGGAGATATCACCACCAATCCCAGAGAAATACAAACTACCATCAGAGAATACTATAAACACCTCTGCGCAAATAAACTAGAAAATCTAGAAGAAATGGATAAATGCCTCGACACATACACTGTCCCAAGACTGAACCAGGAAGAAGTTGAATCTCTGAATAGACCAATAACAGGCAATGAAATTGAGGCAATAATTAATAGCTTACCAACCAAAAAAAGTCCAGGACAAGATGGATTCACAGCCAGATTCTACCAGAAGTACAAGCAGGAGCTGGTACCATTCCTTCTGAAACTATTCCAATCAATAGAAAAAGGGGGAATCCTCCCTAACTCATTTTGTGAGGCCAGCATCATCCTGATACCAAAGCCTGGCAGAGACACAACAAAAAAAGAGAATTTTAGACCAATATCCTTGATGAACATGGATGCAAAAATCCTCAATAAAATACTGGCAAACCGAATCCAGCAACACATCAAAAAGCTTATCCACCATGATCAAGTGGGCTTCATCCCTGGGATGCAAGGCTAGTTCAACATAGGAAAATCAATAAACGTAATCCAGCATATAAACAGAACCAAAGACCAAAACCACATGATTATCTCAATAGATGCAGAAAAGGCCTTTGACAAAATTCAACAACGCTTCATACTAAAAACTCTCAATAAATTAGGTATTGATGGGATGTATCTCAAAATAATAAGAGCTCTCTATGACAAACCAACAGCCAATATCATACTGAATGGGCAAAAACTGGAAGCATTCCCTTTGAAAACTGGCACAAGACAGGGATGACCTCTCTCACCAGTCCTAGTCAACATAGTGTTGGAAGTTCTGGCCAGGGCAGTCAGGCAGGAGAAGGAAATAAAGGGTATTCAATTAGGAAAAGAGGAAGTCAAATTGTCCCTGTTTGCAGACGACATGATTGTATAGCTAGAAAACCCCATCATCTCAGCCCAAAATCTCCTTAAGCTGATAAGCAACTTCAGCAAACTATCAGGATACAAAATCAATGTACAAAAATCACAAGCATTCTTATACACCAATAACAGACAAACAGAGAGCCAAATCATGAGTGAACTCCCATTCACAATTGCTTCAAAGAGAATAAAATACCTAGGAATCCAACTTACAAGGGACGTGAAGGACCTCTTCAAGGAGAACTACAAACCACTGCTCAAGGAAATAAAAGAGGATACAAACAAATGGAAGATCATTCCATGCTCATGGGTAGGAAGAATCAATATCGTGAAAATGGTCATACTGCCCAAGGTAATTTATAGATTCAATGCCATCCCCATCAAGCTACCAATGACTTTCTTCACAGAATTGGAAAAAACTACTTTAAAGTTCATATGGAACCAAAAAAGACCCGCATTGCCAAGTCAATCCTAACCCAAAAGAACAAAGCTGGAGGCATCACGCTACCTGACTTTAAACTATACTACAAGGCTACAGTAACCAAAACAGCATGGTACTGGTACCAAAACAGAGATATAGACCAATGGAACAGAACAGAGGCCTCAGAAATAATGCTGCATATCTACAACTATCTGATCTTTGACAAACCTGAGAAAAACAAGCAATGGGGAAAGGATTCCCTATTTAATAAATGGTGCTGGGAAAACTGGCTAGCCATATGAAGAAAGCTGAAACTGGATCCCTTCCTCACACCTTATACAAAAATTAATTCAAGATGGATTAAACACTTAAATGTTAGACCTAAAACCATAAAAACCCTAGAAGAAAACCTAGGCAATACCATTTAGGACATAGGCATGGGCAAGGACTTCATGTCTAAAACACCAAAAGCAATGGCAACAAAAGCCAAAATTGACAAATGGGATCTAATTAAACTAAAGAGCTTCTGCACAGCAAAAGCAACCACCATCAGAGTGAACAGGCAACCTACAGAATGGGAGAAAAATTTTGCAACTTACTCATCTGACAAAGGGCTCATATCCAGAATCTACAAAGAACTTAAACAAATTTACAAGAAAAAAACAAACAACCCCATCAACAAGCGGGCGAAGGATATGAACAGACACTTCTCAAAAGAAGACATTTATGCCATCAAAAAACACATGAAAAAATGCTCATCATCACTGGCCATCACTGGTTTGATAAGCCCATTGGAAAAGTGCAGTATTTGGTTGGGAGTGACCCAAGTTTCCAGGTGCCGTCTGTCATCCCTTTCTTTGACTAGTAAAGGGAATTCCCTGACCCCTTGCACTTCCCGAGTGAGGCAATGCCTCATCCTGCTTCGGCTCATGCACGGTGCGCTGCACCCACTGTCCTGCACCCACTGTCCGGCACTCCCCAGTGAGATGAATGCGGTACCTCAGTTGGAAATGCAGAAATCACCTGTCTTCTGCATCGCTCACACTGGGAACTGTACACTGGAGCTGTTCCTATTCGGCCGTCTTGGCTCCACCAGCCATGGATGAGGTTTTAAACTTTATCTATCATTGAAGACAATTGGGACAAGCTGACAGAAAGTATTTTTTCAATGAATATGTATGTACAATGAATGAAATTAATCCATATAACTTAGACTGCATTGTTGAGGTAATAATCCACCCACCTTTAAGGTATACTGGCAAACCTGAATAACCACTTGTCTGGAATATTGCAGAAAGTTTCAAGCATCAAACAAAGGACATCATGGCTCATATCAGGTCCATAACTCCAAGAATTTTAGTAGCCACAAGTCAAGATAGTTTTTAAAACAAAAACGTAAAAGCATTAGCTATCGTGCAAATTGTAAATGACAAATGTAAGAAAAAAAGTTAAACAATTTGATAAACATATTGTTAACTGAAGTTTTAAAAGATACTACTACACTATAATAAAATGTATTAATTTCAAAAGAAGTAAAAGGAAAGAACGGCAGTATATGACTAAGATTTATGAAGAATAAAGTTCTATCAGAACTATGGAATGTGAAGTAGAAAGGTTGAGCTTGACCTTGGATGAAAAATCCGAACTATGCATGTGATATGTTATAGGATATCAGAGAGCAGAGAAAAGAGAATTATGAAAAATATGTGACAGAATCAGGTAAAAATGTCAATATATTTTTTTTAACTCAATTCTCTTGAAGATTTCATTAGCTGTGTTAGAGTTGCCATTTGAATTACACTTTGTCACCCTTAATTATGGCTGCATATGTATAAGTACAAATAACTGTTCTAATCTAGAAAACTCATTGATAAAAAAATGGTCAGACTGTGGGGAGACTTAAGAGATTAGTCCCATCAAAAATAGTAGATGTGGTTGTTTTAGCTTCTATTTTTACTTAAGATGCTGACTATATACCAAATCTATGTGTTCCAGTCTTCAGAGAATAGACTGGGCCCAAAGGAGCTCCTATGTATTCAAAAATGCACCTCCATAATTTGTCTGCTCCTCTAAAGTGCTGATTCTAATATACCAAATTGTTTGGCTGTATTTTGACCTCATGACTCAAACGTTATCTGCCTAGCCTGGTATGTTTTAGAACTGAAAGGCTTGGAAACGTCTAGTCCTTGCTTCCATGATTATCTCTCTGTCCCACCTTCCAAAAATGAAAGGAATAAATATATTTTTCTGCTCTATTAATATGCAAATTCAGCTTCCCTGCATTGAGAACTCTGAAGTGCATATTGTGGTAACTGATGGGGAAGTTGAAGCTGGTATAAATGCTGCTCTTGGCCTTGACATAAGAATAGATGATTAAAATAAAATTGCACTTCTCTGGCAGTGTTAAGCATTGGCCAACTGCCCAAATTCAGCAGTGCACATTCTGGTAGGCTTAGCTTCTCTCTTGACACATTGCACCACTGAGCTCAGACTTCCCCTGCCTGTTACTTCAGATGTGCTAGATTGATATATTTATCCTGCCTCATTGCCTGTGAGTACCTAAGGCATTAAAGAAAAGATTAACCTGCAGGTATGATGAACTCTGGGGACTCTTACATTAGATGTCACTTCTTAAAGCATTGTCTTTAAGGATCACACACACACAGCCAGATCAAAATGAAGCCTGTGTTATGTTAGTGGTTTTTAACCATTTGCTAGAAGATTGAAAATTATATTACATCGTGTCATAGACTAAGAAAGGTTTTGTAGATTTTCTATTTAATTCATAGCTCCAGGCATTATAGTTAAGACACAAAACAGTATCAAAGGATTCCATGAATTGTTCAGGGAAAAAATAAACTATAGAAATTCTTGCTTTGTATAGCATGCCAAAACCTGAAAACTTCTTTTTAAACTAATTTAAGAACATTTTCCTTTCACTCACCTACACCCTCCACTGCATTGATATCTTGATTGCATTTTTACATATTTAATTATATATTACTGCATAGAATATAAATCACTATAGTGTAGTGACTCAAATTGATGATGCAGCATTTCCAGAATTTTAATATGAGATCCACCTAGGGCAGGTTTCTAAACATGTCTTACCATACCTGTGCCTCAGTTTCCTCATCTTCAAAAAAATGAGCTACTCTCAATAAGGTTGCTGTGAGGACTAAATTACATAGTAAATGATAAGTACCTAGAACAGTGCTTGACACATAGTGAATGCTCAGTTAATATCAGCTACTATAATTAAGCAGAGTAGAAATGAGCACACTGAATGTTCAAGAAACCATGTCATGCATGTAATTGCTCATGTGTATCCTACAGAAAAGAAAAATTGGAAGTTAGTTGATAGCTGTCTTCAAATGTCTGAAAAGTTATTAAGGCATTAAACTTAATCTATGTACCAGAGAAGAAAACTAGTAAACACTAGTACATAGACACTATATATATACACATATATATACATGCCAATCATCTCTCTGTTTCCAACCCTATGGATCCTGATGTAAATTTATATAGAAATTTCATCTGCACTTTTATAGACTACATACTCAAAAAATAATCAGATAACATGCAGATCCTGGCCTCTTAAGAGACTTATGTGTTCACACAGACATCATCAACTCCAAAAGTACAGTAAATTTTCAAGTGCCCTCCTCCAAATTCTATCGGCTCTCAATAAAAATATATATCGTTTCTTACAATGATGAAATAAATAGAGGGAGTAAGAGAACAGACTTTTTTTAAGCTTTATTACTCTGTTCTTTAGTGTTATAAGTAAACTAGTCTGACTACTTAGTTGAAATTCAAAAATCTTTAATTCTAAAATATATATATATAAATATATATATAAAAATATATATATTTAATAAGAAAAGAGAAGCCTTCTGCACTGTTGAGGCCTTCTGGCTTTTTACTAGGATGTTCCAACAGAATTCAAACAGCAGTAACTCAGTTCTGAATGCAAGTTAGAATCACCTGGAAACGAGAAAATGCTGATATCCAGGTTCCTTCCCCAAGGAGTTAGATTTTATTAATCTGGGCTGGCAATCTGGAATTGGTGTATATGAAAGCTCTCCAGCTGGTTTTAATATTCAGCCAAAGTTAAGAACCACTGGTGGAGTCTTAATTATTACACAAGGATTCTAACACAATTAACTAGGAAAAAATATTACATAACAAAAAAATTATTACATAAAACAATGAAACATCATTATGTAAGTTTATAAACATTGAAAGCCATGGTATGGTAGAGATCAGTAGAAGGGCAGCAAGTTTGGACCCTAAGATTTCAATGTTATTATTGATATCAGGTTTCTGTGTAAATATCAAGACAATAACTACAACACATATATGAAAACAAATTTCAGATGTTTCATTACAGTGTAGCCATTGGGAAAAAGCACACTTACTAGGTTCAGAAATAGGATTACAAAGATGGATAAAACAATGCCTCTGCTCACAAGCAGCTCAAAATTGAGATTTGAAGCAAAATAGCAGCATAGCTGGAGCATGAGACTAAAGTTTCTTTATTGAGTTCTTATTGTGTGCTGGGCACTGCTCTAACATAGCACATGAAATGTCTTTGCCCCATTTTACAGGTAAAGAAATGGAGGAACTTAAAGGATAAGGAAATTATCCAAAGTCATATTGTTGGTAATGGTGGAGCAAGGACTTTAACTACAACACCACACCTGGAGAACCTGCACTTGTAACCACCATGCCATACCACTTTTCAATCTCAAAATCTCTCAGATTCTGTTAGTCAATGACCCACTGTCTTCTGTGAAAATTTGTATGCGCTTATCAAGAAAGAAGTGTTCTTTTGAAAACTGAAATTATTTGGTGCCTTATTAAAAGCAAGATTTGAGATACTTTGTTTTCTTTTTTAAGGTTTTGAACAATGTTTAACAAAAATAAATTAGTGATGTTTGACTTTCACCAGTGGAAAACAATTCTTGGTAACTTACAACCTAGATAATTTTATAGAAGTGGTTGGATAAAATAACTTATAAAATTGAAAGAAAACCTGGAAAAACACATCTTGGCAAGTTCAGGGACTGAAGAGGTTCTGGCAATATAGGAAGCAAGAACAATAAACTTTTTCAAGTCTCTCAGATTTAAATAAATCATATTCAACCATGTCCTCTGCTTGTATCACTTTACTAAATATTCAGATTTCAGGAAGAGTGGGATTGGCTGAGCTTTGGGTCACATGCCCACCTGCTAACCAGGAGAGACTTGGCATCTTGATAATCAATTCTACCATAACCACTTGAAATGTGGAGAAATATGTCTCCAAAGAAATTTCTTAAAAGAATGATGGAATCAGGCAATAACCTCTGGCTAATAAACCCCTACTACTATTGAAACGGAGCAATGCAATAATTTTTAAAAGCCTTATAAAATAAGTCTGTCTGTTGGTTAAAAACTGCCCCGAAGAGGAAGTGGGAGGGTGCAAAGTGTAATTCATTTGCAAGATAGCTGCAAGGACAATTACCATGCATCAATAAGCTTATTCATCCTCCCCTGAAACCTACCTTCCTAACCTCTTACATTATGCTTTCAGAACAAGATTTCGGAACAAGATTTGTCCTGTTTTAGATAATTAAGGCTGGAGCTGCTGATTAACCCCAAAGCTTCTATCATTGAAATGGGTTTAACATGAGACCAGGAAAAGCTCTTTGCTAAGCTAAAATTTGAAATGACGACTTGTCTTCTCTTGACTAATTCCCTTCTGAAGGCTGCATCTCACTCTCCAAGTAGAACAAGAGAGGTATTTCTCCACACATTTCTGGCTAGGCCTAAGCATTTTCTCACAATATCATTTCTACATTTATGACAGTCTTTTCATCATTTGATTTCAATGGTAATGATCCTTCTGTTGTCTATGAGATCAAGTTTAAGTTCCTCATCACCAGTTTTCCAGCTGCACATCACCCTACTACTTCAGAAACACACTGCATTCCAGCCACACCAAAATATTAACTGTGCCTCCACAAAATGGGGTGCCTTTCCAAGTCTGCGTCCCTATACATTCTCTGCTTTTCTTAACTTTTCTATTTCATAAAGTGTCATTCTTGTATTAAATAAGTTCAAGGATCAAGCAACCTACTCAAGAACTATAGACCTCTCTAGGTCTCTATTAGTAGCTTGTACATTACAACAAGCTTGATGAAGAATCTTGAGCCATATCCTATCCAGCAGCTGCTAGGGCCACCCACTCCTAGGATTCCACACCCAGCGTAGCCTGCCATGTTTTGTTCATATTTCTATTAAAATAGTTTGACAGTATTATAATTATTTGTTTACCAATATGTCTCTCCTTTTACACTGTGAACTGCTTAGGGATAGTGCCCTTTTGTAATCATCTATCACCATGAATTCAATAAACATTTATTGAATATCTCCTATGCTGAAGAACTTATCTAAGTACTAGGGATTCAATTATAAAAATATAAATAAATCCTGCTGTCATAGCACCTAGAGCACAGGGTCTTGACAAAAACACAGACAATGAAGCAGGCCATTATAACATTCTGTGATGAGTACAATGATAGGAAAATACTGGATTGTATAGGAACACATTGAATCCTTATGACCATCCCATAAGACAGGTCCTTCATTATACTGATGAAGAAATTGGAAAGCTAAGATGTTATAATTAATTTGCTTCAAGTCAGGCAGGAGACAATAGACCTATATGCTATCCCAAACCCTGAATACCCAAAACTGAAGGCTCATCTATTGTGTTATGTTGCTTCTTTTCCCAGAAGAAGATGAGAACAGATGCAATCACCTGTGGAAGCTGGGTGAGAAAAAGAGAGGGCCTAAGACATACTCCCAGGAAAAATCAACACACAAAGACAGAGATAAAAGGCTGCCCTAAAAGGCAAAGTGAAATAGGAAAAACAAAAAGTAGGTTGAAAACCAGGACAGTTTGTATCCATAGAAGCAAAGAGAATAGAATACCTGACACAATGACCAGTGTGAAATAGCCACTTAATACATTTTTCTTCTTTTTTTTGAGATGGAGTTTCCCTGTCACCAGGCTGGAGTACAGTGGCACAATCTCAGCTCACTGCAACCTCCGCCTCCTGGGTTCAAGCGATTATCCTGCCTCAGCCTCCCAAGTAGCTGGGACTATAGGCATGTGCCACCACGCCCAGCTAATTTTTTGTATTTTTAGTAGAGATGGGGTTTCACCATGTTGGCCAGGATGGTCTCAATCTCCTGACCTCGTGATCCGCCTGCCTCGGCCTCCCAAAGTGCTGGGATTACAGGTGTGAACCACTGTGCCCGGCCCACTTAATGCACATAAAATGACAAACTAGCTTAATAAATACAATCATGAAACAAGCCTTCTTGTATTTCTTTCTTAAAGAAAGCTTGAGGATTATTTCTAACTCTTTGTAGGAGAATTTAAACATAGTGTATGTAAAATGATAAATATAAACATGAAAATCACTTAGATGGCATTTTTCAATTATGTTAAAATAGTCACAAACTGAGACATGCACTTTAAATTGTGTGGCTTTATTATAATTAAACTTACTGCTGTAAATACAAGATAACTGGATGATTAGATACTTGCTTAAGGTCTTGTGAATACTTTCATCTTTTCTAGAAGACAGCTTACAAGTAGAAATTGCCAATTCATTGAAAGCTCTGACAACACAATCCATCAAAGATGAAACTGCTGACTAGATTCTGCCTCTAATACTGGGATAGATTCTGACTTAAGTACTTTATAAATGAATCACTATTTTTACTTGATGGATGATACAAAATACATTCCTGGACATACACGCAAATGTTCAAACATAGAAATGACCACAAATAATAAGTGAAAAAAGAAGCTTTAAATTCAGTTAGCACTCTGGAGGGATAGAATAAGGATGGAATTCATTCAAGACAAATCACTGTGGTAATCTTTCCAGATAATATTTTAAGATGTGAGAATCATGAGGTTAACTTTGCATTGGTCTGGCTTATTCCTAGACTCTGCATGATCGATTCTATTGTGCAGTGCTATCAGATGTACTATTTTGTAGATCACAGCATATGCCATTCATCAATCTGGTCGGTGAGGAGATAAAGAAAGAAGAACAAAGGTAAATAAATTATAGACTACTGTTTAATTGAAGTTACTGTAATAGTTATAATCGACTCAATTTCATAACAAGGTTAACTCCCCTAATGTATTCTATTACATTCCATTTTAGAAGACCTCCATTGAACAAGACATTATCAAACAAGTATTGTTTTCAGTTAGTGAAATTACCTCAGTAAAAAAATAAGAAAACATAATACTTTCAGTCAACATGCATTTTTTCAAATCAAATTTTCAATCACCCATAAATTCACAAATAGTTGTACTGGAATTTGTTCTCAGCATAAGGTATAATTTATCTTATTTCTAGTAGGTTAACTCACCCTATGGTGTTACTGATACATTTTCTCTATGAAACTGCATGAAGGAGCATATGAATTGTGTGTCCAATAACCAGTCATCTACGAAGCACCTTGATTAATGATGCTTTCACATCTGTTCTCTTCCATTCATAGTCCACACTTTGATAATCTAGTCCAATGCCAGAGTCTATTGTGCAGTGCTATCAGATATACTGTCTGGTGGCTAAAACAGTAAGTATCCTTAGTCACCTTTTGGTAGAATATCAATTTAAAAATCCAAACAGACTAAGGCTTCTAAAGAAGTGCTATAGTGGTGAAACTTTCTAATTGTTTAATTCCTTGTGTGATATTATTTTCCCAAAAGTTGTATGTCAGGTCATTCTTACAGCTGTATTTTATCAAATAATAGTTTGATAAAATAATATTTTATCAAATAATAGTTTGATAAAATAATATTTTATCAAATAATAGTTTGATAAAATAATATTTTATCAAATAATAGTTTGATAAAATATTTTATCAAATAATAGTTTGATAAAATAATATTTTATCAAATAATAGTTTGATAAAATAATATTTTATCATTTGATAAAATATTATTTTATCAAATAATAGTTTGATAAAATAATATTTTATCAAATAATACTGTTATCAAATAACAGTAAATGCAGTATTTTCCATTTCATTTTTGCATGTCCTACCCTTTCGAAGATTGATTAAAAACCTACCATTTCAAGCACAAAAATTTAAGGACAAACAAACACTGTCCCTCGTATAAAATATGTACTGTGACAAGCACGAATGTTTAAGGACAAGGAAAGCTTTTAATTACTATAAAATATGAACAAAGCTACTTATAATCATATCCAATATTTTTTTCCTTTTAGGAAGTCCTTTTCCTACTACTTATTGACTACTCAATTTACTCCAGTCTGAATTGTGACATCATTCCACCAATAATTTCTTATTAAGAGCACCACTTTAGGGGCTGGGCATGGTGGCTCACACCTGTAATCCCAGCACTTTGGGATGCTGAGGCAGGCAGATCACTTGAGGTCAGGAGTTTGAGACCAGCCTAGCCAAGAGGGTGAAATCCCGTCTCTACTAAAAATACAAAAATTAGTTGGGCAGTGTGGCACGCACCTGTAATCCTAGCTACTGGGGAAGCTGAGGCACGAGAATCACTTGAACCTGGGAGGCGGAAGTCGCAGTGAGCCGAGATCATGCCACTACACTCCAGGCTGGGCAACAGAGTGAGACTCTGTCTCAAAAAAAAAAAAAAAAAAAAAGCACCACTTGATATCATTAAATTTACAACATTGATGGACCTGAAGTACATTATCCTAAGTGAAATGGGCCAGAGACAGAAAGAAAATATTGCATGATCCCACTCATATGTAGAATTAAATAAATAGATAAGAGAGAGAAAGAGAGAGAGAGAAATAGATTGATAGATTAAATACATAGAGATAGAGAATAAAACAGAGGTTTACCAGAGTAGGGATCTTAGGGAGCGGGTAGAAAATGGAGAGATGGAAGTAAAGGATACAAAGTAGTAAATATATAGGATGAAAACACTGAAAGATCTAATCTACAACATGAAGGCTATAGTTAATAATAGTGTATTATATTTAGGATTTTTGCTAAATGAGTAGATTGTAGCTTCTCTTGCCGCAGAGGGAGAAATAGGTGGCCATGTGAGATGATAGATATGCTAATTTGTTCCACTATAATAACCATTCTAATATATATATATATACACACACCAACATATATATCTTAAAATATCATGATGTATACTTTTAGACAATAAAATTTATTTAAAAAATGCAATGGTCGCTCTTCTTTCTTTGTCCTTCTGGAATTATCAAGGTATATTACACAAGTGTCTGCTCAATCCTTGTGGAAAAACTCTTCTCTTTACTTTCATGACTTACATCCTTCTTATACTGAAGGATGTTTCTGTATGAAAAGATGAGATGAGGCCAAAACAAAACACAAAAAACAACTTTCCTTCTTCACACGTAGGCTAAGAATAAAATTTTAAATGTAGCCTTCTTCCTTGAGATAAATGGACTCAGATAGCCACACTATTTTCAAAGTCCTACCTTTTGCAAACACTATCAAGAGATCAATTAAGAAGTTATTTTTATAATAATTTTTATGTTAAAAGTACATTTTCACTGGAAATGTCACATGTTCTGATTATCAAAATAAAAAAGATCTAAACACAAAGCTTAGATTATAAAACTTCTAGAGGAAAATATAGGAAATAATATTTACAACCTTTGGGTAGGCAAAGATTTCTTGGACCACAAAAGCACTAACAATAGAAGAAAATGAACAACTGGAGTTCATAAAAAATAAAATATTCAACTTTTCAAGTTATTGTTAAGAAAACGAAAAGGCAAACCACAGGGAAGGAGAAAATGCTTGCAACACACACATAACCTAAAAAGTAAGAGCTCTTATAACTCAATAATAAAAAGACAACATGCCATTTTTTATGGGGAAAATGATTTGAATGGACAATTCACAAAATAATCTGTTAATAACATGTGAATAGATGGCCAGCACCTTTTATCACCAGAGGAATAAAATTTAAGCTATACAGAAATTCCAGTAGGTATTCATAGGAATAGCTAAAATTTAAAAAGCTGACAATATCAAATGTTGATAGGTATATGAAGCCTTGAAACTCTCACTCATTTCTGGTGGTGGTGCAAAATGCTACAGCAACTTTGTGAAACTCTTTAGCAATTTATTGTAAAGTTAAACATAATTCTACTCTTACTCAGCAATTCTAGTTGTAGGTATATAAACAAGAGAAATAAATCATTTCCTTATTAAAAAAGACATATATGAATGTTTCCAGCAGCTTTATTTAAAATAATAAAAAGGTGGACATAATGGAAATATTCATCAAGGGGTGAATGGAAAAGCAAATTATGAAATATTCCCACAGTGTAGCCTTCAATTAAATGGAACAAACTACTGATTCACACTATAACACAGATGAATCTAAAACTCAATATATGGACCAAAAGAAGATAGAAACAAAGATACTGTATGGTTCCATTTGTGTTAAAATTTCTAAAAGGCAAAATTAATTAAGAAATAAGATCAGTGGTTGTCTAGGACCAAAGGGAGGGTGGGAAGATGAACCACAAAGGCCTCTAGGACACTGTTCAGGTTGATGGTGGCACAAAGGCATACATTTCTCAAAATGCACTTAAAATTATACTTCAAAACATTGACTATATGATTATATTCTCACTAAAATATTTTAATGTTCCATAGTCATTTCTGATTATAAAAGTAATATATGCTAACTATAAACCTTCAAATATTTCAAAGGTACAAAACATAAAAATGGATATCTTCCATATTATTTCCTCCTCCTGAGGAACACATTTTAAAATAATGTAGTATATCTTACTTCAGAATGTTGTATATATAATATATATACACATACATACACACATGTATCTATGTATATACATATTTTACAAAAATTGGACAAGCTTCATATAACCTATTTTCTACTTGTTTTCTTTTAAACTAATGATTCTTTGTGATGTTCTATGTCAGTTCATACAACATTCTAATGAATTCAATACAATTTTCTAATGAATGTCATACTAATGGTATGGTAATATATTTTATAGCTGTACTATAATTTATCAATATCTATCAGTGGAAAAATATTCAAAATACACTTTCAGATATTTAAGCTGACAAATAAATGTGTCACTCTTTTAATAAAAGATATCTTTATTGACTACTTTAGTAAAATAATGCTTTGTGTAATTTACCCAGAGTCGGAATATATTTATATCAGCCATGCATCTTCAAAACTGATGAAAAATACTAAGAGTAGAAACACTGCATGATTAAGTGTGAAGTTTCAAGAAACCTTTTGAATCAAATGGAGAAAATGCAGCCCGGGTTGATTAAAAGAAGTATCCAACGTCATATAGATTGTGGTTGGCAGAGCCAGCATCAGTGCCAAGCTCCCGAATCTTAGTGTAGTGTTTTTCACACATTTTCCTTTGTGCAGAATTCACTAACCTGGAAGGGGCTTCAATCCACAATCTTGGCATCATTAACATTGCATCTGAACACCTGAGGTGACCAATCTTACCTGCAGTTGAATTATTCAGTAGAAAGAAACACTATGCAATGAGGGTACGGAGGTAGCATGGTGCTTGTCTTTCAGGAATGATTCTTTATGCTTCACAATTTAACATACCGCAACAGCACGATGCATCTAATGATTTTTTAAAACAGCTTTCTGCTGACAGCATAAACAGAAACAAGTTTATTTTGAGTGAGCAGCTGCTGTTTTTTCATCGAGGAACGTCACTAGCTGAAATAATGCAGCAGGCTGGCACTGCCGTGAGTGGATAAACATCTACGGGGTTTGTGGACTGGCAAACATAAGACCATTCTGCTTCTGTTGCAATTACCAATAAACCAAACAGCCCATCTTCAATTTTATGAGACTGAAAAGTTAAGCCAGTCTGCAAAAGAGTTACAGAAATGGGCTGCACAGATTGCCTTATTTTAATGAATGGATCAACTGCAAATGACAGATTTTTTTTTTTTGGTCCATCTATGTGGTATTTGTAAGTTTATTTTTCAGGTTTTGTTGAATTAATTATTTTTTAATGTACTCATATCCCTTTAAACATATTTCTTACATGAAACAGTTACGTTTATAGAAAAAGTTAAGTTAATTTCAGCAAAATTCCATTTTTTGATCTGTGACAATCTATTCATTAATATTTACATGTTCTCAACAAAGATTTTAGTGCTCTAACTTTGGTCTCAAAGAAAAAAAAAATCTGAGAAAGAACATTTGGTCAGTAAATGACCTCAAAAAATTTGTGGATTGACAGTTTTGAAACAAGTGATTTCTCTTTTTTGGAGTGTTTTATGTTTTCGTGATTCCACCTTCATTTTAGTGCTTCAGGGAAGGCCAGGAAAGTATCTTGTTTGTCCACTCCTGCATACCTCTAATTATGTAACACCATCTTTTTGGCTGACCTCAAAAATTCCATTTAAATTAAGTATAATAACTAATTACATGTTCTATTAAGAAGGTTTTTTTTAAAGTTTTAACTCACTGAAGAGTTGAAACAATAGTACAGAAAGTCCTCATATACCCTTCACCTGGCTTCCTTTACAGTAACATGTTGCATAACCAAATAATATTTATCAAAATTAAGGAATGTTTTGCATTAGACTTTATAATTTTTTAAAATGTGATTAATATAAGAATGCTATGAAATGATAAACATACTGTACAAGCACAAGAAGCTAAAAGAAGAAAAATCAAATATCAAGAGATTTCTGAGAGGGGAGAGATTACTTCCAACCAAGTAGTTCACTGAAGGGTTCATGGTTTAGAGGAATTTCCACTGGGAACTGGATGGTGACGGGGATCTAGACAGATAACAATGAAGCTGGAGGGAGACCTTTTAAGTTTAAAAACAAGGAATGAGATAGAAAGCAAAAATTCAAGTGTACATGGAGTTGTGAAAATCACCCTAGGAAAATTTGGAAACAAACAAAAGACTAATTTACCTTGTTTGTTTCCCTTTCATTGACTTTTCAATGTAAGAATTTTATTGTTAAATCATTAAAGAACTATAAATTGTGAGAATCAGATGAAAAATAATAATTAAAAGAAAGTCTGCAAACCTTGATCCCATGGTAAGCTATTGAATGTGCCATTAAATTAGATAGTGAACTCTTTCTTGGCCTAATCCCATATAATTATAATTCTGTTCTCACACACTCTCACTTTTGCATAGTTAGCATCTCAGCAGTTGAAGAGGTCATGTCCTTAGGGTGTCAATTAATCAAATTGCAGAAACTTCACCATTTTCTTTAACACTTTAAGCACATTTAATACTGGTATCCTTGAGGATCATGGACATTTGCTAAATGTTAAGTATAAAAAGCAATCAATTATTCATGTGCTGTGTTATTAATATCATTTGGATTTATATAACACAGATGTTTTAACAATAGGACTAGTCTGGATTAATGAAGTATAGGCCAGTTACCAGTTAAAAAGGCAACAAGTTGCCAAGATAATTCTCAACGCCCCTTGGGTTAAGGAGCAATAGCATGTTGTTGGTAAGAGCAGTTGTTGATATTGGCTGCCCTACAAAGATTACTTAATGCCTACTGAATTGTTTGTAGAAAGGATAGAGGTGTTACACAAATTCTCATTCTAGAAATTTAATTTTATTTCAAAAGGAGTGAACATCTCTCCTTATATGGAACTTCCAGATCATTGAAAGCAGATTGAGCAGAAGAATGCAAACAAATTTGTTTTGACCTTTATTCAAATTCAGCAACATGAGCAATCCTTATCTTGGGAATAGAACCTGGAACTTTATGGAAGAGTGAACCCAGATTACCACATATTATGCTCTTCTTTTTTTCCTTTTTTTTTTCACTGAAGTCATCACTAACAAAAAACTCAATTCTAAAGGTAATTCCCACCTCTTCTCAATCTACCCAAATTTTATCTAATTATGCATGACCCTCGACTTTCAACTTTATTGTAAAGACTTAACTGGTCACCTTTCCTCAGGAGTGCTCCCTCCTCTCATAGTTCTGTAAAACATGTTCCATACCATCTATTGCAGTGTTCTATATTGTATAGTTATTTGTTCATGTGCCTTATTACTTTGTCTTCCCAACTAGATTGAGATCTCCTTGAAAACAGATCTGCTACTTATTAATAATCCTTCCTATGATAAATGTTCCTGAAATATTTGAAGCCTGACTTTTCTCTTTTAACTTTTGTTTTAGTTTTAGAGCTACAGTTGCAGGTTAGTTGTATAGATAAATTGTGTATTGTGGGAATTTGGTGTACAGATTATTTCATCACCCAGGCAATAAGCATAGTACTCATCAGGTAGATTTTAATCCTCACCCTTCTCCTACCCTCCACCCTCAGGTAGGCCCTGGTGTCTACTGTTCCCATCTTTGGTTCCTTGTATACTCAATGTTTAGCTCCCACTAATACGTGAAAACATGCGGTGTGTAGTATTCTATTCTGTGTTAGTTTGCTTAGGATAATGAATCCCAGCTCCATCCATGTTGATGCAAAGACATTATTTCATTGTTTTTTTATGACTGTATAGTATTCCATGGTATATATGTTTCCTCATTTTATTTATCCAGTCTACCACTGATGGATATTTAGGTTGATTCATTGTCTTTGCTATTGTGAATAATGCTGCAATGAACATATGCATGCATGTGTCTTTATGGTAAAATGATTCATATTCCTTTAAGTATATACCCAAAATTGGGATTGTTGGATCAAATGGTTGTTCTGCCTTAAGTTCTTTGAGAAATTGCCAAACTGCTTTCCACAGTGGCTGAACTAATTTACATTCCCACCAGCAGTGTATAAGCATTCCCTTTTCTCAGCTTTACCAGCATCTCTGAGTTTTTGACTTTTTAATAGTAGCCATTCTGACTGGTTTAACATGTTATCCTACTGTGGTTTTGACTTGCATTTCTCTGATGATTAGTGATGTTGAACTTTTATTAATATGTTTTTTGGCCATGTATATGTCTTCTTTTGAGAAATGTCTGTGTCCTTTGACTACTTTTTAAAGGGGTTGATTTTGCTTAATCTGATTAAGTTCCTTAAAGATTCTAATATTAATATCTAATATTCATATCTAACATCTAATAAAACTAAATCTAATGTCTGATTTTAATATCTAAAGACATTCTTCCTTTGTTGGATGCACAGTTTGCAAGTATCTTTTCCCATTCTGTGGGTTGTCTATTTACTCTGTTGATAATTTCCTTTGCTGTGTACCTCTTTAATTAGGTCCCATTTATCAATTTTTGTTTTTGTTGCAATTTTTAGGGTCTTCATCATGAAATCTTTTCCAGGGCTGATGTCCAGAATGGTATTTCGTAGGTTTCCTTCAAGGGTTTTTACAGTTTTAGATTTTACGTTTAAGTCTTTAATCCACCTTGGGTTTTCGTATATGGTGTAAGGAAGAGGTCCAGTTTCAATTTTCTGCATATGGCTAGCCAGTTATCTCAGCTTCATTTACCAAATAGGGAGTCCTTTCCCTATTGCTTGTTTTTGTCAACTTTATCTAAGATCAGATGGTTGTAGATGTGTGGCTTTTTTTCTGGGCCCTCTATTCTGTTTTACTGGTGTATTTGTTTCAGATCTTTGATGGCCACCCCAGACGTGGACCACTGCAGAACACTATGCATCACCTAAGTCAACAGCTCATTTTTATTCATCAAGTATTTATTAAGGGCTCATTAACAGCAAAGCACCATACTACAGATATAAAAGAATGAAGTATATCTGACATGTGCAGATTCTGTTTCTAAGGGGATTGCTGCTTAAGAGAAAAATAATTCATGCGCATAAATAACTATAATAAAGTGGGGAAGCTCTGTGTGCTTAAGAGAATCACTGTTAAAAAAAAAAAAAAACTCTCCATGTGCTAACAATGCACTTGGGTTAAGCCTTGAGGACAAGAGGATTTTAGAGTAAGAAGGTAACCAGTGCAGGAAAGTACAAAAAAAAAATCACAGGGAATAGCACATAGTTAAAATTAATAGAATAAAATAATTAATTCTAATTAATTTTGAAAATTGAAACCAGGTCTACATAATGAACATATTAAATGTGTCATTTTAGTTTTGATTTTATTGGTGTTGGATAAGAAACACTTATAAGTCTTTGTAAGTGTGAATCTAAGAAGTGGTCTTTAGATAATCTTTAGACCATGAGTAGAACATGTTGTATATTTCATCCTTCAACAAGCACTCCATCATCTCTAAGGACCCACATTTGAGGTGAAAAATATACTAAAAGTAAATGAAGAATAGTAGATATGTAGAGTTCCCAGGGGAAAAATTTGAGTAATTCTTTTAACAATATTTTTCATACAAGTTTAACAAAAAGATTTACTAAAGAGGAGCAAAAGGGGGGTTTTAAAATAAATATTTTAGAATAAAAGAGATAAGAATTTCAGTGGGCCCCCAAAATTTAAAAGGACCAGAAACATTAGATTATAGCAAACATTACAGCATAAAAGAAATCCACAATGTCAAGATAAAGTTAATGGCCTAGCAACTTGGTTGTCAACTTTTTATTTAATTACACTCTGGACATATTTGAGAGGTCTTCATATGGGTAAGAAAACTATGCTGCTAAAAGTCCATCAAAGATAAACACAGGTCTATGTACCAAGAGTATATACAATCAACCTTCCCATGAGCCAAATGTTTATTATACCAAAATTCAAATGATCTCTTAGGCTATTCCTGTTTATTTCTTGTCTTTTTGTTTAGTACCTGTATTAGTCCATTCTCATGCTGCTAATAAAGACATACCAAAGACTGGGTAATACCTAAAGGAAAGGAGGTTTAATGGACTCACAGGTCCACATGGCTGGGGAGGTCTCACAATCATGGCGGAAGGTGAAAGGGGAGCAAAGTCACGTCTTACATGGTGGCAGGCAAGAGAAGTGCTGAGCAAAAGGGGGAAAGCCCCTTATAAAAGCTCAGATCTTATGAGAACTCAGTATCATGAGAACACCAACATGAGAGTAACCATCCCATGATTCAATTACATCCACCTGGCCCTGCCCTTGACACCTGGGGAGTATTACAATTCAAGGTGAGATTTGGGTGGGGACACAGCCAAACCATATCAGCACCCAATATAATCATAATTCTAAAGAAGCTCTGTGAATTTAATCTTAATGTAGACTATTCTGATATCATAATATATTATTAGTGAAATTGGAGGGATTAATATTTTGTAATAGGGTAAAATTAAGGATAGGCAGTGTGAATCTAAGACCAAGATGTCTACTTGCAAGGCAAAAGAATATGCTCTGAGGAGAAAAAGTCAAAGTAGGAACCCATAGTGAAAATAAATAAATAAATAAAACTTTGTTTATAAATTAAATATAAGGTTTACTTAGTAGGCTAGAACACCTATTAACTTGTATTGATCAAAGTAGTAACATTAATATACACAGCCAAGTTGTTTTCTATGTATCATCTCTTTCCCTCATGGAACATTCTTACAGAATTGAGCAGGTCTATGAGAAGCTGCTTCTTAAGCAAAGATGCCGCTTATGATGCAGTTGTTGCTGTAGCTATAGGTTTATGACTGGAGAAGCCTGGTATGTTGGCAAGGGAGACATATATATTCAGCCATTCAGCCTCCTGTTCCCCTCTGACACTATATGTTAAGTAAATATATATCTATGTCCCTAAAGATCACAGTGCCAATGATGCCATCCAGAGTCAATTAGCCTATTGCTCAGATATGAGACCATACAAGTCGTCTCTGATAATTTTTTTAATCTGTTGATCTTAGTGTTAATCTAGAGATTCTAAGAAATTAAAAGTTTTATATTGTAAATTAACTATGTTTGAAAAAGACATAAGCAGATTTGGCATGTGGTGTTAATAAACGTGTACCATCTCCTCTAAGTTCTACAGACCAAAAGCATTATTAATTTTCTTCACCTCTCATTGGTTTGTGTCTCTACCTCCTATAAATCCAGCAAAACTTAAAAAAAACCCTAGGAAATACTATTCTAGACATAGGCCTTGGCAAAAATTTCATGACAGAGACTCCAAAAGCAATTGCAAACAAAAAAACACAAAATTGACAAGTAAGACCTAAATAAAGAGTTTAGATTAAATTACACCAAAGACCTAATTAAACTATCAACAGAGTAAATAGGCAATCTACAGAATTGGAGAAAATATTTGCAAACTATGTATCTGACAAAGTCTAATATCCAGAATCTATAAGGAACTTGAACAAATTAACAAGCAAAAAAACAAACAATCTCATTTAAAAATGGGCAAAAGACATAAACAGGCACTTTTCAAAAGAAGACATATCGATAGCCAACATTATATAAAGTCTTATTAGGCTCAACATTGCTAATCATCAGAGAAATGCAAATCAAAACCACAATGAGATACCATCTCACACCAGTCACAATGGCTGCCATTAAAAAGTCAAACAAATAACACATGCTGGTGAGGCTGCAGAGAAAAGAGAATGCTTATACACTGCTGGTGGGAATGCAAATTAGTTCAGCCACTGTGGAAAGCAGTTTGGCAATTTCTCAAAGAATTTAGAACTACCACTCAACCCAGTAATCTCATTATTGGGTATATACCCAAAGGAATATAAATCATTCTACCATAAAGATGCATGCACACTATGTTCATCACAGCACTATTCACAATAGCGAAGACACGGAATAAACTTAGATGCCCATCAACAGTGGACTGGATAAAGCAAATGAGGTACATATACATTATGGAATCCTATGCAGCCATAAAAAAAATGAGACTGTGTTCTTTGCAGGAACATAGATGTAGCTGGAGGCCATTATCCTAGTGAATTAATGCAGGAACAGAAAACCAAATACTACATGTTCTCATTTATAAGTGAGACCTAGCCATTTAGTACCCATGGACACAAAGATGGGAACAATAGACACCAGAGCCTACTTGAAGCTACAAGGTAGGAGGGAGGGTAAGGATTAAAATTACCTATTGAGTACCGTGCTTATTACCTGGGTGAAGAAGTAATATGTACACCAAACTCCCTTGACACTCAATTTACCCATATAACAAACCTGCACATGTAACCCCTGAACCTAAAATAAAAGTTGGAAGGAAAAATAAAAATTGTAAAAAAAATCAAAACAAAACCAGGGAAAGACTTGGCAGAAGTCAGTCCAGCAACTACTTTAAGAAAAAAAAATCATTTCCTCCCAGGAGTCCTTAACACAAAAATAGGCATACCTTTCTTGCATTTATTTAATAAGATGATGCCACAGTTGTACTGGGGAAAATATGAATAGTCATAACAAATAACTCATTTTATTCCAAAATCAACTATTAATATATGGATTCAAGTTGCTTATTAACTATACCCACTGTTAAACAGTTCTCTGGTAATGAGATGGTCCCTCAATCATACTATAAAATAGAATATTTTACTATGTCTTAAGTACTTATGGGCAGAAACAAACATATCTCAGCATGAAATTATCTATGCCTTGTAACTAAGTATGAAAACATAGTGAGGACAGTGAGAGTTATTTCCCTGAATTATTTACTTTTAATTATTTATGATAGCAGGATAAAATTACATAATCACCTTCAGAATCCATGCTTAATGAACTTATTTCATCTACTCTGAAAAGTCATTTTTTATTCCTCCATCCTTCATAAAGCTGTGCACTTCTCAGGGTTCCCTTTTATGGAGTGTGATACAGAGGCAAATAAAATGAAAGAAATAGTCCACAAAAGTCTTCCCAGAACGAGACATAAGAAAAAATCAGACTGTGGAATGCAGCAAGGAAATCACAGGAAATATTTTAAATGTTTCTCCTTTTAAAAAATCAGAAAATACAAATTGGGCCATTAAATTCCAAAAGTATGGATTCCTAAAAATTGTTTAAATGTCCTGAAAGGTAAGGATATGTGAATTTATGACTGATGAAAGGAGATAGCAAATGCCTTACACCTGGATATTTGCAAGCATCTGGAAAAGCTTTATCTGTGGAGCAGTTCCTGAGATCCTTCACCTACCCAAGACTATTTATTTGCTAAATGCACAGTCATCGTAAGAAACAGATGGCAGAGGTGCTCACTTTTGTACAACATAATTACAATAAAATAAAGCATAGTGATTTTGTCAGAAGAGGAAAAATGCATAATGCACTTGCTAAAATTGGCTAATTGATTTCACAGAGCCAAGGAGACACAGTGGTATGAGTGGATGTGTGTGTACACATAGAATCTTTCTTCACATCTGATGCATTAAAGAAATGCTAACTTCAACTATGCCATTACCATCCTCAGCACCACCGTGAACACCAGATTTCTCTCTTATAAGATTTTTTGAGGTACAATTGCTATACCAAAAATTATACATATTTAATGTATACATTTTGATTAGTTTGGACATATATATATACACCTGTGATACCATCACTACAATCAAGGTATTATACTAAACATATTCATCGCCTCCAACAAATTCCTTATGTTCTTTTCTGTTTTGTTTTTGGTAAGAACACATAACATGAGATCTCTTCTTAACGTATTTTAAAGTATGTTAACAATACAATTAGTGCACTAACAATACATACAGTGAATTGCGTTGTTAACTACAGGTACTGTATTGTACAGCAGATCTCTAGAACTAATTCATCTTGTATAACTGAAACCAAGTTTTCAAAACAATGGAGAAGGATCATTATGGTAACAATCTTACGGTCCCTTAACCTTCCTGCTCTCTGATTTCATGACAATAATGGCAGCATCCAATGCTGACACTATTTTGGGTATTGTATGTACATATATACATATATGTTTTTGTCTAAATGAAGAAACAAGGGAAGGGTGGGCTTGTTTTCTCCCAGTGATTCAGGGCAGAAATGTGATATTCCAACCACTGGAATAATGGAAAATCTATTGCCCATACAAATACAGGATACTGCTGTTAATTTTCTCTACAGTGTCTACTAAAACAAATGTAAAACCTTCTGTAGCCAATTACCTAGATACCAATAAGTTGCAAAGAAAGAAAGTTGTGCAGGAGCTTGAATTCAAGCATGTCAAAAGAGGGAAGAAAATGCTTGCTGAACTAGGATCACCAAATGTAAAACTGCTGAGCAAGAAAGAAGTATGTAAATTGATTAAATTTTTCAAGAGAGAGTCATTTTCCTTTCTTTTCTCCTCATGCTGAGAACATTTCTTTTTTAAATATCATGGTCACTAGAGGTTGAATATTCACTAGAAAGCACATTTCAGCACAATTACACGTCAAATCTTGCCAGACAAAATGTGTGCAGGTCTTTGGGAGTACTGATACCTTTGAAATAAATTGTGTGTTAACAAACAGTCCATTCTGGTGATACAAGTTAATTGCATAATTATGTTGGGATAAGACAATACAATTACCACATCTCACTCTACACAGATCTCAGGATAGGTATCCAATTAACTCAGGTCAACAGACTCCTTGCTTAGGATGTGGTTTTCAGTCTGCTCCCAAGATGACATCACACAGTTGCCTATCTCCTGAAGTGCAAAAAAGGTTTTTAAGGAAATAAGGCAATTTTGAAGAGGTTAGGAGCAAACTGCTGTGATCTACTTGATTCAGAAAGTAGTATTCTAATAAATCTCTTTCAGTATGTCATGAAAATATTGTTCAAAATCGATCAGAGTGGCTAAAATATACAAAAGTTCATTATGTTGTTTTCCATAAATATTTCATTCAAGGATTGTATCAAAGCTGAGGACATGAGAGTTGAATGTAGTCTCAAAAACATCAGAAAGCATGGAAATCCTATTTTATAAAGATATATTTAAAACTGAGAAGATTACCAGACTATCGCAAGCAAAGAGAGAGCCTAGCATGGAATTTTAGAAAATATGAAATGCCTTTAACAACTTGCCAAATAAATAGGTTTTGATATATAAAGAAATCTGTAATATCATGGAAGGATTCGTTTTTTATTCATTTGTTATCCTGAATACAAAAGCAGCATTGAGCAGAAATGTCAAAATAGGGAACATCTGTTGGTGCCATCCCCTCCAGCAGAAACTGGTAACCCCTTTTGCAATTACATAGCATTTACTTACCACTTTTCTAAACACTTGTCATATTGCAACACAATTATTTTTAAGACTCTTCCACAATAAGATAAATTGCTAAGAAACAGGGAATGTGTCCAAATTCACCTTTTCATCCCCATCTATCATTCACTTAGTTCCCAATAAATGTGTGTTAAATAAGAGAAAAATGTATAAACAGCAATGTAATAAATTTCATTATCATGCCACATAGATATGGGTCTTTCGTAGTTATTTCAACATTAGCCATCATTAGGTTTATATAAAGAGGAAATGAATAGAATGGCAACGCAATGTTATATCCTACATAAATGGAATTCTCTGGCTCATGGTAACGGAATGTAGCCAGTTGGAAAAGCCATGAAGTGGAACTAAACAGTGAAGTCAGTGAAGTTGGTACAGATGCTGGGAGAAACTCCAGGTTGTTAGACCTCACACAACATCCAAATATAAACCAAGATAATGCACTGGCATTGATATTTCTCATATGGGATATATGAAGCCAAATGCTATCTTGTAAATCTATATCAGCACATTGCCTAGATGTTTAAGCTCTGTCCACAATTTCCTGGCTACCACACTGGCTTTTAGAGACAGGCCTCTTTGTCTCAAATCTAGGCATTAATGAGAGCCAGCAAGGCCCTGGTCCTAAAGAGGCTAAGATGTTGGGCAAAAACAAAGACACGATTTGAGCAAAAACAAAGACAGATATGCTTTTTCACTGGAAAAAGTATAGTTATCCAGAAGGCGGAGACGACATGGAATTAGACTTGCCAAATAAATCACAAGTCCAATACAGAGCTTTAAATATAATAAAGGTTGAAATTGGAGCTTGGATGACTTGATTCAAAGCCTTAAGTCACTTAATTTTCTTTTATTTTCTATGTAAAGTCAGGATTGGATCTGGAGACAAAGCTGGTTTGAACATGTTAATGGGAGCTAAGCACCTCTTGTTTTCAATTTAAAAATGTATGCCACGGTAAGGAATTAGGCAGAACCTGACACAAAGTCTGCAACTTTTGTTCCCCACCAGCATATTCAATTTGCTATGGGCAGCCCCCACTCATGACTTTATGAAGTAAATATAAATAGAAGGCAACTAGAGATTTTTAGCCCCAGAATGCCTCTAGTGCATTGTTCCATTGAGATTCTGCTACCTGAGATAATCCCAGATCTATTATCCACTCCTGTTTGAATTTCACTTACGATGGACTATCCTTTTTTGGGGTTTTTTGAACCTAAATTCTTAATTACTCAAGTCTTGGACTCAGTATGTTTTCTCTTTGTTTTGGAAACCTAAACACTTAGCTCAGGGGTTAGATATGTGTGTTTGGACCCAAATTAAGTTCTGAATAATCTTCTTGGCTTGATAAAAACCCACATTCCTCTAGCAGTTGGCAAGACTCTTTCTGCTTCTCACTGTTCGTTCCATTCTTGAGAATGTGAGATGGTATGGCTCCCGCATTCTTCCAGCTAAGTATCCCTCGCTGTTCAACTGCAGCATGAATGACTAGACCCTGGTTAGACTATATTTTAGCTCATTCCCTAAGCTCATGGACCTTGGTAAAACAGCACACAGAGTCCTAGTCCTAGTCCTGCCTATTTGTAGTTCTACCACCACACGCACCTCATTGCCTAAATCTTTAAAAAATATTTGCTTTGGGCGTCCAAGCAAGGAAGACAGATTGTAGCAACTGCATGCTTCTGTTTCTGCTATTTAGAAAGATACACTCTGTACATCCAGATGGTAGCACTACCAAGTCCCTGGATATTTCTCCCCAGGAGCACGGAGTCAGACACTGTTAACTATGGTATTTATTTGTGATACTTGCAGAGAAGTGGCAAATTAATATTAATATAGATCACACAGCCGGGAAGGAAGCCCTATCCTTCAAGTGAAAATGTGCATACTCCAGGAAGGGGGCCTGCAGCAATGGGAACACTGGAGAGGCCCTTCTTCCCATTGAGTTCTAGCAAAACATGTTTCCCAAACAATAATAGAGAATCAAGAAAATTATGTGCTAAATATTAAACTTGAAAGCCAACTCTACCAAAATGATTCAAACCCACAACTTTATTTCAAATATTTTCAACACTGGCCTGCTTTTATAAACTAAATTCAAATAAAGTTATGAAAATATTTTGCTTACCCTCATGATACAGATGTTAGAGGCATGCTTAACAGCTTTCTCAGTTTCTTTCTTTACAATGAGTTGTCTAGTCAACCACAGAGATTTAGTGAATATTTCCAGGTCTATTTTTACATGTCCCTCAAAAATTAATAACTGACCTGGAAAATCATGTTATACATATTATATAAGAGAAATGAGCATGACTTTTGTTCTCATTAATCTCTCTATGTAAGTTTTCGGAAGTTAGAATACCTGAGGTTGAACTGACATTTAACAGTATAAAATGATAAGTAGTCAAGAACTACGTGCTAAGTTTTAAATTTTCTGTTTTTTAAAAATTGAAACTGATTTTTAAATATTACATCTTCTTCAAAATATTTTAGGCTGAGCATGGTGGCTCAGGCCAGGTGCAGTGGCTCACGCCTGTAATCCCAGCATTTTGGGAGGCTGAGACGAGGGGATCACCTGAGATCAGGAGTTCGAGACCAGCCTGGCCAAGATGATGAAACCCCATCTCTGCTAAAAATACAAAAATTTAGCCAGGTGTGGTTGCACCTGTCTGTAACCCCAGCTACTCGGCAGGCTGAGGCAGAAGAATCGCTTGAACCCGGGAGGCGGAGGTTGCAGTGAGCCCAGATGGTGCCATTGTACTCCAGCCCGGGTGACAAGAGCAAAACTCCATTTAAAACAAAAAACAAAAAAAAAAAAAACGCAAAGTTAAAATAATTAGGTTACATTAAAAAAAAAAAAACAGAAAATAAAATATACCTTTTACATCAGTTTAGTCAATAAATTTTATAAGTAAGGAAACTCTATGGAACCAGGGGATTTGGTTAAGTAACCCACATTTAGCATGATTTTGCAATCTGAACACCGCTTCTGGTATGTTGTAAGGATTCTGGAAACACTGGAGGAATTCCATACCTTAAGATTCTAAATAGGATGGGAACATATGAATAGTATTCTAGTTTACTTAAATGTTTACCCAAAAGGTAGCCACTTGATTGATCCTGTCCTGGAACTCTTATAACAATGTAAACCCCTCTACAGAATGCTAGGAGAGTACACACTTAGTGATGTTTAATATTTAAATGAACACTTGAATGAATGAATGAACTGGAAACCTCATATTTTTTTCTCATAAATGTTTCCTTCTTCCCCTCTTAAGCTGCGATAGAAAAAAAAAATCTCTCTCAACTAGGTTCTATTTCCAATGGCCATAATATTCTTAAGAATTAAACATCACATACATATGCACTTAATCTTCTAAAATCCTTTCAAAATTGTGTCATATGCAATTAGTGAATTGTGTAGATTGAGCTTCTAGGAACGATAAAGTTCTTTATATGGATTCCATTTCAAATAAAAGAAAGTATTAATCTTCATAACCATGTCTTAGGTTTAAAATTCTTGACATATTAGAAAAAAAGAAACTTTCTCATCAATATTAAATAATTAAAAGTGGTCATAGTTGAACAGTAACCTACCAAGTTTTACCTTTTCCAAGTTCGGACCCACATTTTCAGTGATTTGTTTTCAGCCTGGGGCAGATGACATTCATTCCAATGAATCTGCATTTACAGAACCCATGAGCTATGGAAAATCAAATCATAGTTTTCGTTTTTGCTCTATTTATTTAAAACTATCTCAGTCGGGTGCTGTGGCTCATGCCTGTAATCCCAGCACTTTGGAAGGCCAAGGACACGAGGTCAGGGGTTCAAGAACAGCCTGGCCAACATAGAGAAACCCTGTCTCTACTAAAAATACAAAAAATTAGCTAGGCGTGGTGGTGGGTGCCTGTAATCCCAGCTACTCGGGAGGCTGAGGCAGGATAATTGCTTGAACCCAGGAGGCAGAGTTTGCAGTGAGCCAAGATAGCGCCATTGCACTCCAGCCCGGGCAGCAGAGCAAGACTCCCTCTCAAAAAAAAAAAACAAACAAAAAACAAAACAAAAACACCAATCTCATGTTTCCTAGGAGGTGATTTTAGCTAGCATTTATCAATAATAATTCTAGGAAAATTGCAAACTTTTTAAAACTTACACATCCATAATTATGCCTTTCCCAAACTGTTTCCAGAATAGTTATTTTTGATAATAAAAATGTATTTATTTAATGAAATGTGTGGTAAAGTATTATAGACTTTCATATACATAAACTCACTATTAGTCTAATCTGCCTTGAATTTACAATTTATCCTAAAGTTCAAAATAGATTTTTCCCTTTGTTCTAAAAGTTTTGCTTAGGCTTCTGGCCAAAACCAATATAATCCTAACCTAAGACCTAAGTAAAGCTTTAGTATGCTTATGCACAGTGTATGTAATGCATGATTTCCCATATAGAGGCAAAAAGGTGAACTTTAATAGCATAGACCTTAAGCAATATTTTCTTTCACTTGCTACTTTATAAGTATGAATTATAAGAAAACTAGACACTAACATTCTTTCATCCGGTATTTTTTTCCAGGATCCATTTAAGATGAAAATAACTATGGTGACTAACATTATCACTCTACTAGCTAGCACTCATATGGCTATTGTTCAACCATCACTTGCAGCATTTGAGAATTTGGGTATAGGAGGCAAATCCCAATTCAAGACTAACAGGGGCTTCCAGTAATCCAAAGAAAGGAGAAAAGAATCCTATCGAGGATCTCACGAATCACCACTAAATAACTTACTCATGTAACCAAATACCACCTGTACCCCAACAACTTACGGAAAAATAAAGTAAAATCAAATAAAATAAAGAATCCTACCAATATTATAAGATTCACTCATGTGCCTCTTGAAAATCCCCAGACTTCATAACTGGCCTCTTCCAAATACAAATTAGAGCTCTATTTACCCTCATTGGGTTTCCTTAGGCTCAAATCCTTTCATTCTCTTGACTATGAATTGGAACAGAAGTAGGCACAGTTGGTCGTTTCAGAACTTTATTTCTAGCCACTTCCTCCTTCATGTCTTCCACAACTCACCACCAAACAATGTATTTAGGTACATATATTTCATGAATGCATTTATTTATTGAAATGGTGCCACTTCTTGTTTCAAGCTGACTGGAATTTTTTTCCATTACAACTTACTGTTGGTTTCCAACACCTGATAAATGTTCATAACAACACATATATGATTATATCAAAGCTATTCAATAATCTGAAAATGGAATATAGTTATTATGAATATTTTATATTATCCATACTTCAGAAATAAAAAATAAAAAATACTTAAAGCAAAACCCATCCATGTTCAGGACATATAATCTCATGTTAAGGCCATACAAGGTTTGTTTTGTTTTGTTTAATCTTAAATAAACTACTGGAAGCATGAATTCCCTTGACCAAATCCTCGACAAAAATTGTACTGGAGCTGGACTGAGGGGCCTAACAAAACATCTGAGCCAACTTTTCCATTTGAAAGAAAGGAAATTGAGATCCAGCTGGTGCTACATACAGGGTACTAGTGATAAGGTTGGGTCTGACACTTCACCCTCCCAGCTTTGGGGTGAGGCTCTTTCCAGACAAGGATACATAGGAGCTGAACTGTTTCTAACTGGTTTATGTTTTTTTAAGGAAGCCCATCAATTTTTTATGTGATAAAGATAATCATGTATACAAATCTATTATATCAATTATCACGTGAAAATGGTGGAGGAATTTTAACCAAATGTGGGAATTATGTCTGGGACAATGTGACTTATATACATTGTGGGTTATGTGTATATTTGCAATTCACTTTGCAGAGCCATAACAGCTAAAGATATCAGTAGTCATCTTTCCAAGCAGCCGACACTGAAGTCTAAGGGAGAGAACTGCGTATGGGCCTTTCAGGAAAGATACAGGAACCATGGGCAGAGGGGGAGGGGCGGCACCAAATATGAGGACAGACTCTCAAATGGTAGGTTTCAAGCTGAAACATGCTGTATCTAATCTGGAAATGTTTGTATAGTGTATTCCAGGGAACAGCAGCAAGATTTAATTGCACAGGAAGAGGAAGATGGTACTGCTTTTTCTCTGTGTTTTGTAGAAGACCTCACAGCAGATTGAAGATCCTTTCTCTCTGGCTTCACACACTCCAGATATTGTCGCAAGTCTGGTTTGGTCCCTAACCCACTAACTCCCTTAACACTGAGCCCCTGAATTCAGAAGGGATAAGGAAAAGAAATACAAATCAGTATTTTTCCATATAGTCTTTTATATCCATTGCAAAAACTTGTAAAAGTAATATTTTCTGGCATCATTATATTTTTGACACTTTTATATCTGAAATAATGCCTTAAAACCCCAAACTTGAAACAAATATTATGAATATGGATGGCAATGAAGCTGCCTCTAAGAAAGCAGCAGGGTAGGAAGTACCTATGTGCTTCAAGTTAGCAAATGAGTCGCATTTGTCTGGCAAATAAACAAAGATATGAATCACCTCCTTGCCTAAAGCTGCTAATTCTTTGGAGCGAAATTATTGCCACAAAGAAAGACAGTGGCTGTGTTTGCTCCTGTTTCAACTAAGAGTGACAGACAGCTAACAGAAAACATTACCAAAACATTTGCTAATGATACATTTACATTGATAAATCTGTGAAATCCCATACACAACATGTTAATAGTATATAAACCTAGATCAAGTTTTGATCAATAGCAGCAAGTGGGTATCTTGAAAAAATCTATTATGCTTTTTCAATTTTGGATTCTGTTGTTACGGTTATTTACTGATTGAATTTTTGATCTTATGCACAAAGACTGAAGATTATTAGCATTCTTTGAATATAAATGAGTACTGTGATGGGATTCAATTTCTCACTGAATTTTAATTTAGAAGATGTTCTTTTTTGTTAGTTCATATTAATAATCAGAATTTTAATCATTTTCATGTGCCCATGGAAGTACTGCAAGAAAAAGAAGCAAATGTAGTTAGAAATACAAACTATATAAACCATAAAGTTTCAGTTCTATGTCCACATTATGATAGTATTATACCAGAGAAAGATCTCCAAAGTAATCTCACTGCTATTTTAATCCACACAAAGAGATGAAAAGATGTTCACTAACTATATCACTTTTCTGTTTCCGGTGATGAATTTTCTCAATGAACTATGTAACAACTCATCTAAGCATATTAAATCATTTTTAGTATGTACACACATGTGGCCACTAACTGAGCTTTTTGCTCAGACACATGAACATAAACACCAGACATGCCAGTTTTTCCTCAAATTAAAAGGACATATAAAATATCAGGAAGAATTCACAGGGAGAATGGGACTAGGCTTCTATCTAGGGGAAATTTTTATAGAAAAATCTATTTTTTCAAACAAAAGATATTAAACAATAGCTCATCTTTTCCCCTCATCTCTCTCTGCCCTTCACATATATATGTGATATAGCTATAGATATAGATATAGAGATACATATTTCAGATGGAGTCTCACTCTGTTACCCAGGCTGGAGTGCAGTGGTGTAATCTCGGCTCACTGCAACCTCCACCTCCCGGGTTCAAGAGATTCTCCTGCCTCAGCCTCTTGACTAGCTCAGATTACAGGCGCCCGTCACCATGCCCAGCTAATTTTTGTATTTTTAGCAGAGACAATGTTGCACTATGTTGGTCAGGCTGATCTCGAACTCCTAACCTCAGGTGATCCACCCACCTTGGCCTCCCAAGGTGCTGGAATTACAGGCATGAGCCACCGTGCCCAGCCCCATAACATATTTTCATAAAACATTTTATAAGTGCATTATTATAAAGTATAAAATACAATGTCCTTCCAGTTAAGGTTGATTTAACAGACTGTATGTGACATCATAAGACTTAAATACTAAAATTAGAAGATAATAGAATGAGAAGTTTCATTCCTGTGACTACAGGCTTCTGGATGTACATTTATTTACCCTCATTCTAAGAGTATTTAACTACTAATATAAGGTATTTAACACTGTACAAATAACTGTTTTGCTTTTGGTCAAAAAATCATTCTATTGTAAATTAACTTTTAGCTGTGCTGTATATGGCAACTTTAAACTTTTATTTACTTTAAATAGGAATCAATATTAGTTCTGGTAGACTTCACTAATAATCCTTTAAGAAAAGGATGAATTGTAGGGATGTGTAACAGTAGTTGGAGATAAAAATATTGGAGCAAGAAAAGATTTGAAGTACAACAGGTCCTCAAATAACACTGTTTTGTTCAATGTCATTTCCTTATACCATTGATGATGAAAAAAAAAAAACTCAAAAAAAAAAAACTCACTCTCATAAAAAACTGTCTGTGTGGAGTTTGCACATTCTTGCCACGTCTGCATGGGTTTTCTCTGGTTTCCTCACACATCCCAAACCTGTGCATGTTAGGCAAATGGGCATGCTTAAATGGTCCCTGTATGTGTGAGTATGTATGTATTATTCTGTTCTTGCACTGCTATAAAAAATTACCTGAGACTGGGTAATTTATAAAGAAAAGAAGTTTAATTGGCTCATGGTTCCCCAGGCTGTACTGGAAGCATTGCTAGAGATGCTTCAGGAAACTTATAATCATAGCAGAAGGTGAAGAGGAAGCAGTCACATCTTTCACAGCCAGAGTGGAAGGAAGAGAGTGAAGAGGGTGGGGGGTGCTACACACTCTTAAACAAGCAGATCTCATGAGAACTCACTATCACAAAGACAGCACCAAAGGAGAAATCCATCCCCATGATCTAATCCCTTCCCACCAGGCTCCACCTCCAACACTGGGGACTGCAATTTGACATGAGATTTGGGCAGTGACACAGACCAAAACCATATCAATTTCCTCTGGCCCCTCCCAAATTTCATGTCCTTCTCACATTTCAAAATACAATCATGCCTTCCCAAAAGTCCCCTAAAGTCTTAACTCATTCCAACATTAACTCAAAAGTCCAAGGTTTCATCTGAGACAAGCCTAGTCACTTCCACCCATGAGCTTGTAAAATCAAAAGCAAGTTAGTTACTTCCCTGATACAATGGGGTATAGGCATTGGGTAAATACTCCCTTTCCAAAAGGGAGAAATTGACCAAAACCAGAGGGCTGTAGGCCCTGTGTAAATATGTAACCCATCAGGGCAGTTATTAAATATTAAAGCTCCAAAATAATGTCCTTGACTCCATGTCTCACATCCAGGGCAGACTGGCCGAAGGGGTGGGCTCCCAAAGACTTGGGCAGCTCTTCTCCCTGAGGCTTTGTAGGGTACAACCCCAATGGCTGATTTTACAGGCTGGTGCTGACTACCTGCAACTTTTCCAGGTGCACAGTGCAAACTGTTGTTGGATCTACCATTCTGGGGTCTGGAGGACAGTGGCTTTCTTCTCACAGCTCTACTAGGCAATGCCCCATTGGTGACTCTGTGTGGGAACTCCAAACCCACATTTCCCCTCTGCATTGCCTTAGTAGAGGTTCCTCCTGAGTGCTTCACCCCTGCAGCAGGATTCTGCCTGGACATCCAGGCTTTTCTGTACATCTTCTAAAATCTAGGTGGAGGCTCCCAAACCTCAACTTTTGCACACTGTGCACCCATAGGCTTAACACTGCCTAGAAGCTACCAACACTTATGGTTTGCAATCTTTGAAGCAATGGCTGGAGCTGTACCTGGACCCCTTTTAGCCATGGCTGGAGCTGGAACAACTGTGATGCAGGGTACCACGTCCTGAGGTTTCATACTACAGTAGGGCCCAGGGTCAGGCCCTGGGTCTGGCCCATAAAACCATTCTGCCCTCCTATGCCTCTAGGCACGTTATGGGAGGGGCTGCTGTGGAGGTTTCTGAAATGGCTCTGAGGCCTTTTTCCTATTGTCTTGGTTATTAGTACTTGCATTTCTTTTAGTTATGCAAATTTCTGCCACCTGCTTCACTTCCTCCTTTGAAAATGGGTTTTCTTTTCTACCACATAACCTGGCTGCAAATTTTCCAAACTTTTATGTTCTGTTTCCCTTTTAAATATAAGTTCAAGTTTCAGATCATTTCTCTGTGTATGCATATGAGAATAGTCTTTTAGAAGCAGCCAAGCCACATCTTTAATGCTTTTATGCTTAGAAATTTCTTTGACCGGATACCCTAAATCATCAAACTCAAGTTCAAAGTCCCATATATCATTAGAACAGGGACATAATGCCACCAGTCTCTTTACTAAAGCATAGCAAGCAAGAGTGAACTTTATTCCAGTTCCCAATAAGTTCCTCATTTCCATTTGAGACCTCCTCAGCCTAGCCTTCACTTTCAATATCACTATCAGCATTTTCGTCACAACCATTTAACAAGTCTCGAGGGAGTTCCAAGCTTTCTCTCCTCTTTCTGTCTTCTTCTGAGCCCTCCAAACCGTTCCAACCTCCACCCATTACCCAGTTCCAAAGCTGCTTCCACATTTTCCTGTACTGTTGCGGTAATTAGAGGACCGGAAAGACCAAATGGGTATTACAGGAGGATTTTTATTAAAGTGTACAATGGCTCAGTGGATTCATATCCAAAAAGCTGAGCCTAGAACAAAGAAAGGGCTTGATTTTCATAAGCAAGCTTACAGAAGCAGAACAAGGACAGTTAATTAAATAGTGACAGGTCTCGTAATATCCAGCATAGCTTGTGACCTTGCAGCTGCATTGAAGGAGAAACCGGAACTTACAAAACTTGCAAAATATTTATGGGGAGTGGGTAAAGGGCTAAAAGAGGAATTTTGTTTTTCTTATCCTTATGTTGGGGAGTGCTGGGAGAGTCTCAAGAGAACATTCCTTTTGGGTTCTGACTTTTTAGATAGTGTTATCAGGACCTTGCCTGGGCCTGGGCTGTGTCTGTCACTGCTTTTTGGGATGACACAGCCTAATACAGGAAAACTTGTTTTCTCTTTTAGTTTTTATTTCTTCTTTCTCTAAGTACCTCTCAGTACCTCTAATAGCAATGCCCAACTTCCCCGGTACCAATTTTCTGTATTAATACATTCTCGCACTATTATAAAGAACTACCTGAGAATGGTAATTTATAAAGAAAAGAAGTTTAATTGGCTCATGGTTCTACAGGCTGCACAATAAGCATGGTTGGGGAGGCCTCAGGAAACCTACAGTCATGGCAGAAGTTGAAGGGGAAGCAGGCACATCTTACATGGACAGAGCAGGAGAAGGAGAGCAAGGTGGGAGGTGCTACACACTTTTAAACAACCAGAACTCATGAGACCTCACTCACTATCAGGAGAACAGCACCCAAGAGGAAATCAACCCACATGATCCAATTACTTCCCACCAGGTCCAACCTTCAACACTGGGGTTATAATTTGACATGAAATGTGGGCAGAGACACAGACCCAAATTATATCAGTGGATGTGTGTGAGTGAGCTCTGCAATGACATGACATCTTACCCAGGGTTGGTTCCTGCCTTCTGCCCTGAGCTACTGGGATGGGCTCCAGCCATCTTCAACACTGAACTGGAATAAGTGGACTGGAAAAGAATGAATGAATGAGTACAAATTACCATAAAATAAAAATCCATGAAGTATACAATGATCATACAAATACAAGACAATAAATAGTGCAGTACACTAGGGATCAGGGAGCCCACCACATTTGTTGTTGTTTTTGAATTACACATTTGTTGTTGTTTTTGAATTACATTATTGTAAGAAGCATGCCTTGCAATTTTCGCTTTGTAAACGTTTACCCCTGATTTAACCTACTACTGCTACAACCACCATTACTCACTGATTCACAAGCAACTGGGTAAAGAATTATCATTTTTTATTAGTCTTTCTTAAAGGCATGTATAGGTCACATTTATTTCAATGTTTAATATTAGAAGTGTTTTGGTTTTGTTTAGAAATTTGGTGATCTCTTTTTTTTTTGTAAACCAGAAATGTGCTTTACAAACTTAACTCTTGTTATATCAATTAACCTCTGGTAAAATTGGTTTTCTTATATGTCATTTTGCTTAAAGTCACAGTTTCCAAGAACTGATTGAAAACATTAAGCAAAGACTTACTGTTTTTTAATGTATCATCCTAATTGCCATAAATAATTCTGGGAGGTGGGGAATTAATGCTGGATATTCCATCTATACACCAAAAAAATTTTTAAAAAAGCATCAGCTTCTTTAAATCTAGTACATAAAAAGTAGATTCCAACCACATGGTACATCATGTAAAACATCAAAACTCCTGTAAAATTCAAATTGAAGCCACATTTAGAGCATATAGTTGCCAACACAATGACATTTTGTTTATGTGAATGATGTAAGTGGAGATACATATGTTCTTTTTTTTAATGTTTCATTTTACATTTTTTCCTTATCTAAAAATTACACAACTTTAAATATTAAAATTTGGACATTTATTTTAAAATAAACTAGCAGTTCTTTCTCATTTTGTTTTTCCCCTAAGGGATGATATTTCAATTTTGTGATAATTAACAGTGAGGAGGTGATAATATAAGGATATTATATTTATTTTCTAACTGTCCCTTGCCTATAACACACTGCATTGTCCTCTTAGAATTTAAGGAGAGCTAGCCTTTTGAGTTGGTACACTGAGATGAACAAGATATGTCTTGAAAAATGAGCATTTATTCACATTAGACAGATCCTCTATTCTACTAGGGTCATTTAGGCCTCAGAAATTCGTAAGAGATTTCTAAGAAAAAAATTTGAAAGTGCTTTCATTCTTCTGAAATTTGCAATACAGAAAGACTTCTTAATTTCAGAATAACTAAGAGTTGAACCAATCTGAAGTCCTAAGATTCAGACATATAAATTACTGTTTTATATAATTAGGTAAACTATGATTTTATTTCTTCTTAAATGTTTACGACTATCTCCTGAACTTTTTCCAGAGATTTATTTATTCAGTAGTCACCCCAATACTTTGGCAAATGTCAGAGCTCCAGAAACATTTGATTGGAATTAAATATGTTGTTTTCCATTTTGACAAACCTTAATTCCTTGCTCCAGCCTTCACTCCACCCTGTTTGCCCCACCCTAATCACTTCTGAATACATTCCATCCATTGCCCTTTTATTCTAACACTGTGCTAAATATTAAATACATGCTAACCCAACCTGATACCATGAAATGTAACATAAATCATATTAAAGGATTAGGGGAATTTGTGTGTTTTTAAGAAGTTATTTGAAATAAAACCTTCTAGATTTTTAAGTTATTTTGCACTGGAATAAGTTGGTTTCTGTATTTTCTCTGTTCACCTTCTTAAGCCTGTGGAGAAACCTTGCCTGCCTCCAAACATATCCTGTATACAAACAAGTGAGAAATCATAGAGCTCTGCCATAGCATTTGCTTTTTATGCAGCTCATTTTATGGGAGCACCTGTTCATGTAGATAAATGATGCCAAAATTGGATGTCAGCCCAAAAGATAGTGACTTCAGTGCAGTAAGCCAAGCAGGAGTTGGACCTGCACACAGTAGGCAAGTCCATCCAGCCTCTGTAGTCAGGCCCTGAGGGTCCAAGTTTTCAGCAGCCGGTTAGACCTCCTACATGTCTGCATATCCTGCTTACTGTGGAAGAAATGTACATTTATAAACACAAACCCTGAGTTAAAATCCATCTATGGCCATAAATTAAAATGGGTCCTCCATTCTATATTCATTGCTTGGCAATTAAAGAGTCCATTTGAATAAACATGGTCCTATGCAAACACTTTGAAGTGTGGCAGTTATCACAAGTGTACACATCCAACAGCCTTTGTCTGTCTTTGACTGTTGCCAACTCCACCATAAGGGGGATATTTCTGAGTCTAAAAACAGCTAGCATAGAGAAAACTTGTCAAAACTAAACAAGGCATTCCCTGTTAAAACATTCATAGAAAGAAAAATCCATTTTAGAACAAGTTTAGTTCTCAAACAAATACTACTGATTGTATGAAAACTAATATCATAAACATTAAGGTAACAGTTACTTTTTGACATACAGAGGCTCAAAACACATAGCTATATCTATATAACTCCAGTGTTCATGTTCTGAAACTTGAGCACTTACATTATTTCATCCAATTCTCAAAACAAGTCAGTAAAATAGTGTACTAGTTTTTCATTGCTGAAGTAACAAATTACCAGAAATTTGGTGGTTTAAACCAACAAAAATTATCTTACAGTTCCAGGGGTCACAAGTCCAAAATGAGTCTCAATGGGCTAAAATGAAAGTTTCGGCAAGGCTGTTTTCCATTTGGAGGCTGTGAAAGAGAATGCATTTCCTTGTGGCCTGCATTTCCTTGTGGCCTGCATTTCTTAGCTTATGGCCCCTTCCTCCATCCTCAAAGCCAGGAAAGGTAAGTCAAGTCTTTCTCACATTGCATATGCATAACGTTGACACTAACTCTTCTGCCTCCCTTGCCCACATTTAAGTACCTTGTGATTGCACTGGGCCCACCTGGGTAATCCAGGATAATCCCTTTACTTAAAGTCAGTCGACTGGCATCCTTAGTCCCAACTTCAGTCTTAATTCACCCTTGCCATGGAATATAACAATTCACAGATTTGGGGGATTACAGGTAGATATCTTTGAGGGTCAATGATTCTGTCTGTCAAAAATAGGAATGATTGGCCTCATTAACATATGAGAAAGGTGAGGCTTAAAGAAGTTGAATAATTTGCCTAAATGTACATAGCTAATAAGCTGAAATATTGGGAGTGCTTCCCCTCATCTGTCCAATAGCTGCTGTATCCTTCAGGGTCTTGGCAAGAAAGAGATGGCATATCCAAATGGTAATTTAAGGAGACTTTAATAAAACCATTACTTAAAAAGTGTGGCCATATGTAAGAAAATTATCATGGCATTAACTGGGGACTAGTAATGAGGTTCTGTTACTACACTGAAGAGGTAAAGGGAAGAAGAGTATGATGAGAACTTGAAGACAGAGGAATAGAGCCAAAAAAGGAGATCTTAATGTACAGGCTGCCAAGAGTTACCTTGTCTTACGGAAAACAGTCAGCCAGTGGTAACCCTGAAGAGAGGGTACTAGGAAATTAAGGACACTGACTTTACTCCCATTTCCCAAACTCTTCTGAGTGCTCCATATTCAAAAACCTGGTGCTAAGACAGAGGCCAAGCAGGTCATTTGCCGAGTCTAAACTGGTCAGCCTCTGCAGAGAGCAGAGTAGAGGAAAGCAGAGAGGGGATCAGAGGCACAACAGAAGACACTGGGGAGTTTCTCCAAATTTATTATTGATTTATTAATTTATTGATTTACATTAATAATCATTGCTGATATCTGGGTTTTACTAAAAATGACTTCAACATTTTGATTTTATAAGCAATTAGTATGGAGGTGGTCAAAGACTTATCTTTTCCTTCACATATTACCCTTTCCACAAAAATGTATTTAGTTGGTGCAGAAGTAATTGCAGTTTTGGCCATTAAAAATAATGGCAAAAATCACAATTACTTTTGCACCACCCTAATACCTATTTACCTTTTTTTACTTTATTGGCTTTAAGCTTCAGAATCCAAAAATTTTTAAGTGCTTTCACTCTTCTGAAATTTTCAATACAGAAAGACTTAACTTCAGAATAACTGAGAGTTGAACCAATCTGAAACCCTAAGATTCAGACATATAAATTACTGCTGTTCTATATTATTAGATAAACTATGATTTTGTTTGACCCCACTGGGAATAATTTATGACTGAACTTCCACTGGCTTCATTTTGAATAAATCTTTTCAGATACAGATAGACCAAGATACAATAGGTTAAATTATTAGAAAGGTGTCATAGGATAGAATGACTCAAGTTGAATCTGATACTTGAATATAAATGTTAAAAATATTTTTAAAAACTTTAAGACAGTACAGTACAATTTTTTCATCTGATAGACATTTTCTGAGACAACCTCTGAAAGATATCAGAGCAACTTGATGGCTTTTTGAGAGACCAGTTCAAGGTTGTCCCTCAGCTACCTGTTCTCCTTACTACAACTTATCTTTAGCCTTTATTTTCAGTTGTTCCATTAATAGCATTCAATATGAAAGTCAAATTTCCTGGAATTACCTCCTTATCCATACCAGGAGCTTCACCTTTCAGTCTTGCACTTTGCATGTGTCCGAGGCATTGATACCGTCAAAATGCATAAATTCACACTATTTGTACTAGATTTTTTATCCTTTGACCTCTTTTCAATTTGTTATTCAATATCAAAAGACTACAGAGCTTTGACTTGAAGTGTCAACCTCAAAGGCACTTCTAATACAAGAAAGAGAGCCTTTACATGGCCAAATACCTGTCTTCCCATTATTTGAACTCTGTCATCACGAATATATAGAAGAATGAGATAGTGGAATTAGAATGATAGAAGCCAAGAAAGAAAATGGAAGTGAAGGAGGGTGAAGAGGTCATTTATTTTATCTCATGTCCATGACAAGGAAACGTAAAGGAAGGAATTATACCAAGTTGGGCTGGGGGCTAAGGAGAGTGAAATGTAAATCTAAAGGGAATCTAAAAGCCAGAGACAACCTTAGAAAGAAATTACTGAAAAAGCTAACTTATTCTGAACTTCATAAGATACACTCCCAGGGCTGTGGAGAAAAAATACAAATAACTTAGAATCCAGAGATATCTGTTCTTTGGTATTATAACTTGAAACAAGACTTAAAGTAAGCATAAAAATCCATGTTCACTTCAAAGTTAAACACTGTGGCTGAACAAATGCAAAAATTTTCCCAGTGATACTGCCATGGAACCATTACACTATAACCTCTTCATCAAGGAATCAGTCTTCTAAAAGCATTGATTCTATCCAGCAACCTTGTGTCAGTTTGGACAGATCCGTACCATCAAGGTGCAACCTGAAATTTGACACGTAATGAACACAAAATCTTTCGTTTAGCTATGAATTTAGGTTTGTCTTTTTGAGTAATGGCCTAACTGAAGATGAACTACTTTGGTGATTTCAAACTAAACTGAACTTGAACTTTTCCCTAATAAGGTATCTAAGTGTGGCATCTCTATTAACCAAAAAGAATTTGGAAATCAACAGAACATGGAGTTCCCTGCCTTCCAACTTATGTTCAGACCATGAAAACCTAGAGATCTACATAAATTGGGTCAAATAATAGAATCCTGAGCTAAGTGGGGTGAGGGTTTGGGGGAATGGTGCTAATTTTTAAGTTATTCCTTAGGTAAAACAATGTATATGGGCAATGGAGGGAAATTTTTAGATTCTATCAAATCAGAGAAACACTACTAGTGTACCAAAACTTAGGCATTAATCTCTTTTCCCAAAAAGCTATGCAGCTGGGGGAGACACACAGATTTTTGTAATGCACATATAAAGATTTATGTTTTATACTTGCATATTGAATACATTTTTCAGAGGCTATACAAGGAGATGAAATAATCCTGAAAGATATACAGTCAAAAGGAAAGATACTAGCAGCTCAAAAATACATGGAACCTGTTCTTCTGTGTACCTCTCAGGCCTCTCAGCACTCACCAACACCATTAGCAGAGGAGAGGACAAGTGAAGGAAGAAAGAGAGCAATGAAGCTGACTGAAGCAAAAGAGAGACAAGGAAGACAGGTGTAGAGATGGACAGGATAGCTAATGTTGATCTTTCATCAATTGCAGACAGTAATTACCAATAGTTCTCTGCAATTTTTTAGAAAACTTAGATTAAGAATGGCATGAATATTCTAACAAGGATGGCACAGAATGTGTGAGGGACAGAAAAAGAATTAGTGAATAGCCAAGAATCAGGCAAAAGGAAGCAGGAGTTGACAGTCAAACTAGACCAAAAAGGAGATGAATATTTACCACAAACTACCTAAAGCTTCCACCAATTCCATGGTAAAGACAGATTGTAGGTTAGCATCGGAATCAACTTGCATATTCATTATAATGTATTGTTTATTCATGTTTAAGCTGTTATATGAACTATGAATAATTCATTTTATAGTCTAAGTAATTTTCAAGTAATCCTTTTATTATCTTTTTTAAGTCCTAAGCTAAAGATTTCTCTTCCAGTGATTAAAAAAATTAGAATGCCATCTGAGCTGAAGTGAGTCAAAAGTGTGCGGCAGCCAGTACTTTTATGGTGTTCAGAATGGACAGACGAACTTTGTAACAACTGCCTTAGAATGCTCGCCTCACAAGACTTGTAGTGTCTGTGAGTGTTACAGATAAAAGCCACTCACTGGAGCTCAGGTCTGCCCTGAATGTCTTCTTGCTCATAATGGATTTGAAATGCATTGGTAACATCTTCTCTCTCATTAAAAATGTAATGCATGTTTGCAACTGGCAGTAATTTTTGAAGTCTATTCCTTTTCTATATGACATATTTTCAATGAAACAAAATACATAAAAATTTTCATATCATTTTATGCCATTTTCTTCCCAAATGCCATTCCATAGAATTCGTTCTTGCTGAAGCAGGAAGACTTGTAAGGAGCTTCCCAAAGGTGATAAAGCATTAAAATATAAAATTCTGTTAACAGCAGATGATGATACTACTGCCCAGGACTGATTCTTCCTACAATGTAATCCCATTTCCTGCTGCCAAGACTAATTATCTAATGACTAGCCTTCTAATTTGTCATGCATTTTTGGTATATTTTGATTTATTTGTCACACTACAGATCTTTGATCACCAATCTCATCTTTGCAATGGGTTTTTTTGTTCCAGTTTGCATACCTGTTTTTGACCCATGGTCATATAAGCCCATCTGTTCAATGTTTCTCATAACCTAGTTGCAATCTCCCCCAATCTACTTTGTAACTCTGCAACTCATGAAGTACCAATTGAAACTCAACTCCACCTGCCATAATACTCACCTTTCTCTACTATAACATGACTCCTCTCTCAAGCCAGAGTCCCTAACCATCATAATTCAACTTTTGCAACTCAAGTCTTCATGTCTGCTCTCTGTAGAGAGCATTTATGGCCCACATCTTTTTACATCCCTGGTCAAAGGATACAATTCCCTGTATAGTATCTTTCTACTTGGTAGAAAAATAACTGGCAAATAATATTTGGATTGTTTCTAAATTGCAATAAAATTTTAATTTTTTAAATGAATCACCACTGAGTGTGACCTAGACAAGCTAAATGTTCTTTTGCAGCAGTAGGAATCAGAACTTAGTTTTAACTACAGTCATATAAGCCATTTAAGTGTTTAATTCCTCTGAAATCAATTTCTTCATCTGTAACACAAAAATGATTCCATCGGCCTTACATATGTCCAGAGGTTATATGACAATCAAATAAAATGAAAATAAGTGAAAAATTTATCAAAAATAGTAAGAGATCAACAATGTAGAGGAATGTGTAGAGGAATATAAAATTCAAAGCCAATGAACTTCCCATATATGTCTTAAAATAGTTTTCTAGTTGTGGTGACAGGTTTGTAAAAACATAAGCAGCATTTTTCCCCTGTCAGCATATCCTTGGAATCCTCCCTACAGTAGATGACATTGCTACCCTGCCCTAGACCCTTCTGCCCTACCACTGCAGTGATATCCACCTGCCAGGACTCACATTTAGTTTTTGCAGAGTTTATTCCAGCCATCTCAGCCCACTTTGTCATCTGCTCAGGAAGCCAGAATTCCGCATGCTCTGGGGAGAACTCTTAAACGTTAATTTTATACTGACTCTCAGAATTCCCCAGTGGAATTTGTCTGCATGTACTTAAAGGAGTAACTAGCATGATAACAAACTCAGCTGCCTTGTTTCACTGTTTCACTGGCCTGGGATCTATAAGTGGTATTCTGGGATCATCTAAAATATAAAAAATAATTAATGATATAATATTTTTAAAATAAAAGTCTGCTTTTACTGCCTTTTACTCAAATTTTTGCTTTAGGATCAGCTTCTGAGTTAATCCAAAACAAAACAGAATTCCTCAAAAACAGAATATAAAAAGCATTCTTTCACATAATTTTTGACCCAACTAACATTAAAAGCAATCTAATTCTGTTTTTTCTGAATTTCAAATTCAGCATGGGCTCTTCTCAACCTATCACATAGAGTTCATATTCCAGAAACATGTCCTACATATTTTCTATGCTTCAGCCATAGTGAGTCACAAATATGCCATCCATTGGAAGTTGTTATGCTTCCATGTCTCTGCCTGTGCTAGTTTTCTAGAACCTGAAGTATCCCTCCCCGATTCAGTACTTAGGAAGTTCCCACTGATCATTGGAGATGAAGGTTAACTATCTTCCCTTCTGTGAAGCTTGCCCAGGCTTCCCTGACACAGTTGATTTTTCTGTCATTAGTTCAACTGAGATACCTAATACAGGCTCTTGAAAAAGAGCCCCCACCAACCTGAATTTTCAAAGATTACAATTCCAAAGAGTTCTTGTATGCATAGAGACTCATGATCATACCCTAATAAGCAAAGCTTTGATGAGATGAAGACATCAAATGGAGCCGGTTACAGTTAAGACCTGATGAGCCTAACCGTGCCAGGATCACAACACTAATGATCACATCAGTGCCTCAAAAGAAGTGACTGTTTTCATGACATGAGCTTAGGAAACACTTTCAAATAGCCAAAACAATGAACGATAAACTCAGTAATGCCAAAAGCCTTATGTTATTAGTTTTATTGCAATTACTATATTTCTTCACATTCAACATCTGCTTAGATCATGCAGTGCTTATGGGCATAATTTTTCTTTATCCCAAGACCCTAGGAAAGCATACACACATAACATAAACTCAATAAATATATGTCAAGTGTGGAAAAAATGAAAATATTTTGGCTATTAGATTGAGAATAAACACCTTCAGATGTAATATGAGAGGTGTAAGCAGTCACTGGACTTGATGCTGGCCTAGAAGGAAGCCTCATCTGAGCCTTAAGAGGTTAAGAGATAGGAAGTGAAGCAGGGACTGCCTGTATGTTCATAAATTTGCTCCTGGTTCCCTTACTGTTTAATGTGCATTTATTTCATAATTTCTTTAGTGAGTACATCTTTACAGAGTGTTCGGTATTTGCTACACATTATGAATCTGCAGAGCAACTAACAAGAACAAGAAAACTTGCAACAATGTGAAGGAGGAATTTTGTTGTTATCATTGCTGTTTTCTAAAGGCTTTGCTGCCAGGTTTCCAGAAAATTTATTCTTAACCTCTGGTTCATAATTAGCTGCTCAAATTAGATGATCCAAGAAATTATGTGTGAGTTTCTCATTTCTCTGAATGTAGAAACACTGAAATTAGTTCTTATTAAAGGCCTAAGAATTTATTCCTTGAATATCTTTAAAAATAGGAGAAACTCTCATCTTGCAGACATTTTAGATTATCATAATTTATCTGGAATTAAGAAGATGAAGGATGCACAATCATTTTGAGAGACAGGACTAGCTGGATTTCCTAGGCCGACTATGAATCCCTAAGCCTAGCTGGGAAGATGACCACATCCACCTTTAAACACGGGGTTTGCAACTTAGCTCACACCTGACCAATCAGGGAGTAAAGAGAGCTCACTAAAATGCTAATTAGGCAAAAACAGGAGGTAAAGAAATAGCCAATCATCTATTGCCTGAGAGCACAGCAGGAGGGACAATGATCAGGATATAAACCCAGGCATTCGAGCCAGCAATGGCTACCCTCTTTGTGTCCCCTCCCTTTGTATGGGAGCTCTGTTTTCACTCTATTTCACTCTATTAAATCTTGCAACTGCACTCTTCTGGTCCGTGTTTGTTACGGCTCAAGCTGAGCTTTCGCTCACCATCCACCACTGTTGTTTGTTGCCGTGGCAGACCCACCGCTAACTCCCATCCCTCCAGATCCAGCAGGGTGTCCGCTGTGCTTCTGATCAAGCAAGGCGCCCATTGCCACTACCGATCGGGCTAAAGGCTTGCCATTGTTCCTGCACAGCTAAGTGCCTGGGTTCGTCCTAATCAAGCTGAACACTAGTCACTGGGTTCCACTATTCTATTCTGTGACCCACGGTTTCTAATAGAGCAGTAACACTCACCGCATGGCCCAAGATTCCATTCCTTGGAATCCGTGGGGCCAAGAACCCCAGGTCAGAGAACAGGAGGCTTGCCACCATCTTGGAAGTGGCCCGACACCATCTTGGAAGTGGCCGCCACCATCTTGGGAGCTCTGGGAGCAAGGACCCCCACCCCGCCGGTAACAATTTCTTAAATATGAGTCTTGAAAGGAAAGTTGAGACAATAAAGAATACCATTGGTGTAGACGTTTTCAGAGTTCAGCTGGCATACAGCAGCACACCCAGCACACTTCCTGTCTTTTACACTTTTGTTGGCATGTAACATACCAATGCCTTCAGGTTTTCAATTCAGCGTCGCAGTGCTTCCCAGCCTCTCTCCTTCTAGGGGGCTGTGAAAGCCCACGCAAGGGAGGTAAAGTCTATCAAAAACTGCCGTCATCCTTTTACAGGTCTAAATGTTGAGGAATATTTCTTCAAAAATCCTGTGTAGACCAATTGCCTCCTTCTAAACTTTTTACGAAGAGACCTCACCTGACTTAAATTACCAGGTTGCATGAACCAATCTAACTAGAAATTATTATTTGCATTGGAAGTCCTGAGAAATTAAGTATGGAATTTATAGAATTTACTGTGAGGAATTCATAATGACAGAGAGGAGAAAGAGGGATATTCCAAAAGTAACAAATGACTGAGCTTAGTAGCTCCACCATTTGTAACAGATCTCAGCTTTGCCTTTTCTTTCTATGCATCTACTTTAGTAAGGCTTCCATGCATAAAGAAATGTGTACAGTAGTTAGCTCTACCCTGACTGAAGAGCCCACGGTTTAATCTCAGCTGTGCATTGATGGAGTATAATTTAGAGATTCAGAGAGATGTATGAAATGCATCTAAATTTAGAATCTGACACAATGGTGGTTGCTAGGAGCTCAAAAAAGAAATCAAGGAACAAAGGGAGCGGCTTTTGAAGTGGTTGAACTCATTTACAGAAGCAGAAAGACTGTGCCTTGTGATGTGGCCTCTGTACTGCCATAGACTATTAGGATGAATGAATAAATGACTAGAGGGGTAGCTCAGCAAAAATGTCATAAGAGCTAGAATTCCAGGAGAAGCAGAAAGGTGACTTTCATGACGATGAGCTGAGACTCAAGTATGAAAGTCACATGAACAATATGTGAATCCCATGTCTAATTTCCTGCCTGTTGAGTCCCCATTTGTCTCCTGGTTTCATATAATGATAAATGTAAGGTATTTCATTTGACCTTGTCCTTTTTTTAAAGCCATATGCACAATTACTTTAGTCACTATCCATTTTCCTCTAATTCCGTTCTTCCTATATTGTTGCCAGACTCATTTTCTGCAATTTGCTTTGTTAAGCTGCTCTGTGCAAATATACAGATGGGGTGAAAAGAGGAGTTAGGAAGGAATAACAACAACAATAAAAAGCTTGGTTCAAATGGAAATCATCTTGACTGTGTAAAGTTATTTAATTACTTAGCTCTTTCTGTGGTAGTCCCCCTAATTCCTTTAGTCACTGAATTAGGCAGATAAAGATAGAATTCCAAGAATGTTGACAAATTTCAGCTGGAACCAGCAGCTGAGTCTTCACAGTGTTTTTGGCTATTATAATTTGGCTGTTGGCACAGTACTTGTATATGAGATACTCAAAAACCTTTTATAATGATAGAGAGTTTACCGTGTAATAATCCCAGTGATGAAGTTAGAAAGAATACCCTGCACATTCCAAATAGGAGTGGCAGCATGGTTTCTGTATTCACTGATAATAATCTTCTGTTTGACTAGGATCAACTGAAACTATACAACAGATTCTCGGTTCACAGATTTCTAAGAATGTCTTTATTCAAAATAAGCAGATAAACCACCAGAGACTCTCACTCTCCTCCTTCCTCACAATCTGCTTCAAATTTACTTTAAAACTACATTTGTTTTCATACAGTCAGGAAAATTTCCTAATAAAATAATCTTACTGGTTTTCAGAAATCCAGCTTTCCACACTGGTTTACCTATTCTTGGCTACTCCAGGTCAAGTGGCTTGCTTTGAGAAAACAAAACATCAAATGGTTCCTTTCTGAGTATATGCACTGTGTACATGCCTGTATTCTCACACCTAGTGATAGGTAAAGAATATCAGCAGTAAGACTCAGTGTTTATAGGTACATGATGAACTTTGGCTCTGAATGAAGGCATCTCAGGCACCTTTAATTGTATACTTTGATAACCTTTCTGCTGGTCTTGGAATAGAGAAAACTTTAGAGTTAAAAGTATAGTCTCTGGGCCACATTAAATTTTCATAACATTAAACATGAGACAGAAAGAATTTGCCTAGTGAAACCTAGGGAAAGAATAATGGAAGGCAGGGCCCAAAGATACCCAGAGACCAGGACAGATAAAATCCCAGAGGAACGTGCGTGCTTAAGAACAGGGCACCCATCAGGAAAATGTTGTGATGCCTCACGAAGAGCTCCTGAGTCCTATTTTTATAGAAAGAGCTAAAAACCTGGAATATCAAGCCATTTAAATGGATTGAAATAACTTATCCCACGACTTCCATCATATCAAGCACACCTGTTGTGTTTGCTTGGTGGTTTTTCCTCAGCTCTTCTATCAGTCTTCTCCCATGTGCATCCAGAATAGTGGGGTTCCCTGGGGTTCCTTACCCAGCACTGTCTCTGTTCACCGAGTAAGCTCCTTCCAGGTGAAGGCACCTATTTCCATAATTACAACTACTACTATCCATACCCTGAATTCACACCTCTCTTCTGAGGCCCCAGTACACAAAGGCCTCTCTATGGCTACACCAGTGCCCACAAATATGTCTAAAAATGAAATATTCATCTGTCTTCACCACCAGAATTGCTCCTCCTCTCATAGTCATCATGCTTGATCATCTCTCCCTCATCATTAGTCCATTTTCTCCACATGTGGCCACTCTACGGATCTATACATCTTATTTTGTTTATAGATATTTATTTATTGAACTCTACTGCACATTGGAAAATGGTTTGTGGTGATGCCGGTGTAAACAAACCTACTGCACTGCCAGTCATAGAAAAGTATAGCACATAGAATTATGTACAGTACACATTGCTTGAAAATGATAATAAACGACCATCTTACTGGTTTATGTATTTGCTATACTATATTTTATATTGTTATTTTAGAGTGTGTTCTGTCTACCTATTTTTTTAAAAGTTAACTATAAAACCGTCTTGGCCTGGTCCTTCAGGAGGTATTCCTGAAGAAGGTATTGTTATCATAGGAGATGACAGCTCTAGGCATGTTTTTACCCCTGAAGGCCTCTAATGAGACAAGATGTGGAGGTGGAAGACAATGATATTGAAGGTCCTGACCCTTTATAGGCCTAGGCTAATGTGTGTATTTGTGTCTTGGTTTTTAACAAAAAGTTTAAAAGGTTAAAAAAAATTTAAAAATTAAAAAAATAGGAAATAGCGGACTGTGAGTGGTGGCTCACGCCTGTAATCCCAGCACTTTGGGAGGTGGGCGGATCATGAGGTCAGGAGTTCGAGACCAACCTGACCAACAAGGTGAAACTCCGTCTCTACTAAAAATACAAAAATTAGCCAGGCGTGGTGGTGCGTACCTGTAATACCAGCTACCCAGGAGGCTGAGGCAGGAGAATTGCTTGAACCTGGGAGGCGGAGGTTGCAGTGGGCCGAGATTGCACCACTGCACTCCAGCCTGGGTGACAGACCAAGACTCCATCTCAAAAAAAAAAAAAGAAAAAAAAGAAAGAAAGACAATGGCTTATAGAATAAGGATATACAGAACAAAAATATGTTTGTACAGTTGTACAATGTATTTTTCTTTCCAGCTCAGTGTTATCATAAAAGAATCAAAAAGTTAAAAAAAATTAAAAGTTTATAAAGTAAAAAAGTTTTGGTAAGCTAATTTCTTATTGAAGAAAGAACTTTTTAAAAATAAGTTTAGTGTAGCGTAAGTGTACAATGTTTATAAAGTCTATAACAGTGTACCGTAGTGTCCTAGGCCTTCACATTCACTCACCACTCACTGACTCAGCCAGGTCAACTTTCAGTCCTACAAGCCTCATTCATAGTAAGTGCCCTATACAGGTGTGCTATTTTTAAAAAATCTCTTATACCATATTTTTACTGTAACTTTTCTATATTTAGATATGCTTAGATACACAAATACCATTGTACTATAATTTCCTGCAGTGTCCATTATAGCAACATGCTACACAGGTGTGTAGCCTAGGAGCCAGAGGCTATACCAGAGATATACCAGGTTGTAGTAGGCTATCCTATGTAGATTTGTGTGAGTATACTGTATGATGTTCACAGCATGACAAAATCACCTAAGGATTCATTTCTCAGAACACATCCCCATTGTCAAGCCACATGGTTGTACTTATTAAATTCACACCCAATTAAGTTGCAGCCCAAACCCAATCAAGTTGAAGCCCAAAATTCTTCAATAGCTATCCATAGCCTTCAGGAAAAACAGTCCAAACTCCTCAGCATGGCATATATGACTATGATCTGTCCTCTGCCTCTCTTCCCAGTCTTGCCAAGCCATGTTGGTATTTTTATCCTGTGCTCCTACCACACTGAATCTTTTAGAGTTCCTGAAAGTGCTCTTCCCTCTCCCCACATATACAGGAAAGAGAATCTTACAGGTGAGCATTAGAGTAATTTTGCTAAAATAGACTACTTTTCTTACCATTTCTACTGTTATACATGCACCTCTCTCTGGCAAGCACATGATCTTTCCTGTCTTGACAGCACGTCCTTACAACTATAAGTCCCTACCTGTCACTTAGCTAACTTCACCTGCTACTCACTTTTTAAAACTCAACCCTGGAGTCACCTCCCCCGGTGGTGAGGTATAAGCAGCAGTCATCTTCTCACAGTGTCCTCTGCACACATGAAGTCTAGTACTTATCATATTGCATTTCAGTTGTTGTTTTTGTGGGTCTTTCTTCCCAATAAATTATGACTGTTTTGAGTTTAGGGATTCTGTCTTATTCACATAAGCCAATGCCTGAGACATGAGATGAGCTTTAATACAAAGTTGTGTGGATGATAAAGAGGATATATAAATTAACTGCAATAATTCAGAACTTAGGCCAAAAAGTAATCAATGAGGATCAGAAGCATAACTTACTGTGTTCAGAGACCATATACCATTTCAAATGACGACATCTACAAACTTATTTTACTACTTAAGACTCCCCAAACAAACAAACAAACAAAACTGGTACTTATTATTTGAATCAGGTAGTGAATAATGTTTAAATATTTTTGGTAAAAGAAAACATGATTCTTAGGTCATACAATTTATAATTTGGGAATTTGAAGGTAAAAATATGATTAAAAATATTTTCTAGTATACACAGCTTCTTAATGCAAATTTAAAAAAATATGCATGGCAATCATGTGATATGAAACACATGTATTATTTGTAATGGCCATTTTAGAGATTAGATGATGAAGTTCTTAGAGATTACAAAGTCAGTCAGAAGTTCAGCAGCCAACAAATGGCAAAGCCCAACTGGAACACAGGTTTTTCAAATCTATGTTGCAACTTAATGTTAAACTGATATTAGGGAAGATTTTATAATATGTACCTTCTAAAATTATGTACTTGGGAAAAAAAGAGCCCCAACCATCTAATATGACTTAGGAGGAATATAGCCTATAGTAAGGCATTAATTTTTATTTTCAATTTTGCCACAAGCTTCAAAGTTCAGACTTCTGAACCACTTGAATTTTTAACGTATCAGCCTTGCTTCAAAGGCTTAAAATCTCTGAACTTTTTTGTGAGTCTGAAGCAAATGTAGTTTTTGTCTTGAGAATATTCATGTACTCCAGGCATTTTGTTATTCCCTGGCCTAGAAAATGCAACTATTATTACCTTTATCCTTTCGGCATAAAGTGAATTTTAGTTAATTCATTTCTAGGCCAGAGTTAAGAGTTTTACATTTATTTGTGATGTTGTTTTGTGCTGTGACCATGAAAAATTATGGTACTCTGGTTTGTGATTAACTTTAAACTTCATGTTCTGGAAAGAGAGAGAGTGAGATTGATTTCAGAGGAGAACACCTACAGCCACTTGTCAGGTTCATAGGAAAGAAATCCCTGAAAAACAGGATAGGTTTAGTTATTTGATTTAAAGAAGAAATGTAAATTGAAAACACCAAAGGAAACAGAGTAATTAAATGACCTTCAATGATTCCCACTTGTTATAGAATCGTACATTTTGCCCAAACATTTTTAAAAATTTCCAATAAAATCAGTATGCCTAATGTCTATCAGCTTGAGGAAGTCATATGAGCAACAATAAAAATAGTAAAGTAAGGTCTCTGGCTTTGAATCACTTCCAGCAAACATTGCTTCAGCTGCTATCTTAAGGAGGCTGGAAATGCAGACACAGCATTCCAAACTGGGGTGGGAGGGGGTCAAGATGGCCTCAACTCTGAGACTGGATTTGCCACACCCCAATATCACCGTGGAGCAGTGGCACTGAGCTACTCATTACTATCAACAATTTCTTCTAAAGATCCAGAGGATAATCATCTGTTCAGGAACATTTGTTAAACAGGTATCACCTAATAATTACTATTTCAACACAAAGGCAACATCCCCGGCTTCAAGGGACTGACAATTTAGTGTTAGAGTCACATAAACAAACTACCAAAATACAATTTACTAAATGTTCAAACTGATGTTTGTACAAGGTGATATAGGAGCACAGGAAAAGTGACTCAAACTCAGCCTGGGGAAAATAGAGAATCTAGTAACAAAGTTGAAATTAATCCAAAAAGATGAGTAGAGGTTAGTGGGACAGTAATATCTTTTCTAAAATATGGACTGAGACAGAGCTTGGAGAGTTCTGGAAAATGAGATGCTTCAGTACACATACAGTATAGGATGAACAGAAGGGTATGTAGAAGATAATGCTGAAAAATTGGGAGGTGGCTAAAAATGCAGGGCATCGTATACCATGCTACCAAATTTATATTTTATCCTTAGTGCAACAGATAGTCATTATTGTATTAAAACCAAGAGAGTGACTGACATGGTCAGATTCACACTTCTTACTGTACACTGTTGAGGCAGTATTAGGATAAATTTTAGAGGGGCAGAAAAGTGGGCTAACACAACTTTCCTAGTGAAAAAAGGTTGAGGATCTACTAATCAGTGATAAAGAGGAAAAGGTCTGGAACTACCTCTATTGCTTTCTAACATAAGCATTGACTAACTGGGAGTAAAATCATCAACACGGGGAATAAAGAATAAAAAACAGAAAATGAAGATGGGAATTTTGGCTTGGCACAAATTGTACTTAGGACCACTATGGCATATCTAAGTGGAAATATGCATGGACATTAAGAAACAATGACTTCTAACTCAAGAATAAAGTCTGGATCAAGGATATAAGTTTTGTAGTACAATCATAAAAGTGACAGTTAAAATAATGAGTGTGAATAATATTGTTTAAAAAATATGTAAAATGAAAATAGATGTTTTAATGAAATTTTTACTTTATCCAGCTTATCACATTTTTACATGGATCATGCTTTTAGCTGATTCAGCTGAGAAATCTGCTAAAAGCCATATTAGGGGTCTGCTGAATATGATGTTTCTTTTCTTTGGCTGCTTTGAGTATTCTTTCTTTGTCTCTAATTTTTGGTAGTTTATAATGTGTCTTGGGGAATTCTATATTGGGTTAAATCTGATTGGTGATCTTTGAGCTTCTTATTCCTGAATGGTGCTATTTTTCTCCAGATTTGGAAATTTTTCTGCCACTATTTTTAAAAATATTCTTTTGAGGTATTTTTCTCACTTGTCTTTGGGAATTTCTATTATGCAGAAGTTAGTTTACTTAATGGTGTCATATAATTGTCGTAAGCCAGCTTCAATCTTTTTTATTCTTTTTTTCCTTTTGCTCCTCTGATTGGCAAAATTCATATGTTCTATCTTCAAGGTTGTTAATTCTTTCCTCTGTTTGATCATGTCTTCTGTTGAAGTTTTCTAACTGGGTTTTCAATTCAGTCATTGTATTCCTTATTTCTTGAATATCTATTGTTTAAATTGCTTCTATTTCTTTGTTAAATTTCTAATTTTGTTGCTGGTTGGTTTTCCAAATTTCACTTATTTCTCTATCTGTATTTTCTTGTGATTTCCTGGACTTCTTTGAGATAATTATTCAAAAATCTCTGTCTGACATAGCTTAGATCTTCAATTCCTTGGGGTCCACTGCTGGAGCTTTGTTGGTATATTTTGGTGTTGTCATATTTCTGTGAGTTTTCATAGTCCTTGTGTCCTTACATTAATGCCTGCGCATTTGAGGAAACAGCCACTTTTTCTAGTTCTTACAAGCATTTTTTGGTAGTGTTAGACCTTTACTGCTTATTTTCAGAACTTAAATGCTAGCCCAGTGAACACTGGAAGTAAAATACTGTACTGGAATTAACACTCTACCATTGTTTCTTGGTCTGGGGAAAACTTATAGTGAGCCCCAGAAGTTAAACATGCCTTGGAGCTATATCGTTGCCCTGCCATTGTTTCCCAGTCTGGGGAAAACTAAAGCAGGCCATGGAACTTAAGTCCAAACTTTTAGTCATTGCTGAACAAGCGGAAGACTCTAGACAAGCACCTAAACTTTGTGGAAAATCTAGCCAGGGATTCAGGCCTTCCTATTAAATTGTGACACCTGTGGTACTATGGCACCAGTCATTCTCTTCAGTGTGGCATCCCCTCTGATTGGAGCACAGAGTAGTCACCAAGATCCATTCATCAGTCACTGACATTAGTACTTGCTTTTTGTCCCCAGTTCACCCAAGGTGGCTCAGCCCTCCTGGCACTCCCAACAATTTCTGTGGAATAGGACCAGAGTAGGCTTCCCAGGAAGATCCCAGACCAGTGGAGAGATTCAATATTCACTTCTAATTTTCCTCCTCTCACCTAAGAAACTGTGGAATCTAGGCAAATTCTCTGTGAGTGGTGTTATGCTGGCATGGGAGAGGAGTAACAGTCTAAGATGAGCATTTCTCTTCCAAGTCACAATATCTCTTGATTCTTGGGGCTCATGGGATTTCTCCACTTCTCCCTCAAGTTCTGGTGAATTCAGGGTGGTATTCTTGTCTTTGGATAGTTTGTAGGTATATTTTTTTGTGGGGGAAGTGAGGCCAAGGAATCTTCTATTTTGCCACCTTGCTGCAGTCACCTAATCCTATATTGACATATACTATTGTAATCAATGGTGTAGCTTGTTTCAAATGTTAAATACAAAACATAGATCATGAACACATGCTCATGAGAATGACCATTCTCAGCCTCAAATGGTATTTCCATAAAAGAATTGGCATTATTCCTTTTAGATGCCATGAGCGTATATTCAAAGTAAAAACACAATTGACTAAAAACTACTTATTAAAGTTATCTTTGTTGTTCCAATAAAGATGAATTATGTCTAGTTTCTGACAAATCATCTTTAATTTATAACCTGATCTATTTAAAAATATTTTACCTCATGTCTGATTTTTATTGCCCTTAATATTCTGCCTTGTAATTCAACTACATATTCATACCTTTTGCCAATTTTTCTATTATTGCACTTGCTTTATCTTATTAGATTTTAAGAATTGAACCTGTACATTTTTAACCTTTATAATATTAAAAAGTTTAAACATTGTGTAGAGAACAGTATAATATATCCCATATTCTCACCACTTATTCTAAATATGGTCCATTTTTTATTATCTATATTTCCCTAGACACATTTATATCAAAACTACTCTCCCCATCACCTGTAAATTATTTTAAAGCAAATACAAGGAATCATATTAATTTATTTATAAATATTTTAGCACATATCTCTAAAAGACAAAGGCTTCTTTTAATTTAAGCAAAACATTATCTCTAAAAATGACATTAATTTGCTCTTCTTTTTCTAACTTCTTGAGGTATGCACTTTGTCAAATTGTATCAGGTTTTTTCTAACATTTATATTTAACACCGAAAATTTTACAATAAGAATGTTTTAGCTGCATCCTGCAAGTTGGGATGTGTCATATTTTCATTATGCTCAGTTCAAAACATGACTAAAAGAGTCATGTCTTACACAATCCATTCTTTGGCCCAAGGATTATTTAGAAGTATATGCTTAATATCTTAATATATGGGGATTTTTTTTATAATTGATTTTAATGTCTAGCTAATTCCACTGTGGTCAGAAAACATAGTCTGTGTATTTGCCGTCTTTTGAAATTTTTAGAAACTTGCATTTCAGTGCTTTGAAATTTGTAAAAATGTCCCTCATTGCCTAGCATTTAAACAATATGGTTAAATCAATATGAGTACATGCTCTAAAAGCACTTGGAAAAAACGTTTGTTCTGTAGTTGTTTGGAGCAGTGCTTTCTTGATACCAATTAGATCGATAGTGTTATCATGTCATTCCAATCATCTATATCCTTACTGATTTTATCTTTTGCTTGTTGTATCAATTTCTCCAGTTGTGGTATATGCTATGATATGCCACTCAAATTGTTTTTTCAGAAACGAAAGACTTAGTACCATAGTTGCTGAGAGTGCAATAAGTAGACAGTTCCTAACTGTCAGCAGCCATACAGACCTTTGTGAAATGACCTACATACAATAACTGATCCACATGGGGATATAAAGACCTGGCTTCCTTGTCCCATCCTGGTAAAATTTCAAAGGATCACCTCATTTTCAGAATTCTCTTCAGAGTAAACCATGAATTCTGTAGATAATGCATTATATTGCAACTTTTTCTTCTAATCAATTTTGCTTCTTTCCCTGTTCACTACAGCTGCTGATGCCAGTGGCAATCCTTGAGGAATCTACTATATTGTCATCTCCAGTCAATATATGCTTCCAGAGAACCCATCTGGTGACTGTTAGTGCTAGAAATAGTCTAAGACTGTAGCCACGGGGTTGGGATTTTAGACTAAGATCATCTGTCACCAGCTAAAAGGAGGACTGCCATCTTTGGTGTAGACAGTAGGTGAAGGACAGATAGTATCTACTACGTAGCAGTCCAGTTGTTAAACTTTCACAGGTATTGAACTGTAATGGAATCCCGGTAGAAGTGAATACTTTTGCTGACAGCATAATATAGATCCATCCTTTGAGAAATAGGAAAGAAAATTTATAAAGATAATATAATTGGAATGTTACTATTAAACTCAATTGGAAAAAATATTTTACTAAGACACTGAGAATAATTAATCAGCAATTTAAAAGCTAAGTTGGGAAAGAAAAAGGGGCTCATTGTTTGCATAGAGAGAGCTCTCATCTCCTGCAGTTTGGAGGGCAGAGAAAGCTGAGGCCTATCCCAGAACATAATTGTGAAGGTAGCCAAAATCCTAAGAAGATTAAATTCACAGCCAACGTTAAGTCTTCTATGTTAAGGTTGGGACCAAATAGGAAAATAATAGAGTAGACCACAAAACAAGTCTCAACAAATTTAAGAAAATCAAAATTATATCAAGTTCTCTCTCAGAGCAGAGTGGAATAAAATTGAAAATCAACTCCAAAAGGAATCCTCAAAACCATGCAAATACATGGAAATTAAATAACCTGCTCCTGAATGATTGTTGGGTCAACAATGAAATCAAGATGGAAATTTAAAAAATTCTTTGAACTGAGTGATAATAGTGACACAACCTATCACAACCTCTGGGATGGAGCAAAAGTGGTGCAAAGAGGAAAGTTCATAGCATTAAATGCCTATATCAAAAAGTCTGAAAGCACAAATAGGCAATCTAAGGTCACATATCAAGGAACTATAGAAACAAGAACAAACCAAACCCAAACCCAACAGAAGAAAAGAAATAACAAAAATCAGAGCAGAACTGAATAAATGAGAAAAAAATATAAATAATGAATGAACCAAGGCTCTTTGAAAAGATAAACAAAATTGATAGACCATTACTGAGATTAACCAAGAAAAGAGAGAAGATCCAAATTAGCTGAATTAGAAACAAAACAGGAGATGTTACAACCGATACCACAGAAAAACAAAAGCTCATTCAGGGCTATTATGAACACCTTTACCCACACAAATTAGAAAACATTGAGGAGGTGGAAAAATTCCTAGAAATGTACGACCCTCCAAGATTAAACCAGAAAGAAATAGAAACTCTGAACAGACCAATAACAAGTGGCAAGATTGAAATGGTAATTAAAAAATGCCAACCAAAAAATGTCCAGTATCAGATGGATTCACAGCTGAATTCTATCAGACATTCAAAGAAGAATTGGTACCATTCTTGTTGCCACTATTGCAAAAGATAGTGAAAGAGGGATCCCTCCTTAAATCATTCTATGAAGCCAGTATCACCCTAATACCAAACAAGGAAAGAATATAACAAAAAAAAGACCAATATCCCCGATGAACATAGATGCAAAAATCCTCAACAAAATACTAGCTAACTGAACCCAACAGTGTATCAAAAAGATAATTCACCATGATCAAGTGGGTTTCATACCAGGGATGAAGGGATGGCATAAGATACACAAGTCAATAAATGTGATACACCACATAAAATTAAAAACAAAAGTTACATGATCATCTCAATAGATGCAGAAAAAGCGTTTGCCAAAATTCAGTATCTCTTTATAATTAAAATCCTGAGCAAAATCACCATAGAAGGGACATACCTTAAGGTAATAAAATCCATCTATGACACACCCACAGCCAACATTATATTGAACAAGGAAAAGTTGAAAGCATTCCCCCTGAGAACTGGAACAAGACAAGGATGTCCACTTTCAACACTTCTATTCAACATAGTACTGGATGTCCTAGCCAGAGCAATCAGACAAGAGAAGGAAATAAAGAGCATCCATACCAGCAAAGAGGAAATCAAACTGTCACTGTTTGCAGATGATATAATCATATACCTAGAAAATCTAAAGACTCATCCAAAAATCTCCTAGAACTGATAAATGAATTCAGTAAAGTTTCAGGATACAAAATCAATGTAGACAAATCAGTAGCACTGCTACATACCAACAGCTGGAAGACCAAACATCATATGTTCTCACATATAAGTGGTAGCTCAGCTATGAGGATGCAAAGGCATAAGAATGACAGAGTAGACTTTGGGGACTTGGGAGGAAGGGTGGTAGAGGGGCGAGGATTAAAAGACTACACATTGGGTACGATGTACACTGTTCAGATGATGGGTGCAACAAAAATCTCAGAAACCACCACTAAAGAACTTATCCATGTATCCAAAAACCACCTGTTCCACCAAAACTTATTGAAATAAAAAATGGAAAGAAAGTTTACATTTTCAAATAAAAAATAAAATATACAATAAATTGTTAACTATGGTAACCCTATTGTGTTATAAAATACTAGATTTGTTTCATTAATCTAACTGTATTTTTGTAGTCATTATTCATATGTACTTTATCACCCCCTCCTCCCTATACTTACCAGTCTCTGACAATATCATTCCTCTCTCTGTGTCCGTGAATTGAATTTTATTTTTAGCTCCCAGATATCGGTGAGAATATACAATATTTGTCTTTCTATGCCTATATTATCTCATTTAACATAATGTCCTTCAGTGCCATCCATGTTGTTGCAAATAACAGGATTGCATTTTTCTTTATTGCTGAATCATATCCCATTGTCTATATGCTATGCAGCACATATGCATCCTTTGATGGACACCTAAGTTGACTCTATCTCTTGGCTATTGCAAATAGTACTTTAATAAACATGGGAGTGCAGATGGATATCTCTTCAATATATTGATTTCCTTTCTTTTGTATATTTACCCAGCAGTGACATTGTTGGGTCATATGGTCCTTTTAGTTTTAGCTTTTTGGGGAATCTCCATACTGTTTTCCATAGTGGATACACTAATTTACATTTCCATCAACAGTATATGAGGGCTCCCCTTTCTCCACATCCTCACCAGCATTCATGACTTCCTGTCTTGGGGATGGGGAAAGCCATTTTAACTGGGCTGAGATAATATCTCACTGTAATATATTGATTTGCATTCTCTAATGATTAGTGGTGTTGAGCATTATTTTCATATGCCTATTGGCCATTTGTACATCTTCTTTTGAGAAATATGTATCCAGATCATTTGCCCATCTGGTTTGTTTGTTTTTGTTTTGTTTTCATTCTGTAGCCCAGGTTGGAGTGCAGTGATGCGATCTCGGCTCACTGCAATATCCGCCTCCCAGGCTCAAGCGATTCTCTGCCTCTGCCTCCTGAGTAGGTGGGACTAAAAATGCGCCCCACCTACCCAACTAATTTTCTGCATTTTCACAGAGACGAGGTTTCACCATGATGCCCAGGGTGGTCTCCAATTCCTGAGCTCAGGCGATCCACCCACCTCGGGCTCCCAAAGTCTTGGGATTACAGGCGTGAGCCACCGTGCCTGGCCCATTTGCCCATCTTTCAATCATTTTATTTGTATTTTTCCTATTGATTTTTTTGAGCTCCTTACACATCCAAGTTATTAACCCCTTGTTAAGTGGATGATTTGCAAATATTTTCTCCTATTCTATGGGTTGCTCGTGCTGCCTCAGTGGTGGGAGAGGAAGAAGAAAATTCATGTATAAATGGACTTAGGCAGTTTAAACCCATGTGTTTCTGGGGTCAACTATATACTATTACAAGATTTCTACCTTGTTTGTTAAGTAAGAAAATGATAATTCAAGTTAGACTGTAATAAATTAAGGATAAGTGATGAAATACCTAGGATAATCAGCTTAAAATTAAAGTATAATTTAAAAGACAAAAGAATAAACTGGAATAATGAACAGCACTTGAAGGCAGAATAAAAGAAGAATAAGTAAAAAGGAACAGATGGCACAAATAGAAAACAAATAGCAAAATGGTGAACTTAAACCCGACTATATTAATAAATATTTACAGAAGTAATGAATTGGCAGCCATCTCTTGATTTTAAAAAGTTATAGAATCATTTAACTTAATTAATGGTTTTTAATCATTTTTACAATGTGTTTAGCCAGTGTAAAAATGATATATTTCAATGTATAAAAGTAAAATACTGAAGTGAATACATGACATGGATTTTACTCTTAGTCCTTTCTTAAAGTAGAATAAAAGATTTGAAATATCATATGAATTTATTGACCTCAGTGTTCTTGTATGTAAAATATAAAGGTAGACTAAAATACTTCTACTTTTAAAAATCTAAATATTCTGAGGCCATAGATAAGTTTACACTGTAAATAAAGGCTATGTAATATTGTAAATAAATATTACTGTGACTAACATGTTAAAAATTTAATGGAAGACAAAAATCTAAAATTCTGTACATTATATTACAAAAATCTATTTAATGAAATTATATTGTGTGGATAATTTTTGCACATTCAGGCTTTGTTAAAAAGTAAAAATAATTAAATTTATACATGCACATCCAAGACTAAAGACATTCTTAAGGAAAAATTGCCTATTAAGACAAAACTACTTCTGCCTTTGAATTTTCAAACACAATATTTTCATTACTCTGTATTAACGGAAAAAGATGACAGAATAAGCTATTCCTAGTATATAAAACAGAGGGATTTTGAAAGTGAAGGCAACAAATGATGAGCTTGCTCTGTAATATAAACAAGGCTCCCTGAGGTTTTCACACTGGGTGGAAAATTGTAACCCAGAAATATTTTTCTCTAAAACATTCCTTTCCATGAATGATCAGAAATTAGATTTGAGTGATTACAGCCAGATTGAACAGAGTGAGTCCAGAATGGCAATGAGGCAAAATGTCATGAGAGGCAAAGTCTCTGAAGGGAAGGAGAGTAAGGCTGGACCTCCATAGTATAGAATGAAGGGAAAGCAGCACCACATCAATATAGCACCATTTTTACCAAATGGATAAACCAAACATTTATTTTAAGAAGATTTACAGCCCAGCGCAGTGGCTCACGCCTGTAATCCCAGCACTTTGGGAGGTCGACGCTGGCAGATCACCTGAGGTCGGAAGTTCAAGACCAGCCTAACATGGAGAAACCACGTCTCTACTAAAAGTACAAAATTAGCCAGGCATGGTGGTACATGCCTGTAGTCCCAGCTACTTGGGAGGCTGAGACAGTAGAATTGCTTGAATGAGGGAGGTGTAGGTTGTAGTGAGCCGAGATCGCACCATTGCACTCCAGCCTGAGCAACAAGACCAAAACTCCGTCACAAAAAAAAAAAAAAAAAGAAGATTTAGTGAACTGCTGTAGTTGGAAGGGATTACATTATTAATAATCCTTAGGATTTCCCCCTTTGCTGCTGAGTTCAGGTGGCTTAAATTGATTACTGTATAGGAAAATAAACACTGTTTCCAAGCCTAACATTGTCTCTATATTGAGAATATACAAGCTGATAGAGTCGGGTGGGGGGGGCCATCTTTAAAAAAAAAACAAAAACTTACATTAGTGGTGCTGAGCTTAGTAAAACAGCTGGAGAATTACAAAAAAATTCTCAAATGTATTGTTAACAAGACCAACTAGTCTATAGTAAAGTGAAATAAACTTTAAACCTTTGAAATCCTACAACTATTAAGATCTGCCACAGCCATTTTTATGGGACATTTTTCCTAAATATTTGTGTTTCCTTGATATCTTATGTAATTTTCCAATTACATAAGATATCAGGGACTATAATAAAATATTCTGGAAACCAATAATGAGTTCTAAGATTACGGTGATTCTCATAAAAATAGTTGCTTACAATAGTGGTGTTTACTACTAATCTTTCCATAATTTTTCAGATGCTTTGACTTTATTATGAAATACTGCTTTTTAAATCTATTTATATTTATTTTCTATTGTTTTGGATACATAATAATTGTATATATTTATGGGGTGTATATGATATTTTGATGCAAGCATATAATTGTAATGATCAAATCATAGTAACTGGTATATCCATTGCCTGGAATATCTATCATTTGTATTAGGAGCATTCTAATCCCACTCTTCTTGTTATTTTGAAATATAAAATAAATTATTTTTAACTATAGTTATCCTTTTGCCATCAAACACTAGATCTTATTGCTTTTATCTAGCTATATTTTTGTGCCTATTAACCATCCCTCCCTGATCTCCCATTCCTCACTGTCCTTCCCAGCTTCTGGCAATCCTGCATAAAAACAACACAGCTGAAAGCATTACATTAACTGACTTTAAATTAAACTATAAAGCTATAGTAAGTAAAAGAGCATAGTACTGGCATGAAAACAGGCACATAGACCAGCAGAACAGAATAGAGAACTCAACAAAAACATCCACATATTTACAGTGAACTTATTTTTTACAAAAGTTCAAGGAACATACATTGGAGAAAGGACATTCTCTTCAATAGATGGTGCTGGGTAAACTGGATGTACATATACAGAAGGATACAATTAGACCACTGTCTCTTTCCATATATAACATCAAATCAAAATAGATTGAAGATTTAAATCTAAGACCTGAAACTATGAAACTACTAGAAGTAAACATTGGAGAAACATTTTAGAATATTGTCTAGGCAAAGATTTCTTGAGAAAGACCTTAAAAGCACAGGCAACCATGGCAAAAATGGACAAATGGGATCACAACAATCTAAAAAGCTTCTGCACAGCAAACGAAACAATCAACAAAATGAAGAGAAAACTCACTGTATGGGAGAAAATATTTGCAAATTACTAATCTGCCAGGAGATTAATAACCAAAATATGTAAGGAGCTCAGACAATAAGAAAAAAATCCAATTTAAAAAATGGGCAAAAGATATGAATAGACATTTCTCAAAAGAAGACATACAAATGGCCAATAAGTCTATAAAAAAGGCCCAACATCACTAACCATCAGAGAAATGCAAATCAAAACTACAATGAGATATCATCTCACTCTAGTTAAAATGGCTTTTATCCAAAAGATGGGTAATAATGAATACTGACGAGGATGTGGAGAAATGGGAACCCTCATACACTGTGGGAATGTAAAGTAGTATATATACCATGGAAAATAGGATGGCAGTTTCTCAAAAAACTAAAAGTAGAACTACCATTTGGTACAGAAATGCCACTGTTGGGTATATATGCAAAAGAAAGGAAATCAGTATACTGAAGATATATCTGCACTCCCATATTTATTAAATTACTATTCACAATAGCCAAGACATGGAATGAGCCTCAGTGTCCATCAACGAATGTATAAAGAAAATGTGATGCATATAGACAATGGAATATTACTTAGCAATAAAGAAGAATGAAATCCTGTCATTTGCAACAACATGGATGGCACTGGAGGACATTATGTTAAGTGAAATAATCTAAGCACAGAATGACAAATATTGCATGTTCTCACTCATAGATGGGGGCTTAAAAATTAAACTCATAAAATGTGTTTTCTAAAAATATTAAAGTTGATATACTCTAAACTAATTCTATGAAGTATTAACTCATTTTGGTATTACTCTGATACCAAAACCAGACAAAGACACATCAAAAAAGAAACTACAGGCCAATATCTCTGATAAATATTGATGCAAAGAAATCTTCAACAAAATACTGGCAAACTAAATTCAACAATACATTAAGAAGATCATTCATCATGACCAAAGTAGAATTTGTCCCTGGAATGCAAGGTTGGTTCAAGATTTGCAAATCAAACAAGGTGATACATCATATCAACAGAATGAGGGATAAAAACCATATAATTTCAATTGGTGTTGAAAAAGAAGTTGATAAAATTCAACTTCACTTTATAATGAAAACCCTAAAAAACTGGGGATAGAAGAAGTATACCTAAATATAATTAAAGCTATAGATGACAGACTCACTGTTAGTATCATACTGAATGGGGAAAAACTGAAAGCCTTTCCTTTAAGGTCTGGAACACAACAAGGATGCCCACTACCACCACTGTTATTCAACATAGTACTGGAAGTCCTAGCTAGAGCAATCAGACAAAAGAAAGATATAAATGGCATCCAGATTGGAAAGAAAGATGTCAAATTATCATTGTTTGCAGATAATATGATTTTATATTTGGAAAAACCTAATTCCACAAAACAAGTATTTGATTTCACAAAGCAACTATTAGAACTGGGAAAACTGGATATATATATGAAGAAGAATGAAACTCAAACCTTATCTCCCACCATATACAAATATTAAATGAAAATTAATTCACTACTGAAATATAAGACTTCAAACTATTAAACAACTACAAGAAAATATTGAATAAAATCTCCAGGACACTGCTCTGGACAAATATTTCTTGAGTCATACCACATAAGAACAGGAAACCAAGGCAAAAATGGACAAATAGGATTACAACAAGCTAAAAAGCTTTGGTACAGCGAAGGAAACAATCAACAATGTAAAGAGACAACCCACAGAATGGGAGAAAATATTTGCAAACTATCCATCTGACAAGGGATTAATAACCAGAATATATAAAGAGCTCAAACAATTCTTAGGAAAAAAATCAAATAATTCAATCAATAAATGGGTAAAATATTTGAATAGACATTTCTCAAAAGAAGACACACAAATGGCAAAAAGGTATATGAAAAGGTGCTCAACATCATTGATGATCAGATAAATGCAATCAAAACTACAATGAAATATCATCCCCCCCTGCCCCAGTTAAAATGGCTTTTGTCCAAAAGACAGGCAATAACAAATATTGGAGAGGATGTGGGGATAAGGGAACCCTCGTACACCACTGGTAGGAATGTAAATTAGTTCAACTGCTATAGAGAACAATGTGGAGGTTCCTCAGAAAATTAAAAATAGAGCTATCATATGATCCAGCAATCACACCTCTGGTTATATACCCAAAATAAAAGAAATCAGTGTATCATATCTGCACTCCCATGTTTGTTGCAGCACTTTTTTTTTTTTTTTTTAGATGGAGTCTCACTCTGTCGCCCAGGCTGGAGTGCAATGGCATGATCTCCGCTCACTGCAAGCCCCACCCCCCCAGGTTCATGCCATTCTCCCGCCTCAGCCTCCTGAGTAGCTGGGACTACAGGTGCCTGCCACCATGCCCAGCTAATTTTTTTGTATTTTTAGTAGAGACAGGGTTTCACTGTGTTCGCCAGGATGGTCTCAATCTCCTGACCTCATGATCCGCCCACCTCAGCCTCCCAGAGTGCTGGGATTACAGGCATGAACCAACGCACCTGGCCTGTTGCTGCACTATTTACAATAGGACCAAAATTTGAAACCAACCTATGTGTACAATAGATGAATGGATAATGAAAATGTGGTACTCATCCGTAATGGAGTACTATTCGGTCATAAAAAGAATGTGGTCCTGCCATTTGCAACAACATGGATGGAACTGGAGGTCACATGTTAAGTAAAATAAGCCAAGTAGAGAAAGACAAACATCACATGTTCTCAATTATTTGTGGAATGTAAAAATCAAAACAATTAAACATGGAGACAGAGAGTAAAGGATAGTTTATCGAAGGCTGGGAAGGGTAGTGGAGGGGGTGGAGCAGAGTGGGGATTGCTAATGGGTAAAAACAAACAGAAAATATGAATAGCTAGTATTTCATAGCACAACGTTGTCATTATAGTCAAAATAATTGTGCATTTTAAAATAATTAAAGAGTATAATTGGATTACTTATAATACAAAGGATAAATACTTGAGGGGATGGATACCCCATTTTCTATGATGTGATTACTACACATTGCATGACTGTATTGAAACATCCCATGTAGCCCAGAAATATATACCTCTACTATGTACCCGCAAAAAATAAAAATGAAATAAAAGTTGATCTACTTGCTTTGTTTGCTGTTTCTCTTTAAAATGCTATTTTTTTTTTTTGGTAATGACTTCAATTGAGAGTTTTAACAGTTAATGAAATGACAGATTTTATTATGGCATTTACATATTAAACAAAAACGACAAAAATTACTTTTGCACAATGCTTATGACAGGTTTAGACTATAAATAGTTATATTCTGAAAGTTTGGTGAGTTAGTTCAAGAGTGTTAAAGAATGTTATTGTTACTTTCAAGTAACGGATGAATAATTTAAAACCTGGGATGGAATGTTGTACAATAACGTATATTGATGGCTTGGCTATTTTTAGCCCAGCTATAGAAATAAGCCTGAAAGATTTAGAGACAGTTGACTAGGAAATTCAGAATACTAGCTTAATGGTAAAAAGAAATGGTTTGGATGCCTTAAAGGTGCATATACAATTATTAGTATACTTAATGTGGAGTGCAATAAATACTTTTCTGATATGTTGTTGAGGTCATTAACATGAAGGAATGAGTAATCAAAAATAATTTCTGTAGCTAATTACTGAAATATGTGTACATCTGTGCTATTGCTAAACTTCTCTTATTGGTTTACTGAGTAAGAAGTTAGACAAAATAATTTGGACATAAAGATGCATGGCAGAAGTCTCTTGGATCAATAACAGATTGTCTGAAACTAGATTTCTGAATACCCAAATTATAATGAAACACGTTGTAAAATGAAAACTCAGAAAAGGATTTAGAAGACAGGTGTAAAGAAAAAAAACTTGCATTTTATCAGTCAGAAACTGATTCATGGAGAAGACTGATGGAGCAGAGAAGGAAAGAATGCTATCATGAGTTCAATTTGTGTGACTTTCAAGAGAATACCTCTGTTAACCAGGGTCTAGCTTTCTCCTGGAGGTAATAAACACTTCTTCTCACTTATTCATGGTTCTGTGGTAGTGAGAATACTTAGTTCAAAACAACCAACTTTAATCTATAAATGGATAAACATAAAAATGACATAACAAAACAATGATATAAAAGCAGAGAAAATATGACCAAAAAGAAAAATTAAGATAATAATAGAAAATCAGAGATACAATTAGCATGCAAAATGTACCTTACCAATTTCTAGAGCCCAGAGTTGCTAGAAGCAAGTAACAGATTAGTACTGCACTTCTTGGTGGTAAAGACAAGGAAGGGAAGCTAACTACTGTATCCAGTGAATAAAAGCACATAATCCATGAGAATAGGAATAACTACTGCTGGATTTGAAAACTGAGAACAAGTAATCAATGAAGATGTCACCAACATCCCTATGATAAATATTTCAAGTTTCAATTGAGTAATTATTTTATTGACCCTAAATGCAAGCCAAATACAAAGCAAATCAATGAGTAAAATTCTACACATCAGAAAACAATGTTACCTATCTAAGCAGCTTTCTGATCTGGTTTGATCTAAGGATAAAATCTAATAAAATTCCTATGCCTTAGAGCTTAGGTTTTCTATACTTCAGTCACATAAGGTGCTGGTTAACTTGCAGATCTCAGGACTTTATTTAAAGGTGTTTTATGGTCCACAGATCACTTTAAACATGGCTTTAGGAAGTCTTTCATGAATATTGTATGAGGTAGAAAGATATTCAGATGAAAAAAGTGGAAACTTAACATCATGGGCTTAAGTAAGGAATGTTAATCTAACAAAAAGTGTGGAGAGAAAAAAGACAGTTCTTCGGTGTCATAAAGACATTCTATCTTTTTGCTCTGCCATCTTCAGAATGTAGCTTTAATCTATTTGATCACAAAATTTTTCCTGTTCCTTCAATGCACCACATACAAGAATGAGTGAAAGAGAAATGCAAAAAATGAAGGTGGATACGGCCTTACTCTGCTGTTTTAAAATTTGTTTTCCCAAGAAGTCCCACCTAGCTATATCTTCTTGCAATTCTTCTTATATTTCATTGAATTGAATTAAATCACATGACTACTGCTAGAAGCAAAAAGTCTGAGAATGCGGGTATTTTAAACAGATAGATAATCTCAAGTTTTAATTCTCTGATATGACATTACAAAAATCCAAAGTATTTTTAGACATTAAGTGGTTAAAACTAAATATGAATATAATTTGATATGTAATGAATAAAATATTTAAGATCAATGTTAGCAAAGTTATGTACTATTTTCTACTTTAAAAAAGTCAAACCACATGTCTGTGATTTTGTTCTACTACTCTCTATTTGGATAGTGTCTCATTTCCTATATGTAATGTCATTTTTGAGTTTACTAGTGACTTTTTGTGTGTGTTCCCTATAGTTAAGTTTTGCTCTCCCCAGCAATTAACACTTTGTAAACCAAACCCCTATTTCAAATACCCAAGCTAATCTTGGAAGCAAAAGTAACAGCTCCAAAAATCTGAAAGATTAACATTTCTACTAAAGAAACCCTATTAAGATTCTTATTTTGGATTATAATGTTGTCCCTTCTGCCCTCAATCCCATCCTAAAAGTTGAGAACTCAGAAAGTAGTTGAGAAGCAATAGAGAATCAGAAAATTATATTTTTGTTTCCTATTTGAGTTGCATTTTGAGAAAATTTGCAACCTCTGTATAGCATTTGCAAAAGTCCCTATAAAATAATTAAAAATTAATATAAGGTCATATATAAACATATATATTTATATGAATTTACATATTAGAGCTATATTCCTATTACATATATAGTATTTATAGAATGTTAGTAAATACATGATCCAGAAAACTAAGGTCAAACATTTTTAAAGTTCTCAGATATCCATTTAAAGTTTCATTTACTTCATTGAATAAACTAAATAAAATTACTTTCTAAAAGGAACTTCAGGTGGATTTCACAACGCCTAATATTTCCCAACTTTTATACTAATTATGGGGCTTAAGAGTGGGGTGTTGGCAACAATCGTGTCTTTTTCTCTATATCAACAGTTGATATTATATCAATGTGGCAAAATGACTTATGGAAGAAACTGCACTGATAATTATTAAACCCTAAAGGACTACTGCATACAACTATAGGAATTCGAAAGGAAGAAATGACTGAAAGTAGTAGAGAAATAAGTTGATAAAGTGACTAATAACATCCCATTTGTATTCCAAGGCCAAAATAACTACCTCTATTTAATTTAAATTTTCATTCAGGCACAGTGGCTAACACCTGTAATCCCAGCACTTTGGGAGGCTGAGGTGGACAGATCATGAGGTCAAGAGATCGAGACCATCCTACAAAAATTAGCTGGGCATGGTGGCACGTGCCTATAGTCCCAGCTATTTGGGAGGCTAAGGCAGGAGAATCTCTTGAACCTGGGAGGCCAAGGTTGCAGTAAGCCAAGATTGTGCCACTGCACTCCAGCCTGGGCATCAGAGTAAGACTCCGTCTAAAAAAAATAAAAAATAAAAAAATCTAAATTTTCATCTGACTTATGACCTCCCACAGCAATTAGTCACTAACAAAGCTGTAATAATATAGAAAATTGCCTGCTAACTTTCCAAAATTATGCTTATATAAAATAAACTGGTGGAAATTAAATATTAATATGCTACATTGTACTAAATAGGTTATCAATAAATATTTGTTGATATTAAGAGAATACAAATTCAAAATTACTTGAATCTCAGCTATACAAACTGTTGGTATTAAAAATTTGGCATTAGGTGACACAGAATTCCTACTATACTTGAAAATGAAGAGTTGCTACATTTTCTAACATTAACCTTATTTGCAAGGCTATTCTATTCTACGTGAAGAGACTTAAAAACAATGACAATGAAAAGTTAAATTAAATCCTTTAAAGATGTGGCTTGTGGTGACCTACATGAGTGCAAAATCCACTATTAAATGATTATCTATTTAATTGTATTCTGTAGAAGTGATATTGCATTTTTCATCTACCTGTCATGTTTCAGGAGCAATTTGTATTGTTTAAGGACAAAAAGAGATTAGGGGATTTTTTGTGTGGGGTGACTCAAGGCAGGTATGCATACCTTATCTTAATGAAAGCATTTAGCAAGGACTGTAAGTTTATTCCACTTAAAATATTTTAAACACAGCCTTTTGCATTTTCATGCTTGAAACCAGCTTACATAGAGAGATGAGTCAGTGCAATGGATACTCCTAATGCCTCAAGGTTCCAGAGACAACAGCTTCAAAGAAAAGAAAGATAGGAAAAGCATTCATTCATATTTTGTGACAGGCACATCTCTGTTAGCTTATAAAGCCTAAAATGAACAGCTACTGCAAAAGATATTTGAAGTGATGAATCCAACGTTTGAGAGCACTTGACATGCCTGGGAAGGCAGCCATGTGAAAGATTAAAATAGCCCACTCTGATTTTGGCTCCACTGAAGAGTAGAAGAATCAGTCATGGAGGATGATTCAGAGAGCATTTATTTCACTGTGATATTATTTTCACACAGGTCCCATTTATTTGCTAATAAAATTATTCTTGAGGTTTATAATTTGACTGTTGTAATACTTGTAGTTTCATTTTTTTATAATTTGTCCATAAATATGAAGCCTATTTCAGATGATGTGTTTGATTATTATGAGTACAGCATGAAGAGAAGAAACAAGGTATAGGCATTGGGTTTCACCCAGGGCTATGTCGAAAAGCACTGCTGGAATTCTTTTGAGACTTTCTTGTTTGGTTTTTATTCCCTGTAAGTCTGGTTTACCTCCATCATTCACACAACAAGACTGAAGTTCACTGCCTTTTCATCCCTTAATAAGTTATTATAATTGGCAATGTGATTTTTAAGTACCAGCTAATTTGGTACTATTTGCTCTTTGCACTTAAACATGTTACCTACTCTGAGTAAACAACTGTGAGTTTATAAGACTACTCAATGGTATGGTCACCGGTTAAGAAATTTTACTCCCAGTTGACAGTTCTGCTTCGAAGCCCAGTTCTAATGACTGTGTGATTCTAGATGTGAATTTTGACTTTTCTGATCATCAGAAAATAAACACACTCCTTTTATGCGATTATGAGGATTAAAATGATATAATCAACATAGAGTTTATCAAAATACATAATAAGGACGTAGCAAAGGTTAGCTATTATTATTTTTAAGTGTGTGGTATTTTTTTTAAATCTGGACAAACGTATAGATGGCAAAAAGGAAAAAGTGCTGGCACAAGAACATAATCTCAGCAAATGCATTTGGGAACACAGTGTGGAACTTTGATATGTTGGAACCAGTGTTGCAGTTTGAAAGCAAAGCTTGACCTTGGAAATGACCTATAGGCTAACACAATCAAGACCCTGGACACAAATGACGGTCTTTGCATATCATTTTAGCCTTCAGCAGAAACTGCTACTCTGGAACCTGAAATCTATAGATGTACTTGTACTTGGATCAACTCTCTGATCTATAAAAGAGCTAGGATAATTTGATATTTAACATTTAAACAACACAACAAAAACATAAGTGATGGCTTTCCTTAAGGTACTTTAAACAATCTTCTATGGAACTAACCGTGGATTTCCACGCAAAATTTAAATATAGAGAACAAATAGTCACACATACGAAAAGTCATTAGTAAACTCAAAAAAGACAACAGATACAGGAAACGAGACAGTATCCAAGTAGAGAGAAGTAGAACAAAACCACAGGCATGTGGTTTGACTTATTTTAAATCAGAAAATAATACATAATCTTGCTGAAATTGATCTGAAATATTTCATTCATTACTTACCACACTATATTCATATGGTCGGGCGTGGTGGCTCTCGCCTGTAATCCCAGCACTTTGGGAGGCTAAGACGAGCAGATCATGAGGTCAAGAGATCGAGACCATCCTGGCCAACATGATGAAACCCCATCTCTACTAAAAATACAAAAATTAGCTGGGCGTGGTGGTACATGCCTGTAGTCCCGGCTACTCAGGAGGCTGAGGCAGGCGAATTGCTTGAAGCCAGGAGGCGAAGGTTGCGGTGAGCCAAGATTGTGCCACTGCGCCTTAGCCTGGCAATAGAGTGAGACTCCATCTCAAAAAAAAAAAAAAAATTACATTCATATTTAGTTTTAGTCATTTAATGTCTAAAAATACTTTTAATATCTGTAATTTCATTCTAGAGAAGTAAAACTTCAGAGTATTTTTCCAACAAAAGTTTCCCCTATGTTTTTATGTAAATTTTTATTCTGTTTAGTTGGTAAAAATTTATTATATTTCTGCAATTTACCACAATACAATTCAGTATAAAAAGATATAAATTAAATATATATTTGACTACATGAAAATGTATTTAAAACTCTTATAAGGCAAAAAAAAAAAAACCATAAGTAGAGTCTGAAGTCAACTGAAAAGTAGAGATAAAAGTATTTGCAAAATATATTTTAGATAAAGCATTAGTATCCCTAACACATTTTTAAATACCTAAAAATAAAGGAGTAAAAGCAAAATCACAATAGAAAATGGGCAAAAGACATGAACAATTTTTACAAAAATACAGAAACATGGCTCATAAATATATCAAATGATATATTCTTTTCAAAATAAGATAATTACAAATTAAACTACACTGCTATATCATCTCTCACTAATCAGTTTGTGTATATTTTAAAAGTGAAAATGTTGGTAAGGCTGTAGAAAATGGGCACTAGTGAGAATTCAAACTGGTATAGGCGACAGAGCAAGTCTCCGTCTCAAAAAAAACAACAACAAAAAACAAAACAAAACAAACTGGTATAATATCTATAGAGGGGATTTTGCAATATCTATTTTAACAACATATGTGTTTAGCTTTCTACCCAGCAATCTCATTTCTAGGAACTTACCCCAAAGATACACCCAACAATACAAAAATATATATTCATAGTTATTCACGGCAGCATTGTTTGCAATTGTTTGTAATCTCCCATATGACCTTACATTGGTAAGTGGTTGAAAAAATAACTGTAGTAAAGCCATACAAAGGAGTATTAAGTATCTGTTAAAAAAAAAAGAGAGAGTGAAAGAAAGGAATGAGAAAGACTCAATGAACCCATATATAGAGATGTCAAGGATACACTAAGCATTAAGTGAAAAAGCAAAGTCAAAAACCAAATATTGCATGTTTTCTCACTTATAAGTGAAAGCTAAATGATGAGAACACATGGACACATAGAGGGGAACAACACACACTTGGGTTTAGCAGAGGGTGGAGGATGGGAGGAGAGAGAGGATCAGGAAAAATTACTAATGAATACTGGCTTACTACCTGGGTGATGAAATAATCTGTACAACAAACCCCCATGACACAATTACCTATGTAATGAACCAGCACATATACCCCTGAAATTAAAAGTTAAAATAAATATTTTTTAAAGAGTAATTTTATAATGCTTTTTCTAAGTAAAAAGGAAATAGGAAAATATTCAGATATCTGCTCATTATAAAAAGAAACACAAGTAAAAACTAGAGACTAGTGAGGTTGGTTATCTGTAGGGGATGGGTGAGAACAAGGAGAAAACATAGAAGAAATGTGAGGAGGGAGTGAATGACGCTTCTCTAAAAGAATTTTCCACACAATTTTGGCTTTCAAAACCATGTTGATATGATTTGGCTCTGTGTTCCCACCCAAATCTCATGTTGAATTGTAATCTTTGACATTGGGGGAGAGACCTCATGGGAGATGATTGGATCATGGGATGTATTTCCTCTTTGCAATTCTTGTGATAGTGAGTAAGTTCTCAAAAGATCTGATGGTTTAAAAGTGTGTGGCACTTGCCCCTTTACTATCTCTCTCTCTCTCTCCTGCCACCAGGTGAAGATGTGCTTGCTTCCCCTTTGCCTTCTGTCACGACTAAGTTTCCTGAGCCTTCCCAGTCATGCTTCCTGTACAGCCTGCTGAACTGTGAGCCAATTAAACCTCTTTTCTTTATAAATTACCCGGTCTCAGGTATTTCTTTATAGCAATGTGAGAATGGACTAATACAGAAAATTGGTACTGGAGAAGTGGAGTACTACTATAAAGATACCAGAAAATGTAGAAGCAGCTTAGGAACTGGGTAAAGGGCAGAGGTTGGAACAGTTTCTAGGGCTCAGAAGAAGACAGAAAGATGAGGGAAAGTTTGGAACTTCCTTTTTTTTTTTTTTCCTTCCTAGAAACTTGTTGAATGGTTGTGACCAAAATGCTAATAGTGATATGGACAATGAAGTCAAGACTGAGGAGGTCTCAGATGAAGATGAGGAACTTACTGGGAACTAGAGTAAAGGTAACTCTTGCTATGCTTTAGCAAAGAGACTGGCAGCATTGTGCCCATCCTCTAGGGAGCTATGGAACTTTGAACTCAAGAGAGATGATTTAGGGTATCTTGAGGAAGAAATTTCTAAGCAGCAAAGCATTGAAAATGTGGCCTGGCTGCTTCTAAAAGCCTATACTTATTTGCATAAACAAATAAATGACCTGAAACTACTTATATTTAAAAGAGGAGCAGAGTATAAAAGTTTGAAAAATTTGTAGCCTGACCACATGGTAAAAAAGAAAAACCCATTTTCTGGGGAGAAATTCAAGCTGCAAAAATTTGCATAAATAAAGAGGAGCTGAATTTTAATAGCCAAGACAATGGGCAAAGTGCCTCCACAACATTTCAGAGACCTTCACAGCAGCCCTTCCCATCACAAACCTGGAGGCCTAGGAGGAAAGAATGGTTTCATGGGCCAGGGCCAGGGCCCCAATGTTCTGTGCAGCCTCAGGACATGGCATCTTGCATAGCGGCCATGCCAACTATGGCCATGGCTAAAAGGGGCCAAGATATAGCTCAGGCCATTGCTTCAGAGGGTGTAAGCCCCAGCTTTGGCAGCTTCCACATGGGGTAGGGCCTGTGGGTGCACAGAAGATAAGAGTTGAGCTTTGGGAGATTCCACCTAGATTTCAGAGGATGTAAGGAAACACCTAGATAACAAAGCAGAAGTCTGCTGCAGAGGTAGAGTCCCCATGGAGAACCTCTACAAGGGCAGTGCAGAGGGGAAATGTGAGGTTGGATCCCACATACAGAGTCCCTACTTGGACATTGCCTAGTGGAGCTGTGAGAAGAGGGCCACCATCCTCCAGATCCCAGAATGGTAGATCCACCAACAGCTGGCACCAAGTGCCTGGAAAAGCCACAGGCACTCAACACCAGCCCATGAAAGCAGCTGCGGTTGATATACCCAGCAGAGCCACAGGGGCAGAGATGCCCAAGTTCTTGGGAGCCCACCCCTTGCATCTGCATGCCCGGGATGTGAGACATGGAGTCAAAGGAGATCATTTGGGAGCTTTAAGTTTTAATGACTGCCCTGCTGGGTTTTGGACTTGTGTGGGTCTCATAGCTCCTTTGCTTTGGCCAATATCTCCCATTTGAAATAGGATCATTTACCTAATGAAATAGGATCATTTACTTAATGTCTGTACCCACATTGTATTATGTAAGTAATTAACTTGTTTTTGATTTTACAGGCTCATAGTTGGAAGAGAATTGCCTTGTCTCAGATGAGACTTTTGAGATGGACTTTTAAGTTCATGCTGGAATGAGTTAAGATTTTGGGGGACTGTTGGGAAGGCATGATTGTATTTTGAAATGTGAGAAGAACATGAGATTTCAGAGTGGTCAGGGGTAGAATGGTATGGTTTGGCTCCATGTACCCAGCGAAATCTCAGGTTGAATTATAATCCCTAATGTTGGGGGATAGACCTTGTGGGAGGAGGTTGAATCCTGGGGACGATTTTCCTCCTTGCTGTTTTCATGATAGTGAGAGAGTTCTCATGAGATCTGATGGTTTGAAAGTGTGTGTCACTTCCTACCTTTGTCTCTCTCCTGCTGCCACATGAAGATGTGCTTGTTTCCCCTTCACTTTTTGCCATAATTGTAAGTTTCCTGAGGCCTCTCAGTCATGCTTTCTATACAGCCTGTGGAACTGTGAGTCAACTAAACCTCTTTTCTTTATAAATTACTCAGTCTCAGGTAGTTCTTTATAGCAGTGTGAGAACAGAGTAATACACATGTTAATGTTTGATACACTCAAGAAACTTTTAAAAAATTAATTGGGCTAGGGAAAACTCTACAAACACAAAAACAAATTAAACCATATTTCACATGAATAATACAACCTACCTAAAGGGGAAAGAGAAACTAACTTTTAAACATAATTTTTATAAAACCAGAAACAAATATTGAACTGTAGTTTTTTTACAGTGATATAGGTTAATAATTCTCACACAAATTTCTGTATATTCTAGGATTAAGCAAAGTAGTAAATATATCATAGATGCCTGAACTTTCAAATGACTCAAAATAAAAGTTATAATAATGTGTGTGTGTTCGTGTGTGTGTGTGTGCACTCATGGGAAGGGCAAATATGAATTAAAAATAAGAGGCTTAATTCTCCCTGTTAAAAATAAGAGTAGAGAACACTCCTCTATTTTCTTATAGCATGTGCTTTAGAACAATTGTTATTATAAACGTTCTCTGACTCTGAAATGTATGTAAAGCTTTTTAGAAGCAAAATAAGGCTCCTACCAGCTTGAAGACCCAGGAATGTTTTTCTCAAATAACTGGGAATTAACTCTTTGAAATGTAGTCATCTAGGAAGATAACTCCCCTATCTCCTGGTATTTGTGAGAGAGTAAGAAGGTACCTTGGACAGACCTCAGCTCCAGGTTACAAATAGATTGTATCTGCTGGGCTATAATAAATGAGAGAGATTTCTTTCAGTCTAGGCACTCTCTTAGCAGATTGCCTGTGATATGCATCACATTCCAGATTAATGCTTATTCAATAATTAAATTTTATTTCTCTTCTACCTTTGTTGGGAGATTTTTCTGGACTAGAAAGATATGTTGTTGTAATTATATTTCCTCAACTCTGTGTGTGTGTGTGTGTGTGTGTGTGTGTGTGTGTGTGTAGAAAGAGAGACAGAGAAGAGGAAGAAACAGGAAGTAAGAAGGAAAAGTAAACATAGTGTTAACATTTGGGGAATCTGGATAAAGGTTTTCAAGGAATACTTTATATTATTCTTTAACCTCTCAATAAGTCTGAAATTATTTCAAATTAAAACGATAAAATATAGAATAAAATGACGTAAAAAGCACAGGGCACAGGAAAATTCTGAGCATGAAACTCAACATTCTTGGATTAGTTTTATTTGAGAAATCCAAGACCTTTACACAATTTTCAGAGTTTTTTCTACTGTTCACCACTAATGAGATATCAAGCCTGGTCTATAAAAAATTTACCTATCTCATCACTTAAGGACAATTAATCAAACTTTTTAGAATTATATAACTCTTAGCTCTCAACATTCTAACAGGGATCATTTTATTCAATCTTTTGACAAATCAAGATGAGGTTAAATTTTCAAAAATGACTAGGAAGTTATTATCATCTTTGATTTGCAGACTGTGAAATAATGCGAGATGCAATGAATATTTATTAAATTCAGAAAATCTTCCATTTACAAAGGTAAAAATATTTGTAAGTCACTCTATAAAATAAACAATAAAAACTATAATATAAGCTGGGTGCGGTGGCTCATGCCTGTAATCCCAGCACTTTAGGAGGCCGAGGCAGGCAGATCACGAGGTAAGGAGATCGAGACCACCCTGGCCAATATGGTGAAAGTCTGTCTCTACTAAAATACAAAAAATTAGCTGGGCATGGTGGCGCGTGCCTGTAGTCCCAGCTACTTTGGAGGCTGGGGCAGGGGAATCGCTTCAACCCAGGAGACAGAGGTTGCAGTGAGTCAAGATCACGCCACTGCACTCCAGCCTGGTGATAGAACAAGACTCCATCTCAAAAAAAAAAAAAAAGAAAAAGGAAAAGAAAAAGAAAAAAACTATAATATATACAAAAATTCAACTGTGACTTGAAATCAGAAAAGGTTTTAGTAATTTGTAATCAACATTTTGAGGTTAGAAACAACTACAACGGGCCAGGCGTGGAGGCTCATGCCTGTAATCCCAATACTTTGGGAGGCAGAGGCGGGTGGATCATGAGGTCAAGAGATCGAGAACATCCTGGCCAACATGGCGAAACCCCATCTCTACTAAAATACAAAAATTAGCTGGGCTTGGTGGCACGTGCCTGTAGTCCCAGCTACTCAGGAGGCTGAGGCAGGAGAATTGCTTGAACCTGGGAGGAGGAGGTTGCAGTAGGTTGAGATCACACCACTGCGCTCCAGCCTGGTGACAGAGCAAGACTCCTTCTCAAAAATCAAACAAACATACAAAGAAAAAAAAAAAAGTAAACTGAGCTTCGGAAGTGAAAAATATTTAGTCTCATGAACTATTTGCATTAGTCTGTTTTCACACTTCTATAACAAACTACCTGAGACCTGGTCATTTATGAGGAAAAGAGATTTAATTGACTCACAGTTCCACAGGCTTCACAGGAAGCAAGACTGGGAGGCCTCAGGAAACTTACAATCATGGTGGAAGGGGAAGGGGAAGCAAGGACCCTCTTCACATGGTGTCAGGAAATCGAAAGAGTGAGGGGGGAAGTGCCACAAGCAAACAGATCTCATGAGAACTCGCTCACTATCACAAGAGCAACAAGGGGGAAATCCCGCCCCCATGATCCAATAACCTCCCTCCAGGCCCCTCCCCCGACACGTGGGGATTAAAATGTGAAATCAGACTTGGGTGGGGACACAGAGCCAAACCATATCACTATTTGCAAAGGGAGTGTCTCAATAAACTAAAAATTAACTTTGTAACTCTATGTACTAAAAGCACTTACTTTGATATACATGTCAGTTGTACAAGTTCAGTTTTCTAAGGTTATGCACGTACTTTTGGGGTGGACAGGCTTTTAAATGTGTATTATTCACCAGGTATATATAATAGCATTACATATTTTTGTCTAACCAATTAATCTCATAATTCAAACCATCTTTACTCATCAAAATTATATAAAATGCAATAGGCTGAAAACAAAAGGCACATTTTGTAATTTTTTCATACTCCTATTATCCATTTGGCGTAAGTACTTCTTTTAGCATCCTTCTTTTAGTACTTAACACTAGCTTTATTAGTTGCATTTGCAAAATATTCTAAAAGTATACAAATAATCATTATAAAAAATCATTATAAAATCATTTTGCATTTGCAGAATATTCTAAAAGTATACAAATAATCATTATAAAAATAGCTAACATGTCATGAGAACTTGCTCTATGTCATGTACTATGATAACCAAGTGTACATTTATGTGATTTATTACAGCAACCCTGAGAATATTATCTCCAGTTTATAGATGAATTAACTGAGGCTCAGAAAGATTAAGTAACTTTCCCTATGTCACACAGCTAGTACATAGGTTGCTGAAGTATAAATCTAGTGCGTCTGGTTTGGAAGCCTATAAAAATTATCCTCAACAATATTTCTCTATCTGTATTCATCATGTGAAAACAGAACACAGAAAATGATATGATGGACCATTTTCTCAATTTTTCCAAGAATGCTATATAATTAGAACTAGTCTAGGTGAATAGAAAAGAAGTTAATTCATTAGTTTCTATTTGGTAGTGATTAGTTTGTGCCAGACACTGGGAAAAGTGCTACATGTACATTAACTTATTTAATTACCAAAGCCATCCTGAGGGAAACATGGTATCAGCTCAAGCTTCTAGACTAGGAAACTGTTGCTCTGAATGAAAAAGATGAATTGACCAAGTTCATACAGAATTTATCCCTCCTCACCACCGGAATTCCTAGCCTAATCTCATTTATAATCACTCTCTTGACAATTGTTTACATAGAACTTTAAAAATGAAAAGTCAAAATTGGAAAATGCTTAAAATGGACATAAAATGGCTAAGGAAATTTTCAGCCTAAAAAGTAGAAATTCTACCTAAAATTTGCAGACTGTATTTCTACCTCTGAATCTTATAGAATTATCAGAGCTCTAGAATAATAATGTAGCCAGCATTTCTTCTCACTCAAAAGTCATCATGAAAGGACATTTTGTGTGCATGTTTCTCATTATGTATTTAAATTACCATACCAGTAAGAAGCCTACTCTTAGAGATGGAATTTTCACCTTTAACTGGATCATATCCTGTTATTATAAAATCCTCAAACTCAATCCTGCAGTCAGTTTCAGGCAAAATGTCTTGTCTGTGTAAAAATTTTAAGTGCTTACAACTCCAAGTTTACGCGTGCAGGCCTCTAGTGTTATAATGTCTATAATTCATGTCAAATGTCAGAATCATTGTAATGAGAAACAGTGAGATAGAGTGGCATCGTTACATGTCATCTGCAGAGTATCAAAAATATCTTCAATTCCAATGTAAAGGCTACATTTAGAGGGGCAATTCGTGACAGGTTAGAGTCAATACTTTAATCTGAAGAGGCCACTACTATTTGTCTGCTGTAATCACTGACTAACAAAATGGTTCCATTTTGCAGCTAAAATCAAAATAGGTTTACAGTCTTTGTGCAAGTTCTAAGCCTTTCTTTTCAAAGTTACTAAGTCTGATTATCATGAGGTCAGCATGAAAGCTGAAGCAAGAGACATTTCATCCACTTGGTGACATTTTCTTTACACTTAAATAGAAATTATTGCTCTTCTTTTCTCCTTACTTTTTCTCCTTACCTTTATATTAAAATTTGTTAAGTTCAAATATTAGTACTTACTTCAACTGTTTTTGAGTTTTCTAATATAATAAAGTCTAATGGCTTATGTAATTAAGCAAATAACATTTAGCATTATTCTGTGTTTTCTCCAAAGAAACTACTTATTTTTTTTAAATTATTGAAGGGAAAGATAGTTTTACATTCAGATCTTTTACCACATAACATCTTTCACCATACAATTAAATATATGCATTTGTTAACAGGCAAACTACGTGATTGAGGCCAACCTTCTTGACTGTGGTAGTAAAAATGTAAATAAATAAATCATTAAAAAACTAGTGAAAATTTGAAATAGCCCCTATGGAGAACTGAAAAGGGGTAAACTAGGAATGAAAAAAAGAATTTCCAATTAGAAACAAGGTTGCAAAGGTTAGAACTCCTTTATTTGTAGCAAAGGCAAAAAGTATGAGTATGGAAATTTTCCCCAAAGCAATTTTAATGATACAATAACATAATAAAAACAAGAGGGTAGATACTAGGGATATTGATGAAGATGAATGAAAGGTACCTGGTGATTCTTAGAGTGAGACTCAGGGCAGACTAGGACAACTCCCATGTTTCTGGCTTAGTGGCTTGGGATATTAGGTGGATAGTAATGCTCTGTCATAAGAGAAAACTCAGATTAAGATTAAAGTGTGGTAAGATGGACAAAATAATTACTTCAATTCAGTCTAGAAGTCAAGGTAACTGAGAAACCTCCAAGTAAGAAATTTATATATACTTGAACATATGAGTTCAGAGTTCAGGAAAGTAATCTCCGTTACATCCTGAAGTTATTAGTGCCTCAGTATTTGGAGTTCTGTGCTGTCCTTACTTTGGAAGTAAATAGCAAGAAAATAATATGGCCAATTAAGGACCTGAGTAACACCAACTTTTCAGGCTACATTATGGGATCACGTGAAGAAAATTCCATGAAGGAGACTGAGAAGGATTTCTATGAAAAGTAGAGGGGAAATTGGGAGTGACAGTGACTTAGTGTATCAATATCAAAAAAGAGTAAGGTCTAATACAGAAGAAATTGTCAAGTGTCAAGATCAATCTTGTCTTTTCCAGGCAGGCATGAAAACATATTCAGGAGAATGAACACAACGAATTTAGAAACTGGGATGTCACTGGTGACCTTGGAAGATCAGGTTCCTTGGTTACTGTAGGAAGTAGCCAGATTCTAGAGAACCTAAATGTGAGGTGGAAGAGTATAGACTATTTTTTTAAGAAGCTTAGCCGTGAAGTGGTGGAGACAAGTAGTAACTAGAAAGTGTAAAAGAATTGAAGGAATATTATTTTGTATTGTAAGAGAATGATAATTATTTTATACTCCAAAAAAAAAGGCCATTGGAAAAGTACAAAGAATGTATGGAAGAATTGATGTAGCAAGATCTTTAGGGAGTTGAGTGAGACGGAGATCCAGAGGAGACCTAGAACTTAGCCTCGGGGAGCAGAAGAAACCCCCTTTCAGTGGAGATATATTTATTATGCAAGGGCACAAAATCAGGAAAGTTTTCTTGCATCTCAGATTTATCTCTGGTGTCCTCATTCCCCATTGCTATTTCAAGGCCATGTTATCTCCTTTCTCCAACAATGCTTACCCTTTTTAGATTTACAAATTTACTTTTACATTTCTGTTTTGTTGGCATGGGATTACATCTCCCGACTGTTCCCTGTCATTCGCTGATAACCTAGGCACCTGGATAACAGTTTTCCTTTCCTCTTGCAACCCAAATGTCCAACAATGATAGAATGGATTAAGAAAATGTGGTATATATACACCATGGAATACTATGCAGCCATAAAAATGATGAGTTCAGGTCCTTTGTAGGGACATGGATGAAACTGGAAACCATCATTCTCAGCAAACTATCCCAAGGACAAAAAACCAAACACCGCATGTTCTCACTCATAGGTGGGAATTGAACAATGAGAACACATGGACACAGGAAGGGGGACATCACACTCCGGGGACTGTTGTGGGGTGGGGGGAGGGGGGAGGGATAGCATTAGGAGATATACCTAATGTTAAATGACGAGTTAATGGGTGCAGCACACCAACATGGCACATGTATACATGTGTAACAAACCTGCACATTGTGCACATGTACCCTAAAACTTAAAGTGTAATAATAATAAAATTTAAAAAAAAATTCTGAAAGCATTTCAGTCTGTGTTGGTGATACTTCTAATTCTCTAACAATGTGTACAGTGATCTTTTAACCTCAAACAATTGTTATCCCTATGTCATGACCCTGGTCTGAATGTCACCTGGAAAATCTGAAACTCTATAATGTAATTAATGATTAATTAATTTAATATGTTATTAGATCTATTATTAATTACGATTAGAATCTTCTACAAGTGTAACTCTCACTTCATCCAGTCATCCTATCCTCTCACTTGCATTAATTTCCATTTTTATTTAGCCATAAATTCACGGCAAAACACTTCAGCACATACCAGTTATTTGTCTATCATATTTTTCTCTGTAGTTGTTCCACTTATCCTTGGACCAAGAAAAATTCAAACATCTCCTTTCTGTTTCCTTGCTCTCATGCTGATGAGCGCAGTCAAGCAGGGGTAGAGGGAGCACGAAAAATTGGATCCACTACAAATGTATTTATTCTAGTTCAACTGGATCCTTAGTGCTGATTAGGAATTATTTTATACTGCTTAATGGACACCCATTTCAATCCTCACAATAATCCTCCCAAACCATTACCAACCTATTTATCATTTCTTAAGTATTGTCCTCATTATAACTCCATTATAATGCCATATTCACTTCAGGCCTTTATACTTTTCCTGGACTACTGCAATTGTATCCTAACTAGGCTGTTGGCAAATAGTCCATTCTTGTGCCAATTCTTCATCTAATTGCTACCAAAATAATATTTAATACTGAGGCCCAATTATGACAGTTTTCCATATTTAAAATTCTAACTAAACTATAGGCTTTCAGGATAAAGTTCAAAAACTTCAGAGGTAAAAAATAAATATTTAAAAGTCTTTAACAAGCTGGTTTCAAACTAAATTTTTGAACCCACCATGAATCTGCCAATCTTTCCTCTTTTTCTAAATTTTGCAAACTTTGATATGCAATATATTCTATCATCCATTTAAAATAACTTTTTTTTATTTTTGTGAGGTAAAATAGCATACATTCTTTTCAACAATAAAAATGTCACAGCCTCTGTAAATTCTTCACTTTAGAACCCCTATGGCTCTATTTACATAACCCTTTTTTGGAAAATATCAGGTTATATTATGTTTTCTGAGGGAAGACATTCTGTGTTATTCATCTTCCATACTGGGATGCTTATAAAATAAATAAGTTTACAATTAGAACTGCACTGGCTTCAGAACACCCATTCTTCTAAGAAAGACTGATTTTCATGACTTGCCAAGCACTCTATCGAACAAGAAGGAACACTTAATCAACCCTGTTCTATCCCATGCCCAAAGTTCTAAAGGTTTGCTGGTCTCCAAGGACTCTCCAAGAAGTGAGGAAGCAGAAGAAGGAAACTTTATCTGTATAATCATATAGACAGATCTTAAGATTATAACTGTAAAAAGGAAAGTTACAGGCAATAAATAAAAACTGATAAAATCTATGAATTAAAGAGACCAAATAACATTAGGTACCAGTCACCTCTGTATCTGTATTTGTGTGTGTGTGTGTGTGTGTGTGTGTGTGTGTATAATTCAAACAAGTTAGCTATATATTCATCTTTGGAAAATATGTATAATACAGATTATATGTGTTATCTCACATATTTTCTCGTTGGAAAATTTGTAGAACACATTTTAGGTGTTCTATGGAAAGGATACATAAGATATCTCAATAGGAGAAATTATGTAAAGAGAGAGAATAGGATTAGGTGGGAGGATCTAGAAAGTCAAAAAGGATTCAATTTTATATTTAACATTTTATCAGGAAAAAATAGAATAAACTAAATATAATATTATCTTGACTATTTTAAGTTGTACATAATATGCATTTCTGTATTTCTGAGTTTTTAATTTTTTTGAAACTATTATTTTTAAATGATAAAATATACAGTAAACCTATTGCTTTTCTCAGGTTTTGGTGAGTGAAAATGCTTATATTCTGGCTATGAAGAGGAAACACAAACATTTAAGATAAAAATAAAATAAACTTTATTCAGTTTTAGCTTTGAGTTGTTGAGTAAACTGGGCCTTGAGAAAAGCCCATAGTTTCCTTAGAAATCAAGTACTTCATCCTAGATACAGAGGAATAAAAGGAAATTGTTCTATAGAATAGTTATGGCACATTCTCAAGAGAATGGTGTTGACGGTTCTATAATTACACAGTATGAAGTAGTTCCCAAAAGACTATTAAATATACAGAGTCTGACAGAGAATCCATAATACCGTTTCCTGTCTACTCCCAAAAATGTTGATCTACAGGGCTATCTCATTGAAGTGTGTTCAGCTATGGAGTTTGTTAGCTCTTATTTTACAATAAGATTTTGCAATAAATACACACTGATAACATCTATAAATTAAAAAGACCAAATAATATTAGGTACTGGTCACCTCTGTATCTGTACTTGTGTGTGTGTGTGTGTCTGTGTGTGTGTGTGTGTATGTGTGTGTGTGTATAATTCAAACAAGTTAACTACATATTCATCTTTGGAAAATATGTATAATACAGATTTTATGTGTTTTTTTTTCTAACAGGAATGACAAACACACAATAAAGAATTATGTTGTCTTTCTATTGGCCATCTCAAATTTCTCATTGGTTTTTAACATTTGACGTCTATCTGCATAGGTTGCTATCTATGTAATCAGGTAGAGAAAAGGTTTACAACATTAGCAAAGCTTACACTAATACTTTTTATAATTTTAATACACCAAATATATTTAAATGTTATATATTTTAAGCTTTATAGCCCATGATATATTCATATTTTATTTGAACATTTCAGAAAATAGCAAAAAGTCATATATAAAGCCACTCTTTTTTTGGAAGAGTATAAAGTAAAAAATTAATACCTAGCTCTCCAATTCTTTTGAAGTGACGACAACTAACAGTTCTTGTAAACGAATGCACAATAGTGCGAGAAATCTATCTCAGGTAGAAGAATGGAAGCACAGAACATAAAAAGCAAATGCACAGAGGATAAATATGAAAAGACTGCTAACTGCTTAAAGTGACAGTGTGAACAATTCACTCTGGTGTTTACAACATATCTGGAAGTAAAATATATAACAATAGTGAATAAAAGAGCAAGAGGAATTAAGTAAATTTAAAAACTGTTTCGAAGTTTTCACATTGTACTGGACTTGGTAAGAGGTCTAATTTAAGGTACATGGTAAAATAAGTTACAGACGTCTTTTGTAATATCTGAAGTACCTAGTAAAAGAATGATAGTTATAGTCATAGCAAGTCAGATAATAGAAAAAGTACATTGAAATGACTTTGAAAAATATGTAATTAATACAAACAAAAACAAGAAAGAAAAAAGTGAGTAAATAAACGATGTCACAAATAAAACAGCAAGATCATACACTCCAACACTGTGTGTATATGTGTGTGTGTTTATATATAGGCAAGCAAAAATAAAGCTGGTTTGGCTATATTTACATCTAATATATTATTATATTTTAAATTATTGTTAACATGTAATATTAACATAGCACAAAAGTAGACCTTAAGGTAAGAGTAATAGGGATAAAGAAGGACATTTCATAACGATAGCTAATTTAACAGAAATATGTAACATTAATGACATACCATTAAATATATACATATAATTGATAACATTAAAATATATTAAGCAAAAATTGACGAACTAAAATGAGATAACAAATCTACAATGTAAATAGAAGACTTTAAAGTACTTATTTCAGTAACTTATAGAAAAAGAAGACAGTCATAGAATACTCAAGCAACATATTTAACCAATTTAACCTAATCAACATTTACAGAACACTGCTCCCACAAATACAGAATACGTATATTTTTCAAGTGCATATAGAACATTTACCAAAATATTATGAACCATGAATTATGTTTCAACACATTTCAAAGGCTGAAAACAAGACAGAATAGATTGTATGAATACAGTAGAATTAAATTAGAAGTCAATAAGGAAAAAAATAACTAGAACATCTCCACATTCGTGAAAACAAATGAAAACACTTTAATCCTTGGGTAAAATTTTAAAATTTAATCACATGGGAAATTAGAAAATATTTTGAACTCAATGATAATGAAAACATAGCAGATCGAAATTTTAAGGATGAAGCCAAAGCAATCAGAACAGTTAAGTCCTTACTTAACATCATTAATCTGTTCTTGGAAACTGCAACTTTAAGCAAAACAAGATAAAATAAAACTAGTTTTACCATGGGCTAACTGATATAAACAAAAGTTAAGTTCCTGTGGCATATTTCCAGTCACAAAAGCATCACCGAACTTCCAAATAAAGACCAAACACCCCTAACATTAAACACTGAAATAAATGAGCTACACATACACTTAAGAAAGATTAATAAATACAAGTATAATGATTATTTACCAACTTATTCCAGTTCAGAGGTGCAGGAAGCTGGAGCTTATCCTGGCAGCTCAGTGCTCAATGCAGCAACCAACCCTGGACAGGAGCCCATCCCAGCACAAGGCACACTCCCACACACCCACACTCACTCAGACTGGGACCACATAGACATGCCCATTCTTCTAACACACACGGCTTTGGGCAGAGGTAGCACTGGCTGGGAACTGATTTTTCGTCCCTCATCAATGTTATAAAGAAACATTATTTGAGGACTTGCTGTACAGGAAATTTTTATAGCTTTATATGGTTATATTAAAGAAAAAAATAAAGATTTTAAATCAATGATTCAAGTTTCAACCTTAAGAAGGTAGAAGGTGATGAGCATTTTAATGTAAAAGAAAACAGATGGAAAGAAATAATACACATGAGCTGAGAAATTAATGAAATGGACAACAAACAATAGAGCAAATTTAAAAAGCAAAAGATCTTTGAGAAGATTAATAAAACTGATGCACCTCTAGCCATAGAGCTCAATTACCAACACCAGAAAAGAAAAGGTGCTGATCACTATCGGTGTTAGGGACATCGAAAGGAAAAATAACAAAATATTATAAACAAGGTTATCACAAGAGATTAAAAATCTGGATAATATAGACAAATTTCTTGAAAAACACAATTTGCTAAACTAATGAAAGAGTAAATATAAACTTTGACTATATAATATATATAATCTATATCTACATATATAGATAAATATATGCTTAAATTCATGTTTAAAAACCAATGTCATTCAAATTCTTTAAAATAAAAGGTGTAAATAGCTGCACTGGTGAGTTCTTCCTAATATTTTAAGGAAAAAAATAATATCTTCTACAAATTTTTCAGAGGTTAGAATCACAAATTATTTTATGAAGCCAAATAATCTCAGTACCAAAACCTGACAAAGAGAATAATAGAAAGACCAATTATGAGTGAGTATCTATCATGATCACAGAAGCCAAAATCCTAAACAAACATCAAATGGATATACAGATATATAAAAGATTAATACATCAAGACCACATGGAACTTATTCTAGAGATATATATTAATTTGTTTTTTGAAAAAATATCAATTAAATTCAAAACATTAACACAAAAAGAAAAATAAACCTATGAACTTCTCCACCAAAACAGAAAATCACCCATTCACAATACCAAAAAATCTCTCCAAAAATTAAGAAAAGTAGAAAACTACCTTTTTCTGAAAGAGGATGCTTAGAAAAATCTACAGCTGACATCATATTCTATCATGAAATACTGTATACTTTTACTTCTAAAGTTTGTACTATTTGTTCAACAAATGTTGAATTTACTCAACATTAATGCACAAAAAGGAAACAAAAGGCATAAAATCAAAAACGAAGGAGTTTAACTATCTTTATCGATGGTTTCATTTGGAATTTACAAAATCCAATTGAATCTACAAAATAAACGGTTAAAATTAATAAGTAAATTTAGGAAAGTCACTGTTTACAACATGAATCTATTTTTCACAGAAAATATATTTGTCTTTATATATATACTAAGGAAACACAATTAAAATAAATATTAAAATATTAAAATTTATAAGATCATAAAAACATTGCTGAGAAAAAATTTTAATGAAAAAACAATAAAAATAATAGGGAAAGAGGGAAGGATGAAAGGAGGGAAGAAGGAAGGAAGAAAAGAAGGAAAGAAAGGAGTTAAAGTTCGTGCATTAGAAAACTCAACATTTGTCAATTTTTCATATGTCAATTCTCCCCAGACTTATCTTTGCAATGCGATACTGACCAAAACTTGCTAATGCATTTTGAAATTTGACAGGTTGATTGTAAATTTACATTGAAATAGTACATATGTGAAATATCTAAGCAAATATTGAAAGAGAAGAAATATTTGAAGAATTTACATTACCAAATTTGAAGACTTAATATAAAGTTACAATAATGAAGACATAAAGTGAGCGTTAAAAGATAGCTAAATATGAAATGGAACAGATTAACAGCCCAGGGACACATCCATGCATATACACTTTCTTGATTTTCAGTGCAAGTATCATTGCAATCTAATGGGGAAATATTTTTTTTCAATAAATGGAGCAATTGAATATCCTTATGTAGGAAAAAATGAGTCTTGACCCCTACCTCACATCTTACAATAAAATTAATTTAAAGTGGATCCTTGACTTAAATGTGAAAGTGAAACATTTAAGCTTATACTAAAGAACAGCAACAAAAATAAACCACAGAGAATAACTTTACAAACGGGAGGCTGGCAAAGATTCCTTAAATAAACAAAAAGCACTAAATTTTATAATGACTGTATTGGGCATCGTTAAAGTTGACTTATTTTTGTCAGAACACATCATGAAGAAAGCAAATAAGCATGCAGCACTGGTCGCACACATTTTCAATGTATATAGTTAAGAAAGCATTCATTTCCAGGACATATAAATACTTCCTATATCTCAGTAACAAAGAGACAGACAATCCAATTAGAAAATGAAAAAAAAAAAAGAATAGAAACCAGTATTTCACAAAAGGGGATTTCCAAATACCCAGTATTCATATTAGAAAAAAAAAACTTATTACCTTATGGGAGTGAAAATTAAAATAACAATAACATATCAACATATAAACCAGAAAAGTTCAAATGAAAAAGACAAATTCTAACATAAGCAAAGATGTGAAGAAACTGGATATTCATACATTACCAGTGTTGATGCAAACAGTATAACCATTTTGAAAATATAGCTTGGCATTTTCATACAGAGTAATACATACACTTACTACATAATGGTAATTCAAGTCTAGGTATTTTCACAAGATAACATAAAACAAATGTCTACAAATCACACATATAAGAATATTCAGAATTACTTTATTCATAATAGCCACAAACTGGAAACAATCCAAAAGTCTACAACAGGAGACTAAGTAACCAAATTATGGTATATTTAATCAATGGACTACAAAAATAACAGTAATAAAAGAGCACACTTCTGATATTTATAAAACCTAGCTGTATCAAAAATATTATGCTGAGTCAAACACAAAAGAGTGTTGGAATTTGATTCCACCTTATAGGAAGCTCAAAAGGAGACAAATCTAACCCATGTTACTAAAAGTCCCACTAGCAGTAAGTAATCTCTTGGGCATGAGAGATATTCTATATCTTTATCTCAGTGCTGGTTACAAGGGTATAATACGTACCTACATAAAACTCCATTGAGCTGCACACTGAATATTGTGTCCTTTACTACATTTAAATAATATCTTTTTAAAACAATTCCTTGCTGGCAAAATGGCAGAATAGGAACAGCTCCAACCCGCAGCTCCCAGCGAGAACAACACAGAAGGAGGGTAATTTCTGCATTTCCAACTGAGGTACCCGATTCATCTCACTGGGAATGGCTGGACAGTAGGTGCAGCCCAAGGAGGGCAAGCCGAAGCAAGGTGGGGCATCACCTCACTCAGGAAGCCCAGGGGGTCGGGGAACTCCCTCTCCAAGCCAAGGGAAGTCAGTAGGGACTGTACCATGCACTCGGGCCCAGATACTGAGCTTTTCCAAAGGTCTTTGAAACCCACAGACCAGGAGATTTGCTCCAGTGCCCACTGGGTTTCCACACCACCAGGGCCCTGGGTTTCCAGCACAAAACTGGGCAGCTGTTTGGGCAGACACCGAGCTAGCCCCAGGAGTTTTTTTTCATACCCCAGTGGCACCCGGAATGCCAGCAAGACAGAACCATTCACTCCTCTGGAAAGGAGGCTGAAGCCAGAGAGCCAAGTTGTCTGGCCTGGCAGGTTCCACCCCCACGGAGCCCAGCAAGCTAAGATCCACTGGCTTGAAATTCTCCCTGCTAGCACAGCAGTCTGAGCTGGACCTGGGACTCTCTAGAGCTTGGTGGGGGGAGGAATGTCCTCCATTGCTGAGGCTTGAGTAGGCAGTTTTACCCTCACAGTGTAAACAAAGCTACCAGGAAGTTCAAACTGGGCTGAGATCACCACAGCTCACCAGGGCCACTGCAGCCACACTGTCTATACAGATTCCCTCCTCTCTGGGCAGGGCATTTCTGAAAAAAAGGCAGCAGCCTCAGTCAGGGACTTGTAGATAAAACCCCCACCTCCCTGGGACAGAGCACCTCGGGGAAAGGGGCGGTTGGGGGCACAGCTTCAGCAGACTTAAACGTCCCTGCCTGGCAGCTCTGAAGAGAACAGCAGATCTCCCAGCACAGCATTCAAACTCTGATAAGGGACAGACTGCCTCCTCAAATGGGTCCCTGAACCTCGTGTATCCTGACTGGGAGACACCTCTCAGTAGAGGCCGACGGACACCTCATACAGGAGAGCTCTGGCTGGCATCTGGCATGTGCCCCTCCAGGACAACGCTTCCAGAGGAAGGAACAGGCAGCAATCTTTGCTGTTCTGCAGCCTCTGCTGGTGATACCCAGGAAAACAGGGTCTGGAGTGGACCTCCCACAAACTCCAGGAGACCTGCAGCAGAGGGGCCTGACTGTTAGGAGGAAAACTAACAAACAAAAAGGAGTAGTATCAACATCAACAAAGAGGACATCCACGTAGAGACTCCAGCCAAAGGTCACTGACTTCAAAGACCAAAGATAGATAAATCCATGAAGATGGGGAGAAACCAGTGCAAAACGGCTGACAATTCCAAACACCAGAACGCCCCTTCTCTTCCAAAGGATCACAACTTCTTGCCAACAAGGGAACAAAACCGAACAGAGAATGAGTTTGACGAATTGACATATTGAAAGAGTTTTAAGAAGGTGGGTAATAACAAACTCCTCCAAGCTAAAGGAGCATGTTCTAACCCAATGCAAGGAAGATAAGAACCTTGATAAAAGGTTAGACGAATTGCTAACTACAATAACCAGCTTACAGAAGAACACAAATGACCTGATAGAGCTGAAAAACACAGCACAAGAACTTCGGGAAGCATAAACAAGTATCAATATGCTTTCACTTGATCAATTTGGCTATCAGAGATTGAAGATCAACTCAATGAAATGAAGGGAGAAGACAAGATTAGAGAAAAAAGAGTGAAAAGAAACAAAGCCTCCAAGAAATATGGGACTATGAGAAAAGACCAAATCTACATTTGATTGGTGTACCTGAAAGTGACGGGGAGAATGGAACCAAACTGGAAAACACTCTTCAAGATATTATCCAGGAGAACTTCCCCAACCTAGCAAGGCAGGCCAACATTCAAATTCAGGTAATACAGAGAACAATACAAAGATACTCTGAAGAAGAGCAACCCCAAGACACATAATCATCAGATTCACCAAAGTTGAAATGAAGAAAAAATATTAAGGGCAGCCAGAAAGAAAGGTTGGGTTACCCACAAAGGGAAGCCCATCGGACTAACAGCAGATGACTCTGCAGAAACCCTACAAGCCAGAAGAGAGTGGGAACCAATATTCAACATTCTTAAAGAAAATAATTTTCAACCCAGAATTTCATATCCAGCCAAAATAAGCTTTACAAGCAAAAGAGAAATAAAATCCTTTACGAACAAGGAAATGCTGAGAGATTTTGTCACCACAAGCCCTGCCTTACAAGAGCTCCTGAAGGAAGCACTAAACATGGAAAGAATCAACTGGTACCAGCTACTGTAAAAACATACCAAATCGTAAAGACCATCGACACTATAAAGATGCTGCATCAACTAAAGGGTAAAATAACCAGCTAGTATCATAATGGCAGGATCAAATTAACATATAACAATATTAACCTTAAATGTAAGTGGGCTAAATGCCCCAGTTAAAAGACACAGACTGGCAAATAGGATAAAGAGTCAAGACCCATCAGTGTACTATATTCAGGAGACCCATCTCACATGCAAAGACATACACAGGCTCAAAATAAATGGATGAAGGAATAGTTACCAAGCAAATGGAAAGGAAAATAAAGCAGGGGTTGCAATACTAGTCTCTGATAAAACAGACTTTAAGCCAAAAAAGATCAGAAGAGACAAAGAAGGGCATTACATAATGGTAAAGAGATCAATGCAACAAGAAGAGCTAGCTATCCTAAATATATATGCACCCAATACAGGAGCAACCAGATTCATAAAGAAAGTTCATAGACACCTACAAAGAAACTTAGACTCCCACACAATAATAGTGGGAGACTTTAACACCCCACTGTCAATATTAGACAAATCAACGAGACAGAAAGTCAACAAGCATATCCAGGGCTTGAACTCAGCTCTGGACCAGGCAGACCTAATAGACGTCTACAGAACTCTCCACCCCATACCAAGAGAATATACATTCTTCTCAGCACCACATTGCACTTATTCTAAAATTGACCACATAATTGGAGGTAAAACACTCCTCAGCAAATGCAAAAGACCAGAAATCATAACAAACCATCTCTCAGACCACAGTGCAATCAAATTAGAACTCAGGATTAAGAAACTCTCTCAAAACCAAAAAACTACATGGAACTGAACAACCTGCTCACGAATGACTACTGGGCAAATAACGAAATGAAGGCAGAAATACAGATGTTCTTTGAAACCAATGGGAACAAAGACACAACATGCCAGAATCTCTGGGCCACATTGAAAGCAGTGTGTAGAGGGAAATTTATAGCACTAAATGCCCACAAGAGAAAGCAGGAAAGATCTAAAATTGACACCCTAACATCACATTTGAAAGAACTAGAGAAGCAGAAGGAAAAAAAAAATCAAAAGCTAGAAGAAGGCAAGAAATAACTAAGATGAGAGCAGAAATGAGGGAGATAGAGACACGATAAACCCTTCAAAAAAATCAGTGAATCCACGAGCTAGTTTTTTTTAAAAGATCAGCAAAATAGACCGCTAGCCAGACTAATAAAGAAGAAAAAGAGAATAATCAAACAGACGCAATAAAAAAAAATAAAGAGGATATCACCACCAATCCCACAGAAATACAAACTACCATCAGAGAATATTATAAACACCTCTACAAAAATAAGCTAGAAAATGTAGAAGAAATGGATAAATTCCTGGAGAGATGCACCCTCCCAAGACTAAACCAGGAAGAAGCTGAATCCCTGAATAGAGCAATAACAAGTTCTGAAATTGAGGCAGGAATTAATAGCCTACCAACCAAAAAAGTCCAGGACCAGAAAGATTCACAGCTGAATTCTATCAGAGGTACAAGGAGGAGCTGGTACCATTCCTTCTGAAACTATTCCAAACAATAGAAAAAGAGGGAATCCTCCCTAATTCATTTTATGAAGCCAGCATCATCCTAATACCAAAACCTGGCAGAGACACAACAAAAAAATAAAATGTCAGGTCAATATCCCTGATGAAAATCAATGCCAAAATCCTCAATAAAGTACTAGCAATCCGAATCCAGCAGTACATCAAAAAGCTTATCTACCATGATCAAGTTGGCTTCATCCTGGGGATGTGAGGCTGGTTCAACATATGCAAATCAATAAATGTAATCCATCACATAAACAGAACCGATGACAAAAACCACATGATTATCTCAATAGATGCAGAAAAGGCCTTCGATAAAATTCAACACCCCTTCATGCTAAAAACTCTCAATAAACTAGGTATTGATGTAAGGTATCTGAAAATAATAAGAGCTATTTATGACAAACCCACAGACAATATCATACTGAATGGGCAAAAACTGGAATGATTCCCTTTGAAAACCAGTGCAAGACAAGGATGCCCTCTCTCACCACTCCTATTCAACACAGTATTGGAAATTCTGGCCAGAGCAATCAGGCAAGAGAAAGAAATAAAGTGTATTCAGTTAGGAAAAGAGGAACTCAAATTGTCTCTGTTTGCAGATGACATGATTGTATATTGAGAAAACCCCATCGCCTCAGCCCAAAATCTCTTTAAGCTAATAAGCAACTTCAGCAAAGTTTCCGGATACAAAATCAGTGTGCAAAATCACAAGCATTCCTATATACCAATAACAGACAGAGAGCCAAATCATGAGTGAACTCCCATTCACAATTGCTACAAAGAGAAATAAATACCTAGGAATCCAACTTACAAGGGATATGAAAGACCTTTTCAAGGAGAACTACAAACCACTGCTCAAGGAAATAAGAGAGGACACAAACAAATGGAAAGAAATATTCCATGCTCATGGATAGGAAGAATCAATATCATCAGAATGGCATCGCATGTTCTCACTCATAGGTGGGAATTGAACAATGAGAACACTTGGACACAGGAAGGGGCACATCACACACTGGGGCCTGTTGTGGGGTGGGGGGAGGGGAGAGGGATAGCGTTAGGAGATATACCTAAAGTAAATGATGAGTTAATGGGTGCAGCACACCAACATGGCACATGTATACATATGTAACAAACCTGCACGTTGTGCACAAGTACCCTAGAACTTAAAAGTATAATAATAAAAAAAAGAAAAAAAAAAGAATGGTCATACTGCCAAAAGTAATTTATAGATTCAGTGTTATCCCCATTAAGTTACCACTGACTTTCTTCACAGAATTGGAAAAAAACTACTTTAAATTTCATATGGAAGCAAAAAATTGTCCACAAAGCCAAGACAATTCTAAGCAAAAAGAACAAAGCTGGAGGCATCAGGCTACCTGACTTCAAACTATACTACAAGGCTACAGTAACAAAAACAGCATTGTATTGGCATCAAAACAGATACATAGACCAATGGAACGGAACAGAGGCCTCAGAAATAATGCCACACATCTACAAACCATCTGATCTTTGACAAACCTGACAAAAGCAAGCAATGGGGATAGTATTCCCTATTTAATAAATGGTATTGGGAAAACCAGCTAGCCATATGCAGAAAACTGAAACTGGATCCTTTCCTTACACCTTAAACAAAAGTTAACTCAAGATGCATAAAAGACTGAAACATAAGACCTAAAACCATAAAAACCCTAGAAGAAAACTTAGGCAATTCCATTCAGGATTTAGGCATGGGCAAAGAGTTCATGACTAAAACACCAAAAGCAATGGCAGCCACAGCAAAAATAGACAAATGGGATCTAATTAAACTAAAGAGCTTCTGCACAGCAAAATAAATTATCATCAGAGTGAACAGGCAACCTACAGAATGGGAGAAAATTTTTGCATTCTATCCATCTGACAAAGGGCTGATATTAGAATCAACGAAGAACTTAAATTTACAAGAAAAAAAACTATCAAAAAGTGGGCGAAGGATAGGAACATACACTTCTCAAAGAAAATATTTATGCAGCCAACAAACACAAGGAAAAAAAGCTCATCATCACTGGGCATTAGAGAAATGCAAATCAAAACCATAACGAGATACCATCTCATACCAGGTAGAATGGCGATCATTAAAAAGTCAGGAAACAACAGATGCTGGAGAGGATGTGGAGAAATAGGAATACTTTCACACCGTTGGTGGGAGTGTAAAATAGTTCAACCATTGTGGAAGACAGTGTGGTGATTCCTCAAGGATCTAGAACTAGAAGTACCATTTGAACCAGCAATCCCATTAGTGCGTACATACCCAAAGGATTATAAATCATTCTACTATAAAGACATATGCACATGTATGTTTATTGTGGCACTATTCACAATAGCAAAGCCTTGGAGCCAACCCAAATGTCCATCAATGATAGACTAGATAAAGAAAATGTGGCACATATACACCATGGAATACTATGCAGCCATAAAAAGGATGAGTTCATGTCCTTTGCAGGGACATGAATGAAACTGGAAACCATCATTCTCAGCAAACTATCACAAGAACAGAAAACCAAACACCGCATGTTCTCACTCATAAGTGAGAGTTGAACAATGAGAACACATGGACACAGGGAGGGGAACATCACACACTGGGGCCTGTAGCAGGGTGGGGGCTTAGGGGAGGGATAACATTAGGAGAAATACCTAATGTAGGTGATGGGTTGACGGGTGCAGCAAACCACCATGGCAAGTGTATACCTATGTAACAAACCTGCACGTTCTGTACTTGTACCCCAGAACTTAAAATATAATAAAAACAAAACAAAAAAATCCCTTAAGGAATTATTTATAAGATGCAAAAAGTAGACAATGAAGGACACTCATTCTAGGAGGTTCCTTTGAAACCAAAGCAGCCATAGTGTGTTGAATTATCAATGTTGCCCTGAAAACTAAAGAGACTGTGTACTGTTTTGGAGCATCAGTCAGAGATGTTAGGAAATGTCCATTACAGAATATTTCTTTACCAATTAGCTGTACCAGAAAAGCTACAAATGGTAGTTCTCAAGTAATAAAAACCTCTTTTATAAAATGTAAATATGTTGGGTTTGCAAAGCTGGTTCTATTCATCAGGATGATATTGCAGAATTTACGATTTGCTTTCATTGTCACACCAGCATTATTAGCTATTACCTATTTAGAAAATACTGTTTTATTTGCTTTGAGAACTGAATGCAAGATTAAAAAAAAAATCTTAAAGAATGATAGAAAAACTGAAGAAACAAAAGGAAAAACAGTAGAGCCCACTCTGACAGTATCGACATCATGATTTCAGCCTTGGTTCAGTTCTTGCATTCCCTCAAAACATATGCACCACAGAAAAGCCTGAGCAGACGTTGTTAGAATCCCAGCTTTTCATGTAAGAAAACTAAAGATAAATTCATAAAGTAAAACTGGCTCACCTACTTTAAGGAATTGTCTGATGACCAAAGAATTAATTCCTTGTTATAAAAATGGCATTTTTTAGCAAGAGTCTCAAATTTCACAACAGATCATGCTACCAACACAGCTACTACACAGCTATTTAATCTCAGAAACGTTATACCAGCAATCTGGGTTTTTTTTTTTTCATTTTTAAAATAGAGTTTAATTTTTTAGTTTTGATACATGTATAGAGGTTAAATTTTTAGTTTTGATACATTGCATACATTGTGGAATGATCAATCAGGCTAAGTAACATATCCATCACCTCAAATATTTATCATTTTGGGGGTGAGAACATTTTAAATTGTTAGTTATCTTTAAATACACAATACACTATTATTAACTCTATGTTGTGCAATAGATCACCAGAACTTATTTCTCCTGTCTGACTGAAATTCAGGTCCCTTTCACTAATGTCTTTCCTTTCCCCGTCAATCTCCCCTTACCCCCCCAACCTCTGGGAACCACCATTCTGATCTATACTTCTACAAGTTTGACTTTCTTAGATTCCTCGTACAAGATTATACTTGTCTTTCTGTGTCTGATTTATTTTACTTAGCATAAAGCTGGTTCTATCCTCTAGGTTCACCCATGTTGTCAAAAATGAGAGAATTTTCTGGTTTTTTGAGGCTGAATTGTATTCTATTGTATATATAGGTTTTTTAAAAATCTATTCCTTCACTGTTGGGCAAGTTGATTGTTTTCATTTCTTAGCTATTGTAAGTAATGTTGCAGTGAGCATGGGAATGCAGACATCTCTTTGACATATTAATATTAGTCCCTTTGACTATAAACCAGAAGTGCAATTACTAGGTCTTATGGTGATTCTGTTTTTAGTTTTTTTGAAGAACCTCCATATTGTTTACCAAAATATGTGTACTAATTTACAATACCACCAACAGTGTACAAGGCTTCCCTTTTCTTCACATTTTTGACAACCTTATTTATCATCTTTTTTATAATAACTAATCCAACAGGTGTGAAGTGATGTCTCATTGTGGTCTAATTTGGATCTCTGATAAGAGATGTTGAGCATTTTTTCATATGTCTGTTGGCCTTTTGTATGTTTTCTTTTGAAAACTGTCTATTCAGATTCCTTTGCCAATTTTTGATAGAGTTATTTGTTGTCCTAATATGGAGTAATTTGAGTTCCTTGTATATTTTGAATATCGGCCATTTATCCAATGTATAATTTGAAAATATTTTTATCAGTATGTAGATTGTCCCTTCACTCTGTTGTTTCCTTTTTCTGTGCAGAAGCTTTTTAGCTTGATGCAATTCCAATTGTCTATTTTTGCTTTTGTTTACTATGCTTTTGGGATCTTTTCCAAAAAATCACTGGCCAGATCAATGTCATAGAGCTTTTACCTTATATTTTCTTCTAGTAGTTTTACAGTTTCGGGCCTTATATTTAAGTCTTTAATTCATTTTGAGTTGACTTTTGTAGAAAGAGTGAGATAAGAGTCTAATTTCATTCTCCTGTATGGAGATACCCCATTTTCCCAAAACTTACTGAAGAGATTCTCTTTGTCCCACTGTGTGTTCTTGGAACCTTTGTCACAAATCAACTGACCATAAATGTGTGGGTTTATTTCTGGGCTCTATATCCTATTCTATTGTTTCATGTGTTTGTTTTTATGCCAGTACCATATGGTTTTTATAATTATAGCTTTGTAGTATATTTTGAAATCTGTAGTGTGTTGCCTCCAGCTTAGTTCATTTTTGCTCAAGATGGCTTTGGCTATTTTGGATCTTTTGTGGTTTAATATTAATTTTAAGATAGTTTTTTCTATGTTCGTGAATAATGACATTGGAATTTTGTAAGGTATTACATCTGTAGATTTATTTAGGTAGTGTAGACATTTTAACAATATTAATTATTCCAATCCAAGAATATGAGTTTTTTTATTTATTTGTGTCATCAATTTATTTCATCGATGTTTACAATTTTCAGTGTATAGATCTTTTACTTCCTTGGTTAAATTTACTTTTAAGCATTTTTCTTATGCTGCTACAAATGGAATTGTTTTCTTTACTTCTTTTTTAGGTAGTTCTTATTAATGTATAGAAGTATTACTGACTTTTGTAAGTTGATTTTGTAACCTGCAACTTTATTGAATTTTTTATTTCAAATAGTTTTACAGTAGAGTCTTTAAGATTTCCCACATTACAAGATCATGTCATCAGCAAACAGAGACAATTACATAATTATTTTATACTTAGATGCAATTTATTTATTTCTCTTGCCTAATTGCTCTGGCTAAGATGTCCAGTAGTATGCTGAATAGAAGTGGTGAGAGTGGGCATCCTTGCCTTATTACTGATCTTAGAAGAAAAGCCTTCAACTATTCAATTGTTGGGTATGTTGTTAGCTGTGGGCTTGTCATTACTGTTTTGAGATACAGTCCTTCTATATTTTATTTGTTGAGAGTTTTAATCTTGAAAGACTGTGGAATTTTGTCAAATGCTTTTTCTGCATCTATTGAGAGGATCACATGGTTTTTGTCCTTCATTCTGTTAATATGGCAAATCATGTTTATTGATTTGCGTACGTTGAGCCATCCTTGCACCCCATGGATAAATCTTACTTGATCTTGATTAATGATCCTTTTAATATACTGTGGAATATATTTTCCGAGTATTTTATTGAGGATTTTTGCTTCTATGTTCATTAGTGATATTAGCCTGTAGTTTCCTTTTCTTGCCGTGTCTTTGCCTGGCTTTGGTATCAAAGTGATGCTGACCTTGTAAACTGAGTTTGGAAGTATTCCTTCTGGTTCAAATTTTCGGAAGTGTTTGAGAAAGATTGGCATTAATTCTTCATATATTTCGTAGAATTGAGCCAAATAGCCTCCTGTTCCTGGGCTTTTCTTTGATAGAAAACCTTTAATTACTAATTAAATCTCCCTACTCTGTATTGGTCTGTTCAGATTTCCTATTTCCTTGTGATTCAGTCTTGGTAGGTTATATGTTTCTAGGAATTTGTGAATTCCTTCTACGTTCTCCAATTGGTTGTAATATATTTGGCCATAGTAGTCTCTTATGATTCCTTGTATTTCTGTGTTATCTCTTGCAATATCTTCTCTTTCATTTCTGATTTTGAGTCTTCTTTTTTTTCTCTATTAAGGGTTTGTCCATTTTATTAAGCTTTTCCAAAAAAAAAGCCCCTCAATTTTATTGATCTTTTGTATTTTTTTTCTAGCGTCTATTTTATTTATTGCTTCTCTGATCTTTGTTTTAGATAAACTAGAAAAACAGAACTACTATCCAGATAATGTTAATTAAACATCCTCTTGAGCTGTGCAAAAACAAAAATTTCTATTCTATAGTACTGGGATCCACAGATGCACTTAAGAATAAGAATATGAGAGATGGAAAGCCCTCAGATACATTCCTAAGAGCAGATAGGAGGTCAAGCATCTTGACATAAAAATTGAATTATAAAATTTAGAACCTTCATATTAGTTGTTCATGACATAAAGCAAGCATATCAACAGAGTAGAATTCAGCACTGAATTTCAGTTGCTACAGATTGAAGACTGAAAGTGATATGATTTCAAACCTACACAAAAATATATAAAGCTGATGTCTAATCAGAGTGCTTTGATAATTCTGAGATTTCCAGTTCTCACTTATGGTCAAATGCAGAGTTCCCTAGGGAATTAATCAGAAAAGAACCAAATGTGTGGGTCATTTTTGCTGGGCTGGCTCATAGACTGTGCTGACAGTTCAACAAAAGAGGTAACTTGCATGATTAACAAAATCACTCTGCTCCATTTCTGTAAATTTAGCCAGAAAGACTCACTGGTTTTTAAAGAAGAGGATTAAGATATTTCAAGACAAGTGAGAAACATGAAGAAAAATTTCCTGTGTCCAACCAGACATAATATACATCATAATTGGTAGCAGCATGTTAAATTATCCTTAATCATGAAAATTAACTTATATTATGCATTCTTCCCATTTTGTATCTTTCAAATTACTTTAATTAGCACCAGTAGTATTTTTCTCTTAATCGCTTTCATGAAAATGAAGATTATCTTTTAAAAAAGTCTATTACACTGAGTTATCTTAAATCCCCAACCATATTTTATATGTTAGGCAAATATTAACTTGATTTATAAACATCAAATAATCCTTATTTTCCTCTTTATTTTAAAGGATTTTATAGAGTTTCCTGATAACTAGTATTATTTTCTTCTCAGACTGACTTTATATCTCAGTATTTTGGAAATTAAAATGTTTATTTCTATTACCCCCATGGATTTGATATCCTCACATATTCATGCTAGATAAATTGCATATTTTTAGGTATTGCCATATTTTCTAGATAGGAAATATCTGGTCATCTTTTCACACACAAAAGAGAAATTATGTGTGAACTAATGTTTTTCAAAACACGGTACACTGGCATCAGAGTACTTGTTGCAAATACAAACTGCAGGCTCCACTGCAGATCTACTGAAAAGAAGTTAGCAGGAGAGCAGGCGCCTGTATTTTTAATAAGCTCCTCAGGAGAATTCTTATGTACACTCAAGTGCATAAAAATGCTGGAGACAGATATCTGGAATACGCAGATTTAATTTTAAATATTTTTTTACAACAATCTGCATTGAAATGACAAATTTAAAGTGTAGAGTGGGAATTTTTTTTAAGAGAAATCTACTTTATAAGGAGTTTGGAGTAGCGTCCCAGTTCTCTTACAGAACCAGAATGAGTAAAATTAGTAAATCAGCCAAAAACAGTGCAGGTCAGTTGAACCTTGGAGAGGGAAAGAAAAATAAAACAGGGAGTGAGCAGAATTGCAGAATAGTTAGAATTCTCTTCAGTTTAAGAGAAATAGTTTCTAGGGCATTATGGGAATTAAAGATCAATGCTGTTCTGCCCATATACCATTCCTGGTTGCTCCATGTATAGGACCTTCACATTATCAAAATAATGTCATGATGAAATGCACAAGCAAATAAAATGGCAATTAGAGGAGAAGCCCCACTTATTTTAGGTAGGATGTTTGATAAACATTTGCTGAGGCTGAGCCAAAATAAGGACATCAGGAAAAAAATATGAGTGATGTAGAAAATCATTAACTTGAGCCTGCCTACCTAAAAAAAGAGAGAGAGCTTTATTCCAGGAACTGCTGAGTTGCTATTTCTAGTGATTATTCCAGTGGGTTTCAGTATTAAACAATTAATTATGCCCCTATATATGCATGTTGTCTCACCTGGTTAACTCATTGGCTTCAAGTTTCCCATTCCCTCTGCTCCACAGAAGCCCAGGCAGCTTGCTGTTTGATGGCTCTCCTCCCTGCCCTTAAGTCTCAAGAGTAAGAAGCTAGCCACAGTATTATAAACATTGGTCCATTTATTTAGGCAGGTAGCCTTTATTACCATGTTTTATTTTCTGTGAATTTTTTTTATCAAAGTAATACACGTACACTTTTAAAGTCTAACTATAATGAAAAACAATTCTCTTCCTCACCTCCCCTTTTCCTGAATCCCTCTCTTCTAAAATTTTTGGCTGTTTTTTTTTTCTGACACTAACCCACCTGGTTATAAAGTTATACTCCCATTTCTTATCGACTTAAGACATTAACAATTTTATAGTATTATGTATGAAGAAGATTTAAACTTTCACTTACTAGCTCTATTTTAGTGCCAGCCTCTCTTGCTCTCCTGCTATGCTTTGGGTGTCCTTCAGTATGGAGCCTCTAGTTCAATTTCTCCACCAAATAAACCTCTCTTCTCTTGCAGGGGTGAACGAGGCAGCTGTTTCACTGTACATTGCGGGGGTCCATCCCGCAGACCCTGACCCAACGACGGATGAGTAACGTACACTGACACAGATACTCCACTTGTCAGTCCGGCTGAAAGTCCGGGCGGCTTACAGACTCCAAGTAGAGTGCTGTAAAGAGTCAGCAGCCACGGACTGGACTCGCTGGCTCTCTGGGTATTTATTTAGCACACATTAAATGACAAAAGTCTTAAGTAAACAGCAGTAGAAGGTAATTACCATTGCTGACCCCGGAGTAGAGAGCAATCACGCACGCACAGCTAGTCAAAGGTTAGTCTTAGGACTACATGAGTAAACAAGCTATTTAGATAGACTCCTGTACATTCCTATGTTAATTACCCGGGCTATAGCTCAAAGAGGATTAGGCTGCCTTCAGCCATAACTTTATCCTGAGGCTTTTGCAAAAACCTTTGGCCTTCCAAGAAGGTTTATTTTTATTTTACAATTTTCCCCACCATCCTGACTGAACCCCTACAGTACAGGTTTAGGGAGGGGCTTGGGGGGAAAATGTCTTGCAAACACTTTCAATTCATCCTTCTCATTTGAGTCCACGTCCCATCCCACGCCAGCCAAACCTGGTACACTCCAATGTACCTGCCTGGCTTTGCTTTGGTGTTCTCTTCCTAGCTCATACCATTTACTGACTTCTAAAACATATGTTGTCATTTCCTATCCAATATTTTGTTGGCTTATACCATATTTATTTTCGTACTCCCACTTTACCCAGATTTAAGAAAGGGGCTGAGATAAATGCATATGTGCAGTACACCACAGTTAAACTCAAATCTTCTGAATAGTATAATCCCTCAATTGTGTCAACAGGTCACTTATGTATAAACTAAGAGTCGCTAGTTTCTGTTTTGGTTTGGTTTAATCTCATAAAACATATTCTTATTGTTTGAATTTTGATAATGTGATGAGGCTACAGTAAAAACAGGCATTCTCATATTCGTCATGGTCGTGTAAATTGGTACAAGTTTTTTGGAAAACAATTTAGCAGTATGTATTTAAAAGCCTTTAAAATGCTAAGTCTCCTGGACCCAGTAAAATCCCACTTCCAAAAATCTGTTCTAAGGAAAGAATCTTAAAAATAAGAAAACTATGCACAAAGATATTTATTATGTACATATTCTGAAAGGATAAAATAAGGGATAATCTCATACTAACAGTAAGAAAATGGCCAAGTAAGGAAAGGCATAAACACCCAATAGAATAGACAGATATTTTAAAATGTTGTTTACAAAGACTGAAAACAATGAATTTGGCAACTAGGCTAAAGGCCCACTCAAAATATTTCTAGGCTTTAGTGAGAAAGGTTTCTTCAAATATTGAACAAAACCTTGGAAATCGGTTTATTGAAGATGTGTTTATACGTTATTAGTATGTTAAAGCTGTTATTTGGTCTTGGATAAGAATTATTCAGTATTTAAAATATCTTCTAGGAACTAATTCTTAGAAAATTATAAGCTATGTTTTACAAAAGAAAATCCAAGTATTTAAAAAACACAAGGCAGTTCAGTTCAAAACGAGTTGGGGTGTATTGGAATCAGTAGAACTTATTTTTATAGCAGTACTAAATAGCTTCTGAATGTCTGTTTTGATAATGACACATGAATATTCTTACTCCAGGGGATAGCGAAACTAATTATTTGGGAACATTGGTGTTTTGAATTTATGCCAGGATTCTCTTTTTTGAGAATAATGAAAACCACTACATATAAATTAACCCATTTGTTCACATCATTTCTCACAGATACAGGGATGGAGCAAGTAGTTTCCCAAGTTTATAATTAGTGAGCTATGAAGAATATTTAGCATGTTGTTGAAATCTGTTTATAAAACTCAGCTCTCCTGTGCTCTAAATCAATTGTTCTTTGCTCTAGCCTTGTCATTTTATTATTGTGAAAAGGATCTCTCAACTGTGATCAACTGTACTGCTGAAGAGTTTAACCTCTCATTTCCTGGTAATGATTTTAGAGTATTTTTTTCATAACCTACAGTGAGCCTGAAGCAAATGAGAACATTAATGATCAATTATGTTGTTTGAACAAAGTTTATCATTGAAATTCAATGACTGAAGTCATTGTGACAACATTACTTTAAATGAATCTGAATGGCTTAATGACCTATGTCAGAATGAAGTATCACTATATATCATTAGTATCATCTTACCAGTGCTAAGAAAATAACTAGTGAGATGTTTTATGGTAAATGACTGTCTGGAAAGATTGTTTATTTTAAAATGTATTAAAAAAAAGTTTGTCCTCCTTGATTACTACAGACGACTTCAGTCAAACTAATAACATTTATTTCATTGTCTAAGATGAAAATTTGACCCATAATTAGTATTGTACCTTAAATAATCCTCCAGTGTATACAGAATTCCATTTTAATGACTGCCATCATACCATTTCATTCTATGTGATCACTATTTTCATTTCCCAGATAAAAGACTCAATTAATACTACTTTGATGCTATAAATATAATACATTCTATTAAATGAAAGCCCTATAAAATACATGTTCTTGTAAATTCCTGTCTATATGTCTGTTGGAAATAGCATCTTTTTCATTCAGTATTAATGTGCATATGTACAATAAATTTGTATGAATGTGAATTTTAGGTTATTTTTCTGCATTATGAATATTTTCTTATATTAAGAGATGCTGGGGACGGAAGCACTGGCTCACATCTGTAATCCCAGCACTTTGGGAGGCAGAGATGGGCAGATCATCTGAGGTCAGGAGTTCAAGACCAGCCTGGCCAACATGGTGAAATCCTGTCTCTACTAAAAATACAAAACTAGCCAAGCGTGGTAGCATATGCTTGTAATCCCAACTACTCAAGAGGTTGAGACAGGAGAATCACTTGAACCTGGGAAGCGGAGGTTGCAGTGAGCCTAGATCACGCCATTGCACTCCAGCCTGGGAGACAGAGCCAGACCCCATCTCACACACACACACACACACAAAAAAAAGAGAGAGAGAGAGAGAGAGACAGAGAGAGACATAGAGATGCTGGTACTTTGAAGAGTGTGGATGGAACTGTAATAGGAATTGGGTCCTGAATGGATTCCCTTCTTATGTGTGCCAATAGCAATACAGTTATGTTTGACTCAACCGTGTGGTAATTTGAGAAAGAAAAAGAAAAGAAACATGTAACTTTAGGTTACCCCCAAACTTACCAGAAATGTGGGCATGTTCCCTTACTAAATATCAAGTCCCTGTGGTAAGGTGAAAAAGGAAAGAAAATTGCCTTGAGAATAAAATTGAGGCCTGTAATTCCATTGTGTTACCAGTTGTCAACTTTCTGTAGTACAAGCTTGTTTAAAAGGAAAGATTAAAATGTCCATATTCACAAATCGCCAATACATTTGGAAAAAGATGTCAAATTGTATTAGAAATATATTCAAACATATGTATTCTCTTCCTTGAATACTCTAATCAAATACTCAACTCCTTTAACAGTTTTTCTTGATATGTTTTTTTCTCCCAAAAATATTATTGCTCGATTTTCAGAATTCCCGTAGGATTTTGTACTTAGTTAATTTTCCACAAGGTTCTCTCTATTGTGTAATGGTTTTTCTTCATGATTATTTCTTCTACCAAGCCAGGAGCTCTTTAAAGACTGAGACTATCTTACTTATCTTTATACTCCAGGTGAAAGTCATAGGAACAATTAATTCTAAATGTTTTAAAATCATCAAATTTTATCAACAAATATTTATTGATTCCCTACTATTTTGTAATGAATAAGATAAATCCCTTCATGGAATTTACATACTAATGTAAAGTGACAGACAAATAAACAAATATCTCTTCTATGAAAAATAAAACTAGTTTGAGGATATAGAAAGTGATGAACAGGTGTTGTTTTAGGTAGAATAGACATGGAAAGCCTTTCTGGATTGGTGATTAGATTGGAGTGAATATCTCAGTGAATAAGAGAGTGCCATTGGGTGGAGATGACAAAGATTCTCTCCTTGGACAAACTCTAGACAAGCTTCTCTGAGGCCTCTTCTTGACTAGACCTCAACCTTATCCCATAAAACCTGCAGACTCTCAGTACAAATTATTTTCATCTACTGCATCCCATCCCCTATATACGCACACTGTTTAAGAGACTTGAACAAACATCAGTATAGTTTCTAACAGCTCAAGACCACATCACTAGGGTGATGACTTCCCCCTTAAGTGCCTGCCTGAAAACACTCAATGCTGCCAGGAGAATTTACTATTCTTTCCAGCCAAAACCTGGTAATAGGCAAATAGGCCCTAACCTTCTCTTAGAGCAGTTACTTTAGAAAGCTTGCAATTAGAAATATTTTTCCTACCCCTTTAGGCAGTAAATCTACTACCCCAGAGAACTGTCTTCTCAAGGACCTAAGAGCTGTTTCTTTGACATGCAATCATTCACTGAGATCACTTTCTCCCTTGTTCTCACTGTGGGAAAGTACTTAACTTTGCTTAACTTGCACCACTGCCTACTGTCATAAAGATATGAGAAGTTTGTTTCTCTTATGGGTAAGATCTAATTAGCACACCCAGTTGATGGGCCAAACACCTTAAGACCCCCAAGAGTCTTTCCCTTAGTCCACTCCAGTCTTTAAATGTCTCCTGCTTTTTGTTTCGGTAAAGTTGAGTTGAGTTTAGGTCATGCTGGGCCCTCTTCCCTATTGCAGTAGTCATTTCTGAATAAAATAATTCCTTGTTGCTTTAGCCAGTGTCTGGTTTTGTTTATCTTTACAGGGTTGTATATGGGGAATCATCTCTTAGGCTGACAGAAAAGCTCTCAGGTTGAAGTTTGCGTGGTGCTTTTGAGGAACATCAAGGAGGCCAGTGAGGCTAAAGCACAAAAGGAGGAGGACAGAGTTGTGGGGATAAGACCAGAGAGTGCAGGGGCACGTATGCCCTGGTTAGAGCTTCGGGTTTTACCTGAGTGAGATGGAAAGCACTGGAGGATCGTGAACAGGGTATATTGTAATCCGATTTACTTTACAAGAATTGCTTTGAATAAGGAATAGACAAAAGATGAGTGGAGAGCTATTGGCAAAAAAATGGAAAGAATAAGGCCAATTAGGAGGTGATGGCAACGACCAAAAGAGAAATAGCATTGCTTTGGCCAAGATGGTGATGGTGGTGAAAGCGTTGAGAAGCAGTCAGACTCCATATAGATGTTGAAGGAAAAGCTGGCAAAATTTGCTATGTGAGTATCAAGCAATAGGTTCAGCAAAAGAAATAAATATAAACATTCCCATAGTTATACTACTGGAGGCTATGCTTTTAGAAGTAGCAAAACCTTAGCTTTGATATAATCTCTAATTTATAATTTTGGCATATAAATTCTCTATTAAATCCGGTCAGAAAATTTTAAATTTCAGTGTATCTCCTCTGAATCATGTATTTTTAGAAGAGTTGGATTCAAAGTTCATCTCCTATGTAGTGAGGTTTCTACAAACTTGTAATTATGTCTACCTGGTCAAGGGCAGACAGTAGACAGTGCTTCATGCAATCCACAATCTCTTATATATTTTTATTGAAGCCACCTAAAATCAGTGTCTCATCTACTAACCATAACTACGGCCCTCCTGTCACGCGCTGGGCCAACTGCCATTGCATTTCTAATCATTGAATGCATGAATACTTTTTGCACAGGTCAGACATTTTCATTCCGCATTAGAGGTAACTTTGATGTGCACGCTTTTGACCCAAATGCAGAAAATAGGTCATAGTAAATATGATAGTCTGCTCTACTTAACTTGGAAAAATATATTTATAACTATTCAAAACCACAGGGAACATTGCTCTGACATGAAATAAGCAAGATTTACCTAGCCCAATGATTTGACTTATCTTTATTAGTCATTACAGGCCATTATCTCTAATACTAAAGGTTTATACAATTCTAAAGGACTCATAGCAAATATATCCATAAGAAACCACTTAAAAATGTTTCCTATAGCCAAGAATCTTCTAAAGACTTTGCATTGAATCTAGGAAACACAGAGTTTATAAAAGGGATTTTAAAAATGATCTTGGGATTCAACTTAAATCCCCATATCTAAAATATAATTTCAGATGAAGCCATTTAAAAAGCAATCATCTGGAAGCCTACTTTAGCTGCATTTGGGGTCTAGGATAGTGCCATTCACTCATCTGTGCATTGAACTTATACTGAGAGCCTATGGTATGCTTGCCACAGTATTCTACACTGGGATAAGTCAGGGTGTTCCCTGAAGTGCTCACAACTACTGCCCTAACTCCGAGTAGAAACTACAGCCCTCAGCTTACTGACAGACCTAACGTTAGTTTAGTTACTTCCTTTATGGTATTTATTTTTAGTGTCTGAAGCAATTTGCATTCACATTGAATCCAGACCCTGACCTCCGGTTAGTGTTATGAACTAACAAATTCTTGATTTACTCATGTATAAATTGGATTGTGGAAGAAATGTATTTCTCTCTCTGTATTCCTCTCCCAGAGTATACTAACATATTGGTATATTCGGAATATTCTTTAAAGATACTATGCATTTGTTGCTAGCTGATTAATCCACTCAAAAATAGCCTTAGTCTCCTACAAATAAAAGGAGGGCTACATAAGAACTATGGAAAGTCTTCCTGGGAATGTTTTTTAAAGTTAAAAGAATTATGTAACTACACTAATTCTTTATAAAATAAACATAGTTTTCTTTAGGGCTCTAAACAGTTTTCAAAGTTATAACTTCCATCAATAAGGTACTGGATGGACTATTGTGTTGCTCTCCTGAGTTTCAGCCCTCTCCTGTGGTATTGGTTTTTTATCCTTCTGACCCAGACATACTGAGGATAACTTCTCATTCACTTTGCATTATACTGCTTTTGGAAGCAACTGTGAAGATTAATATACGTACACAGTACATGTCCTTATGTGTATTATCAATCCAGAGTTATTTCAACATTAATGTTCAGCCTACTGAACAATAATTCCTAGTGTTCCCAAAAAGAGAAAAGAGAGAGTCCAAATTGTAATCTTATTTATTATCATTATTCCTTTTATGCCTTTGACACAGGAATCTCATCTTCTTTTCTTATGAACAATCCTAGACTCCCAGCAATATTGCTTTATAAAGTGATAAATAAAAACTAAAGCAAAGAAATAAGACATTTGAGGTAAAATATGTATTTTATTCATTTCTCTTTCTTATAGGGAATTCTAAAAGTATCATTAAAATAATTTTAACACTTCTTTTAGTTCTTTATATTAGATTTTTTTGTGTCGGTTCATACATATTGAGAAAATAAATAAAATTGAGGTTAACTTTAATTCACATTATTGCCAGAAAAATTTACAATAGATAAATTATACTAACATAAAGTGTTTATTTTTGTCAAGCCACAATTACATATTAAAGCTTTTTACCTAAGAAATTCTATATAATAAGCACATTATCATTTTTTCAAATGAACAAACTTAAGCAAAAAATATATATATTTTAAAAGTTATCCAGGGGCGGTTATCCAGGGGCGGGCATGGTGGCTCATGCCTGTAATCCCAGCACTTTGGGAGGCCAAGGCGTGTGGATCACCTGAGGCAACAAGAACAAAACTATGTCTCAAAAAAAAAAAGTTATCTCAATCATTGATTGAATTGGTCTGAACTACTCCTACTCTGTCAGAAAAAAAAAAAGCAAATAAAAATCCTCCTTCAAAGAACAATGTCTACATATTCAAAATATCTCTATTTTTATATCAAACAATCAACATTATAAAAGGCAGAAAAAAGACATGAACTGACCAAAAGTAAGGAAAAGAGAGAAAATGGACAACAGAAACAAAATGACAGGAGAACCAAATAATAAAATTAACATGTAGATATAAAAATAATTCATTTTGTCATGAAATTAAAGCACAAAATGAAGAATATTTAGACAATAACTAGAAAGTAAGACAAGAATAAAATGGGCCTTCTCACAATGAAAAATACAGTAGCTGAAATTAAAAGCTAAATACTTTGTTTTAATAATCATATACATTGAAGATAATTAGAGAATTAGAAGACGGACCTGAAAAATTTATGCATACTGAGTAACAAAAAGAAAAAATGACGAACATTAACAGAAAAGATGTTGAGAAACATTCACTGTGCAAAATGATAAAAAGGTCTAAACCATATTTAATTAGAGGCCAAAAGGAAAAAGGAAAGAATGGTAATAATTGAAAATATAATTGCTAAGAATATTTTTAAACTGGTTAAAGACACCAGGTTATAGGCTCAAGAAGTGCTACAAATTCCAAGCAGGATAAATATAAAGTGATACACAGAATGATAATAATAAAACTGATGATAATGAAAGACCAAAAGAAAATATTAAGAGCAGCCAGAGAAAAGGCATATTACCTTCAAAGGAGTCTGGCAGCTAACAAATCAATGGAAACAATGAAAGCCAGAAAACAATCACATTATGTCTTTGAATGGTAAAACTACGGAACAGCCAATCAAGAATTCTACACCAAGCAAAAGTATTGTTCAAAAATGAAAATGAACTTAAGACATTTTTAGACAAACAAAACTCACATAATTCAGCATCACCTGATTAACAGCAAAAGAAATACCATAAGATGCTTTTAAGGCAAAGGAAATTACAGCAGATAGTAATAGGGAATGTATGAAAGAACAAAAGTAAGTATAGTATTTGTGAGAGAAAATATAAATTCAAATTGACTGTATTTTTAAGTGACTGGTGAAAAGATATATATAAAATTAAAATATTCTACAAATGATACTTTCAATTTCAAAATGGCAGCATAGAAACAACCTGGCTTCATTTTCCCTACCCCACACCGAAAACTAAAAACAAATATACAGTGCCAAGATTAATACCAATAATATCTTAGAATGCAAATATGAGGATTAGGCAGTTTCCAGGGCCATAGAGAAGTGAAAAAAAATCAGGGCAAACAGTAAAAGAATTGGACATCCATATCTGTGACACACCTGCTCCCAATCTGCCCAGCAAAATGTATGTGAAAAACTTCCCCCGACTCACTGCCTCTATACCAGAAAAAGTCAGATTGAGGTAGACAACCAGCTTCTCCATTATCTCGGGTTTTCTGGTAGCGATCTGTCCCTGCCTCAACCCATGGGAATCATAGGGAACACTTGAAGGGAGAAATAACCCTAAGGACAGCCAAAGATAAAGGGAAGAGGCAAAACTATCACCCTCATCCCTGGCATCTCTGCTCTGCAACTTGGACTGAGGAGAAGCCAAATAAGAGTGGCTGTTCAGCAGCACTATGCTGCAGGAAGTTTGTCCCAAAGATCCCCTGGACATGAACCCCTAGCCAGCCTTCCCAAACTACTGGAAAATGCCCTTCGATACCAACCCCATTCAGTACAGGCAGCACTTTGATTGTTTACTCTAATAAGTCAAACCCGGGTTTAAGGAGCCATCTAGTGCTGAAAAAGGAGGCATAAACCTAGAGGAAAACTAAGATAAAATCAATAGGTAAATTACAAAGAATCTCTAAGAAAACACATGCAATAAAAAATAAAACAAAGCCAGACAGAGAAGATTGAAATAAATAATATTTCAAAGATAAGACATAGACATACATCCATAAGAAACAACACAAACAAGGAACCATGACCTCATCAAACAGACAAATCAAGGCACCAGTGATTGACCCTAACGAGAAAGTGAAAAATAAATATGTCCATGCATTTACAGTTAACTCATTTTCAACAAAGCTGCCAAGAACATACCGTTGGGGAAAGGACAATCTATTCAGCAAGTAGTGCTGGGAAAACTGAATAACCATATGCAGAAGAATGAAAGTAGACACGTATCTCTCATCATACACAAAAATAAAATAGAAATTGGATAAAAGACTTAAATTTAAGACCTCAAACTATGAAACAACTAGATGACAATATTGGGTATACTCTACAGGACATTGGTCTGGGCAAAGATTTCAATAAAATTTCAAAAGCACAGAGAATGGAAGCAAAAGAAGACAAAGGATTACATCAAGCTACAAAGCTTCTGTGCAACAATGAAAACAACAAACAAAGTGAAGAGACAGCCCGCAGAATGGGAGAATATATCCACCAACTACCCATCTGACAAAGAATTAAAAACCAGAATATATAAAAAGCTCAAACAACTCAGTAAAAGAAAAAAAAAAGTCTGATTAAAAAAAAGGGGGGCAAAAGACTAGAATAGACATTTCTCAAAAGGCGGCACACAAATGGCCAACAGGCATATGAAAAATTGTTCAACATCACCAATCAAAGAAATGCAAATCAAATCTACAATGAGATACCATCTCACCCCAGTTAAAATGGCATTTATCTAAAAGACATGGAATTGCAGATGCTGCTGAGGTTATGCTGATGGGAATGTAAACCCGGATAGCCATGATGGAGAAAAGTATAGAGATTCCTCAAAAAAACTAAAAATAGAAGTACCATGCAATCTAGCAATTCTACTATTGGATATACACCCAGAAAAGAGGAAATCAATATAATGAAGAGGTATCTACACACCCATGTTTATTGCAGCACTATTCAGAATAGCCAACATACAGAATCAACCTGTGTATATTAATGAATGAATGGATAAAGAAATCATGGTATATATACAAAATGGAAAATCAGCCATAAAAATTAATTATATCTCGCCATTTGCAGCAACATGGGTGAAACTGGAAGTTACCGTGTTAAGTGAAATAAGTCAAGCACAGAAAGACAAATATTGTATGTTCTCACTAGCACGTGGGAGCTAATAAAGTGGATCTCATGAAGATAGAGAGTAGATTGGTGGTTATCAGAAGCCAGGAAGGGTAGAAGGAAGTGGGAGATGAAAAGAGGTTGATTAATGGGTACAAATATATAGTTTGATAGAAGAAATAAGACCTCATATTTGATAGGTTAGTAGGAGAACTATAGTTTGTGATATCTGTTACATATTTCAAAATAACTAGAAGAAAATAATTTGAATATATCTAACATAAAGAAAAGACAAATAATCAAGGTAATAAATATCCCAATTACAGTGATTTGATCTTTATAAATAATGAATATATTAAATTTTCACATGTACCTTCAAAATATATACATCTATTATATATCAATAAAAATTAAAATACATATATATTCTACAAGTAAACCACATAATTGGGAATTGAATAGTGTTCTAAAGCTCTGGCTTTATCTGAAACATGGGATAGTAAGTGTTCCTGTAGTAGTGATAAAGAATCAAACAACAGAGGAGAAAGCAGGAATAATTTTTAAAACAACTGACTGGTTCAACTGAAGGGAAGAAAGTAAAAGAAAAAGGAAAATAGAAAAAATGAAACCAAATTTAACATGTTACATATCAGTAAATGTATTAAAATTAAATTGAAACAATAATACATTATCACAGAAACCAATTATCATGCAGGAAACAAAGTAAAATTCAATTATATACTGCTTGCAAGAAGCACAACATATATAAGTACACTAAAAGGTTAAAAGTAAATAGAAAAGTTATACCATGTAAGGCTGGGCGCGGTGGCTCATGCCTGTAATCCCATCACTTTGGGAGGCCAAAGCAGGCCGATCACTTGAGGCCAGGAGTTTGGGACCACCCTGGCCAATATGGCAAAACCCTGCCTCTACAAGAAATACAAAAATTAGCTGGGTGTCATGATGTGCACCTGTAATCCCAGCTACTCAGGAGGCTGAGGCAGGAGAATTGCTTGAACCCGGGAGGCGGAGGTTGAGTGAGCTAAGATCACACCATTGTACTCCAGCCTGGGCAACAGAGGGACACAAAGAAAAATTGTAACTTAAAGTAAGAAGTATGTATTAGTCTGTTCTCATGCTGCTGACAAAGTCATACCCAAAACTGGGTAATTTATAAGGAAAAAGAGGTTTAATGGACTTACAGTTCCATGTGGCTGGGGAGGCCTCACACTCATAGCAGAAGGTGAAAGGCATGCTTCACATGATGACAGACAAGAGAAAAATGAGAGCCAAACAAAAGAGGTTTGCCCTTAAAAAACCATCAGATCTCATGAGACTTACTCACTACCACTATTGCCCCCACGATTTAATTGTCTCCCACTGGGTCCCTCCCACAACATAGGAGAATTATGGGAGCTACAATTCAAGATGAGATTTGGGTGGGGATACAGCCAGACCATATCAAAGTATAGCCAGGTCTAGAGAGAGCTTCTTCATGATGATAAAAGGCTCAGTAAATCAAGAATATATGACAATACTCAGTTTGTTTGTATCAAATAAGATAGCCTCAAATCATATAAAGGAAACATTGACAGAAAATCAAGAACAAATTGAAAACCTACAATTATATACAAAAAGTTTTTTTCTAGAGACAGGGTCTCGCTTTGTCATCCCAGGCTGGAGTGCTGTGCGTGATTAGCTCACTTGCCACCTCAAATTCTTAAGCTCAAGCAGTCCCATCTCAGCCTTCTAAGTAGCTGGGACTACAGTCACATTCCACCATGGCCAATTTATTTTTGTATTCTTTGTAGAGACAGAGTCTCGCCATCTTGCCTAGGCTGGTCTCGAACTCCTTGGCTCAAGTTATCCTCCCACCTCAGTCTCCCAAAGTGCTAGGATTACAGGCATGAGCCACCATGCCCAACCTAAAAGATTTTTAACAAATCTCTTTTAGTAACAAATAAATCAGTCAAATTAAAATTAAGAATACAACAATAACTTTAAACACGACTTCATTTTATTTTTATTGAGACAGCATCTTGCTCTGTCACCCAGGCTGGAATGCAGTGGCACAGTCTCGGCTCACTGCAACCTCTGCATCCCAGGTTCAAGCGATTTTCCTGACTTAGCCTCCTGAGTAGCTGGGATTACAGACACATGCCACCATGTCCAGCTAATTTTTGTATTTTTAATAGAAACGGGGTTTCACCATGTTGGCCATGCTGGTCTCGAACTCCTGACCTCAAGAGATTCACCCATCTAGGCCTCCCAAAGTGCTGGGATTATAGGCATGAGCCACCCACCTGGCCTCAACAAGACTTTAAATTAAACTAATTACACATACAGAACACTATACACTAAAATAAACATCTACAAATTAAAATTGTTTTATGTACATATAGGTACATTGCAAAGTTGACCATATGCCAAATCATAAAACAAGCCTCAGTAAATTTCAAAGGATTGAAATTATACAGAGAATATTAGTTGACTTCTGCAGGATTAAGCTAGAAAGCAATAACAATAAATAGAAAATACTTTAAATTGAATACATAATAGTAAAAATATGAAAATGCCACACGGTGGGATAAACCTAAATCTGTTTGTAAAGGGGAATACATAGCCTTAAATGTATGCATTAGAAAACAAGAAGCTCGAAAATCATACATTTAGGGATCTGCCTCAATAAATTAGAGAAGTAAAGCAACATTAAACTCAAAGACAAAAGAAAAAATAATACTTTAAAAATACAAGGTAACTGTAAAATACAGAGAATTGAAAAACCTAAAGTCTAAATAATAACAATATACATGTTACAAAATTAATCAATTTAAAAATTATAGAAAATACAAAACAAATATCAGGAATAAAAATAACTTCAGATCATATAATTAAGATGCAAGAGGTTATATGAAAAAATGTTAGGCTCATAAATAGTAAAAATTTAAGTAGAATGGACAAACATCTTGAAAAATTCATTTTACCAAACTGGGCCCATAAAATAACAAAAAAGTTGAACAGTACAAAATTTTATAAAATAATTTAATCAGCAATAAAATTTTTCCTGCACAAATAAAACTCTAACCCAGACAGATTTAAACATGAATTCTCAAAACATTTAAGAAAAAGTAAATAATATCAATCTCATACAATTTCTCTCAGAGAAAACTAAAAGAGGGAATACTATTCTACCAGTTTCATGATAGTGGTATAAATTTAATATTATACCAAAAAAGGACATTACAATAAAACAGAGCAATGTTACAGGTTCTCTCTCATGGACACAAATTTTTTTTAATCCTAAATAAAATATTCAAAAATAAGAAAACCCTTGAGAGAGAGAGTGCCCAATGTAACAAAGCTATTAACATAATGAAGCAGAAACTGCAAGACCTTTATCATGCTGTCTTTAGTAGGTTAAGAGGTGATAAAGCTAGGCCAGTCACTACAAACCAATATGTTCTTCAGTGCAACCATAATGGAAGTATTTTGATTGAACCAAAAAACTGATGATCTCAGGCCACAAAAAGGAAACCCAAAAGGGAAAGAGAAAAAGTAAGAGAATAAATCAAAGATGGATTCCATTACGTGGATAAAGTAGTAATGTTCAGAAACTGATTGTTTGGATCACAAACCATTGAAACTGCTTCAACTGTTACATCTTTAAGTGCTTCTACTTGAATCACTAGGTTAAAGCTACACTTTGATGCTTCTATGGAAAGATGTTTAGGACTTCAAGCATGTACTTGTGGGATGGGGAAAGCCTCAAATTTTCATGAAATCCTTCTGCATTGTACCCAAAATTCTAAATAGTTATGTTCAAAGAATATAATAACATGAAAACATGATATGATTTTCCAGTCACTTTGACAGCTATGTTTTTTAGTAAAATGGTCACCTTAAAAAACAGCAAACATTGGGGATCTAATTATTTTAAGATGCATTTCATTTTTTATGACTTAAAATGCAAAGTAGACTTATATTCAGTTTGTTAGCTCTGAAGTATAGTGAGATTTTCAAGTTACTTAATTTTATGAATATTTAACTTATAATTTTTTCCTGTAGAAATAACTTTATGTTTGAATTTATAAAAAAAAAAAAAAAACTTTTCCCTTTTGTATAGAAATTTCAAGCAAATTTATTTTAGCAGTTTGGGGGCAGAGAAGTGTAATCACTGGTAGTTTAGGCCACAGGCCTCCCACCTGTAACCAGATAGAAAGCAGCTACCTGCATAGAGACACAGAACTCCTTTATGTATATTATTAAATCCATAGAACCCCTTGGAGTAGTAAAGACAGCCTGTAGGGATGGCCTCACAGTTGAGAAAACTGAGATCTCACTAAGCTCACCGAAACATTACAAGCCACACAAAGAAAAGAAAACAACAGTAGAGGAAGAATCAACAGATGAACATACAAATTTTTTAACCAAAGACATTTGACTATTTGGACCTAACACATACCTACAAAATAATCCACGCAACAGAATATGCGTTCTTCTCATCTGCACTTGCACATTCTCTAAGATTGACCACATATGCAGCCATAAAGCAAGTCTCAACAAATTTAAAAAATAATCAAAATCTTACCAACCACACTCTCAGACTACAGTACAATAAAAATAGGAATCAACACCAAGAAGATCTATCAAAACCACACAGTTACATGGAAGCTAAACAACCTGTTTCTGAATGACTTTGAGGTAAAGAAAGAAATTAAGGCAGAAATAAAAAAAATTCTTTGAATCTAACAAAAACAGAGATGCAACATACAAGAATATTTGAGACACAGCTAAAGCAGTATAAGAGGAAAGTTTTGAGCACTAAATACCTACCTCAAGAAGTTGGAAAGATTACAAACTAACTAATTTCACACCTAGAGTAACTAGAAAAACAGGAGCAAACCAACCCCAAAGCCAGAAGAAGAAAAGAAATGACCAAAATTAGAACTAAACTAAACAAAATTGAGATGTAAAAATCCACACAAAAGATCAATGAAATCAAAAGTTGGTATTTCGAAAAACTAAACAAGATGGATGACTGCTAGCTAGATTAATTTTTAAAAAAGAGAAGTCAAATAAATACAATCAGAAACGAAAAGGGTGACATTACAACTAACCCCACAGAAATGCAAAAAATTCTAAGAGATTATGAACACCTCTATGCACACAAACTTGAAAATCTAGAATAAATGGATAAACTCCTGAAAATACAAAGCCTCACAAGATTGAATCAGGAAAAATACTGAAATGCTGAACATACCATTAATGAGCTCTGAAATTGAATCAGTGATAAAAACCTTACCAACCAAAAAAAAAAAAAAAAAAAAAAAAAAAAAGCCCCAGACAAGATGGATTCACAGCTGAATTCTACCAGATGTACAAAGAAGAGTTAGTACCAATCCTACCAAAATTATTCCAAAAAATTGAAGAGGAACTCATCCCTAACACATTCTATAAAGCCAGCATCATTCTGATACCAAAACCTGACAGAGACACAACAAAAAAAGGAAAACTTCATGCCAATATCCCTGATGAACAGACACAAAAATCATCAACAAAATACTAGCAAACCAAATCCAGCAGTTAATTTATCATGATCAAATAGACTTTATTCCTGGGATGCAAGGTTGATTCAGCATATAGAAATCAATAAATGTGATTCTTCACATAAACAGAAGTAAAAACAAAAACCCCATGATCATCTCAATAGACACAGAAAAGCCTTTGATAATATTCAATATCTCTTCATGTTAAAAACCCTAAAGAAATTAGGCATCAAAGGAACATACCTCAAAATAATAAGAGCCATCTATGACAAACCCACAGGCAACATCATACTGAATGGGCAAAAGCTGGAAGCATTCTCCTTGAGAACTGGAACAAGAAAAGGATGCCCACTCTCACCACTCCTATTCAACATAGTATTGGAAATCCTACCCACAGCAATCAGGCAAGAGAAAAAAATAAAAGGCATCCAAATAGAAACAGCAGAAGTCAAACCATCTCTCTTTGCAGATAGTATGGATGCTATACCTAGAAAACCCATAGGTTCCACCAGAAAGCTCTCAGAACTGATAAACTACTTTAGCAAACTTTTAGGATACAAAAATCAGTGTACCAGAAGCAGTAGCATTTGTGTACACCAATAATGTCCAAGCTGAGAGCCAAATCAAGAATGAAATCCCATTCACCACAGCCACAAAAGAGAATCAAATATCTAGTAATACAGCTTACCAAGGAGGTGAAAGATCTCCACAATGAGAATTACAAAACACTGATGAAATAAATCAGAGGTGATATAAACAAACGGAAAAGCTTCCATGCTATTTCTTTTTCTTTTTCTTTTCTTTTTCTTTTTTTTTTTTTTTTTTTTGAGACGGAGTCTCCCTCTGTCACCAGGCCTCCCAAGTAGCTGGGACTACAGGTGCACGCCCAGCTAATTTTTGTATTTTTAGTAGAGTCAGGGTTTCACCATGTTGGCCAGGATGGTCTCGATCTCTTGACCTCGTGATCTGCCTGCCTGAGCCTCCCAAAGTGCTGGGATTACAGGCGTGAGCCACCACTCCCAACCTAGATTCAATGCTATTTCTATTAAACTACCAATGTTAATTTTTAACAGAACTAGCAAAAATTTTTAAAATTCATATGGAATCAAAAAAGATCCTGAATAGCCAAAGTAATCCTAAACAAAAAGAACAAAGCTGAAGGCATCACACTACTGATTTCAAACTATTCAACGCAGCTACAGTAACCAAAACAACATTGTACTGGTACAAAAACAGTGTGACATAGACCAATGGAACAGGATAGAGAACCCAGAAATAAAGCCACATACCTACAACTGCCTCATCTTTGACAAAGTTGACAAAAATAAGCAAGGGGGAAAGGACTACTATATTAGGCCATTCTTGCTTTGCTATACAGAAAGACCTGAGACTGGGTAATTTATAAGAAAATAAGTTCAATTGTCTCATAGTTCTACAGGCTGTATAGGAAGCATAGTGCTGGCGTCTGCTTCTGGGGAGGCTTTAGGAACCTTTCAACATTGTGGAAGGTGAATGGGGAACAGGCATCTCACATAGCTGGAGCAGAAGCAAGAGAGTGTGAAGGGGAGATGTCACACTTTACAACAACCAGATCTCACAAGAAATCACTCACTATCACAAGGACAGCACCAGGCCATAGGGAACCTGCCTTCATAACTCACGCACCTCCCACCAGGCCCCACTTCCAACATTGGGGATTGCAATTTAACATGAGATGTGGCAAGGGCATATATTCAAACCATATAAACTCCCTAGTCAAAAAATGGTGCTGGGAAAGCTGGCTAGTCACATACAGAAGATTGAAACTAGACCCCTTCGATTCATCATACACAAAATTTAACACAAGATGGATTAAAGACTTAAATGTAATACCTAAAACTATTAAAAACTCAAAGGGAAAACCTATGGGAAACCATTCTGGACATCTGACTTGGCAAAGAATTTATGACTAAGTACCCAAAAGCAATTGCAACAAAAATAAAAATTGACAGGTGAGACCTAATTAAACTAAAGAACTTTTGCACAGCAAAAGAAACTATCAACAGGGTAAACAGACAACTTACAGAATGAGAGAAAATAATGTAGTCATTCAAGAAAGTTCTAATATCCAGAATCTATAAGGAAGTTAAACAATTTATAAGCAAAAGACAACCCCATTAAAATGAGCAAAGTACATGATCAGACACTTCTCAAAAGAAGACATACATGCAGTCAACAAATATATTACAAAATGCTCATCATCACTAATCATTAGAGAAATGCAAATTAAAACCATAATGAGATTCATCTCATACCAATCAGAATGGCTATTATTAAAAAGTATGAAAATGTTCGGGCACAGTGGCTCATGCCTATAATGTTAGCACTTTGGGAGGCTGAGGTGGGCGGATTGCCTGAGCTCAGGAGTTTGAGACCAGCCTGGGCAACATGGTGAAACCCCCTCTCTACCAAAATACAAAAAAAAAAAAAAAAAGTTAGCCAGGCATGGTGGAACACACCTGTAGCCTCAGCTACTTGGGAGGCTGAGGCAGGAGAATCACTTGAACCTGGGAGGTGGAGGTTGCAGTGAGCCGAGATCAACCCACTGCACTCTAGCCTGGGTGACAGAGCGACACTCTGTCTCAAAAAAAAAAAAAAAAAAAAAAAAAAAGTCTAAACACAATGGATGCTGGCAAGACTGCAGAGAAAAGGGAAAACTTATACACTGCTAGAGGGAACGTAAACTAGTTCAGCCACTGTTGAAAGCGGTTTGGAGATTTCTCAAAGAACTTAAAACAGAACTACCATTCAACCCAGCAATTGTACTGCTGTGTATATACCCAAAGAAAAATAAATTGTTCTACTAAAAAGATACATGCATTCATATGTTTATTGCAGCACTATTCACAATAGTAAAGACATGGAATCAATGGAAATGCCCAATAATAATGGAGGGGATAAAGAAAATTTGGAACATATACATCATGGAATACTACATACACATAAAAAAAAAATCATGTCCTTTGCTGCAACATAGATGCAGCTGGAGGCCATTATACTAAGTGAACTAATGCAGGAACAGAAAACCAAATACCACACGTTCTCACTTGCAATTGGGAACTAAATATTGAATACGCATGGACACAAATTGAGGCAGAATAGACAAAAGGACCTGCTTGATGGAGGAGGATGGGAAGAGGGTATGGTTTGGAAGGCTATTTATCATGCACTGTGCTCACTACCTGAGTGACAGGATCATTTTGGGCACCAAGCCTCAGTAACATAAAAATTACCCATGTAACAAACCTGCATATGTATCTCCTGAATCTAAAATAAAAGTAGAAGGCCAGATGCAGTGGTTCACACTTCCAATTCCAGCACTTTGGGAGGCCAAAGTGGGAGGATCACTTGAACCTAGGAGTTGACTAGCCTGAGCAATAGTGAGACCAGGTCCCTACAAAAAAATAAAATAAAAATTTGCCAGGTGTTGTGGGGCACACCTGTGGTCCTAGTTACTCGGGAGGCTGAGGTGGGAGGATAGCTTAAGCCCGAGAGTTTGAGGCTGCAGTAAGCTATGGCCATGCCACTGCACTCTAGCCTGGGTGACAGAGTGAGACCTTGTCTCTAAATAAATAAATAAATAAATAGAAAAGTAGAAAGGGAAAAAATAAAGAACTCACTTGACTTCACATCCTCTAAAAAGTAATTAAAATATAATTCAACTTCCATTCATAAAATTTTAAAACCTCTTAAAGTAGTATTAAAAACAAACTTTCTTAATTTGATAAAGATTTTCTGCAAAATACTTTCAACTCTACACATAATGATGAAATATCAAAAGATTTCTCCTGAAACTCAAAACAAGATAAGAATGTCATACGATCAACACTTCTTTTAATACTGTACTAGGATCCAAATCCAGAACAATAAGGGAAGAACACATCAAAAACACTTAAGAAAGCTCCAGGGAAGAAAAAAAAAATATCATTAGAAATGACTTGTTCATAGACAATCAAAATTATTGATTGTCTACAAATAATTACTATTTAATGAGTTCCAGGGATATGAGATCAACATATGCAAATCAGTTGTATTTAAATATAACAAAAACTGAAAAATGGAAAATGATATTTAAAATTCAACAAGCCTTTTATGATTTATCAGAAAACGTGTATCTAGGCAAAAATCTAATTAAAGACATCTTCACTGAAACTATGAAATATCAAGAGAAATCAAAAACCAAAATAAATGGAATTATCACATTTAAGAACACCTGAAATCTACTCTTTTGGCAATTTTCCAGTATACAGTACCATGTTATACACAAAGCAACTAGGTAAAGGCATGAATATGTTAATTTATTGACTACAGTAATTATTTCATTATGTATATTAAAAAATCATGTTATACAGCTTAAATATATACAATAAAATAAAATTTTTTTAAAAAATTGAAAAAAGAAATTATCACATTTAATAATTTGAAGATTCATTATCATGCAATTGAGAATTCTTCATCAAATTGTTCTCAAATCTCAATGCATTATAATCACAATGTAAATCTCAGCAAGTTTCGTGTGCACGGGGAAAGTTAGAAGGTATAGTGAGGGAGACCGATAAACTGACTGTATCAAAAATATCAAAGACAGTCTTGGAGAAGAGGAACATAGTTGGAGGATGCACACATCCAGATATGAGGACTTATGTTAGCACTACAGTAATCCAGATGGCATCCTAATGATGCAAAGATAAACAACCAGAAGAAGCTAAGGAAAGTTTAGAAACAACCATACAAGTATGAATAATTTATGACAGAGATGGCACTTACATTTTAGTAAACATTGAAATTCAAAAAGTATTGTATCCTACCCTGTACCAAACACACACACCCCCTCAATTCTAGATAGTTTGCAAATAAAAACGTGAAACAACAATCATTCTGGAAAATATCAGGAGACTATCTTCATTAACTCTGTGTACTAGGCTGAATAATGGCCTCCTAATCCTTGAAATCTGTAAATGTTATCTTATTTGGAAAAAGCAATGTTTTAGATGTAATTAAGGATCTTTAGATGGAGAAATTGTCCAGGATAATGAGTGCACACTAAATGCAATTACATGTATTCTTATGAAAGGAAGGTTGAGGGAGATGCTGACTAAACAGACAGAAGAGGTGAAGGCAATGTGAAGAGGTGGTGAGCATAGTGATGCAGCCACAAGTCACAGAACAACAGTAGCCATCAGAAGCTGGAGGAAGCAAGGAAGGGATTCTCCCTCGAAACCTCCAGAGAGTATGTGGCCCTACCAATTCTTTGATTTCCACCCAGTGATACTAATTTTGGGCTTTTGGCTTCAGAACTGCGAGAGAAAAAAATTCCATTTTTTTAAGCCACCAAATTTTTGAGAATGTGTTCTAGCAGGTACAGGAAACGAATACACGTAAATAGAGATTGTCAAAATATATCACCAGAAACACTGATCATAAAGAAAAATATTGATAAGTTAGACTTTATTAAAAGGAAGAATGTTCATCAAAAGACATCATTAAGACAATGAAAAAGGAGGCTAGCAATGGAGAAGATATTTACAGCATATAAAATTGACAAAGGACTTTTGTCCAGAAAAACATACATAAATCAATAAGAAAAAAAAGACAACAAAAAATAGATGAAAATATCTAGGAAGATACTCTACAAAATAGCAGGTGTAAATCATCAGTAAGAAAATGTTGCCAACTCCACTATTCATTAGGAAGCATAAAGTAATACCATAATGATATACAACTACATCCCTGCCAAACTGGCTATGATAAAGCAATTGACAATATGAAGCATTGGTGTGTCCATGAATAGAAACTTTGCAAAAGTGTCTATAACTTAGCAAAGCTATTCTGGGAATGTGTCAGGCAGTACAAACTGAAGTTGAACATACACGTTCTTATGACCTCAAAATCCTATTCTATTTCTAGAAGTATACAAAAAAGAAAAGTGTGTGTTTGTGTGTGTGCACCCAAAATATGCACAAGATCATTATAATAGTGTTTCTAATAACACCAAACATGAAACAAAAAAAAATGAATTTCCAATGGAGAAGAATGTGAGGGTGGCTGATGATGTGCTGATAACATTTGTCACTCAGTCTGTGTAGTGACTCTCTCAGTTTATTTAGTGACAATGCATTGAGCTTTACCATAACAATTTGTATACATTTTTCTATGTTATACTTTCATAAAAATATTTTTTTAAATGGCACTATTAAACCTCGTTACTCTTCCATACGTAATTCCAACAAATATTCTTGGAATTTTTAATGAAAATTGTCAGAATATATACATTTTTATGAGAGGAATTGTCATTCTAATAACACTGCATCTCCCCATACATAAGCACAGTTTTCATTAGTATTTACATAATATTTAGATATATATATGTGTGTGTGTGTATATATATATATATCTCACTAATGCATATATGCATAGCATACTGTGTATATATTCCACCATGTGGGTCTTACACTTTGTAGGTTTTATACTTAAATGCTACTGGGAAAAGTATTTTTTTAATACACTTTCCCAATTGGTTTTTTACTGCATAGAGAATTGCTCTTGGTACTACTTTATCTGTTGATACTATTGGATTTTTTTCAATTCAGCAATCATTTTATCAGCAAATAATAAAATTTTATTTTTCCTTTTTTATAATTGTATCTCCTCTTTTAAAAATGTTGCTTTATTGGACACCTCAAGTTAAATATTGAATAGAAGCCATTGTAACTAGTATCCTTTCTTTTTCTTGACATTAAATGTTTCTAATACTTGTGCCTTAATTATTATGGTTATTTTGGGGTTTATAGCATTTAAAATAAATATATTTTAAAATATTCAACAAATTCTTGCATATTGATGTTAAATCCTACTTGCTTCTGATGCATTTTATCTACGTATTATTTGATAGATTTTGTAAATAATTTCATAGTATTTTTACCTCTATGTTCATAACATATAATTTTTATTTTTCTTACTGTCCTTGTCCAGTTTTATGGCAAAGAAATACTAACCCTTCAGAAGGATTTGGAAGACCAATTGCTCTTTAATCTATAGAGTAGTATATATGACATTGGCATTATCTTTTCTTTAAGGTTTTGCAAAGTGCCCTTGTAATCCCTTCTAAACCCAGGATTTTGAAAGGTGGAAGGTGGGCACAGAATATGGAACAAAGATTCCATTTATTCAGTAGTTGTAGGTTTTAGTTTTTACTTCTTCTCTGAGGCTATTTTGATATTTTAAGTGTTTTTCGGAACATTTTTTATCTAATCTTTCAGCTTTATTCGTATAAATTTGCTCATTTTGTTGATAATGTGAACAAGTAAAATGTAACATAATCTATGTCCCCTTTTTATACTGAATACTGTTTTTTCATCTCTTAATCATTCTTGCTAGGTGGTGGTGAATTTATCTTTTCAAATAATCAGCTCCAGGTTGAGTTTATCTTAGCTACTATATCTTTGTGAAAAATATATTTTTCAGTTGAATACAATTAAATTTGAAGTGATCTGAAATTATATCATCAATTTATATACAATAGAAGACATATCTGGCTAGATTACCAATATGAGTAATTTTCTAATAAAATTCACTCTTGGTAGGGAAGATCAATTGTAAGATTTTTGAATTAATAAAAAAGAAAGATTTTTTAAGAGATTTTTTACAAGCATGGCTAGATGGATGATTGTTATTCTTCAATTAAGGCATATTTCTGTCTTAAGTACCACAATTATTCCTTAGGAATCAATGTCTTCTTTCCTCTTCATTGTCTGTCATATATTAATAACAGGTACTCAGTCTTATGTCTTAAGTTGAATAAGTGAAGGAGGCAAACTAACGCATTTTTATGTTCTGTCATTTTTTTATTTCAGTTGTATTCTTCTCATCTTTATTGACTAATTCCAGAAATAAATATTCAGCACTATTCTGGGACATGACAACACACTTGTAAATAGCAACAGGAAGGTCCTGATTCCCAGAGCTTACATTCTTTCATGAGGAAAGTTCGAAAATAGACAAGTAAAGAAATAAAGACAATGCCAAATAGAGGGGAAGGAGCATACTATCTGAAGTGGTTATCAAAGATATCTCTGAAAATATATTTCTGATACCAAAATTATGAAAATGAACCAGTCATGAGAAAATAAACTACTGGCCAGGCACAGCAGCTCACACCTGGAATTCTAGCACTTTGGGAAGCCAAGGCAGATGGATTGCCTGAGTTCAAGACCAGCCTGGGCAACATGGCGAAGCCATATCTCTACTAAAAATACAAAAAATTAGCTGGGCGTGGTGGCCTGTGCCTGTAATCTCAGCTACTCAGGAGGCTGAGGCATGAGAATTGCTTGAACCTGGGAGGCAGAGGTTGCAGTGAGCCAAGATCATGCCACTGAACTCCAGCCCTAGGCCACAGAGTGAGACTCCGTGGAAGGAAGGAAGGAAGGAAGGAAGGAAGGAAGGAAGGAAGGAAGGAAGGAAGGAAGGAAGGAAGGGGAGAGAGGGGAGAGAGGGGAGAGAGGGGAGAGAGGGGAGAGAGGGGAGAGAGGGGAGAGAGGGGGGAGAGGGGAGAGGGGGGAGGGAGAGAGAGAGAGAGAAAGAGAAAGAAAGAAAGAAAGAAAGAAAGAAAGAAAGAAAGAAAGAAAGAAAGAAAGAAAGAAAGGAAGGAAGGAAGGAAGGAAGGAAGGAAGGAAGGAAGGAAGGAAGGAAGGAACTGGGAATGCATTTGAAAGAAAAGTCTATAATGAATACAAAGACCAAAGAGATTGGCATGTTTGAGTAAGAGCAGGAACCCAGGGAAGAAGAGGGGCCCTGAAGATGATGGAGTACGTAGGAGTCAGATCACATCATGCCTTGTAGGCCAAGGTTTGTTTTGATCCTGAACACAGTAGCAAGTTACTATACATTTTTTATTATTTTGCTTTTTGTTTATATTTATGTTTTAACAGATTGTTATGACCTAATTTCCCTTTTTAAAAGATCATTTTAAAACACTTTGGCAACTTTGTTCCTATTCTCACGGCTTTACAAGCTATTCTTTGCATAATTAATAACTTATAATTTTTATTTTTCTTACTGTCCTTGTCCAGTTTTATGGCAAAGTAATACTAGCCCTTGAGAATGTATTTGCAAAGAATGGCTTGTAAGGTGGTAAGAGTAGGGTTAAAGATGCCAATTCAGTTTAAAGATAATGGGTTTGAACTAGCACAATGACAGTGAAGATGGTGAGAAGTGAGCCAATTAAAGACACAATTTAGAGGTAGAACAATCATGATTTATTGATGAATTAAATGTGAGTGGTGGGGAGAAATTAAGGATAGTAAATAAAGGATAAATCCATGGTTTGGGTCTTGAGAAGAGGAATACTAGAACAATATTATGACACATTGCAATACAGTTATCAAGATGCCAAATTTATTTCCACTAATTATATTGCACAGAAATTTTCCTGACAGTACATAGACATTAAAGTACAATGTACAGGCTAGGCACGGTGGCTCACGCCTGTAATCCCAGCACTTTGGGAGGCCGAGGTGGGTGGATCACCTGAAGTCAGGAGTTCTAGACCAGCCTGACCAACATGGTCAAACCCCATCTCTTCTAAAAATACAAAAATCAGCTGGGCATGGTGATGGGCGCCTGTAATCCCAGTTACTTGGGAGGCTGAGGCAGGAGAATCACTTGAACCCAGGAGATGGAGGTTGCAGTGTGCTGAGATCACGCCATTGCACTCCAGCCTGGGTGACAGAGTGAGACTCCATCTCAAACAAACACACAAACAAAAAAAAAAGTACAATGTACAGAGCAATTAATTATGGGTCCAGAGAATTTGGTACAACTCTTATAAAGCTCACTCACTGCACAAGACATTCTCTCAAACGAAAATTATAAAATTTAAACAAATGATTGTGAGCATTAAATTAGATAACAAGGGCAAAAGTAACCAGCACAATAACAGCACATAAAAATTGGTAAGATCTGGATCTATATATATTCTGATCACCTCAGTGAGTGATGGAAGATATCCTGGTACCCTTGGATTAATTTTGACCTTTTACTCTCTTCAGATGTAGAGACTGAGGACCATCGTATTCTGAAGGGTGCTAAGTTGATCTATTATCTCAAGTGAATTACTTCTTCAGAAGCTTAATTTTGTCAATTTTCATACTGAATGTATTTAACTTGAAGTAATTTTTGGATGCTATTGTTGCATTTTCTAAAATGTGTCACACTTTAAACTGTCAAAAGAGAAATATAAGGAAGGCATTGAATAATTTAATGTTAGATTGTTTAGGGGTAAACTCCATCTCAATGCTTCCTTATGATTTGGGCAAATCAAATATCTCTAAGCTCAAGTTTTCATAATAGCAGACAATGACAGTTGAAATAGATAATCTTTTAAACTGCATTTACATATTGCCTTCCTTACTAATACTTGTTAATTGGATAATGAGTTTACAGGCATAAAAATCCTTTGTGAATTGTAAAATATTAATGAAATAATTCCCTGCAAATGTTTATTGACCATTTATTAAATCCAAGACCAAGCACAACTGCTCTGTCAGAGCCAATAAAATAGTAGTAGAGAAACAAGCAATAACTGAATAAATGAATCAATAAAAACACAAGACAATGATTAAGCGTCTAGAAGGTAAGAAATGGATAACAACGTGGAGTGAGTGGGTAATTTTAGTCAGTGTAGGCCCCACTAAGAAATAATTTCAACAGAGAGTTGAAACATGAAAACAATTCAGCCTTACAATCCAACGAAAACTAAAGGAGACTTCCAAAAATAACAGTAAATATAAATGTCTAAGATGAGAATAAGTATGGATTGTCAGAGAAAAAAATAGAAAAGCTAAAGTGGGCAGAGAAAGGAAACTGGGTAGAGAATAGCACAGTAAGACATGAGAGTAGGCAGGGGCCATATCATTTATGACTTCATAGGCTGTGGAACATAATTTGGATTTTTATTATAAGAGAAAATTATTAGAAGATTATAGCAATAAAATAACCAGTTGGTATAGGGGAAAGATTAGAGACAAAGGGACCATTTAGAAGACTAGTAATCATGAAGGTAGTAGTCATAGAGAAGATGAAAAGTAATGAAGTTTGGGAAATATAGGGTTCACAAGAATTGCTGATGAATTGGATACATGAAAAATGGAAGTCAACAGTAACTTCTATTTTTCTTTAATAACTGTATCAATGATGGCATCATTTACTGAGATGTTAAAGGCCAGAAGAGTAGCAGGATGACAGGAGGTGTGGGATGGAGCCAAAATTGAGAGGGACACTTGGGATAAATTAGCTTTAGTATGCCTACTGCATATCCACACGCAGTTGGTGAAAAGGTAAGAGAGTCAGGTACATCATTGTGAAGCTGAGAGGTTAGGACTAGATATCCAAACTGGATAGTCATGCATATAGGATGGTATGAAAATCCAAGGAACTATGTCAGATCACATAAGGAGAAGGTGTGGACATGAAAGGTTGAATTATTTTTGTTATTTAAAGGTTGGGAAAAGGACAATTCAGCAGAAGAGATTAAGAAATAGGATAAAAGGAAGAAAGAATGGTCTTCCAAGAGACAAGTAAAGGAAGTGAAATTTCAAGAAGAAAGAGTAATCAACTATGTAAATCCTGCTGGGAATTTCAAAGTTGAAAAAAAAGAATTGCCCATTGGATTGGACTTATCAAGATTGACAATATTGGTGACTTTGACAAAAGCAATTTCAATGGATTAATGAACAAAAGTTTAACTGAAGTGGATAGAAAAGAAAATGGGAGGACAGACAATTAGAGACAGTGTGCTAGAATATATGTTTGTAGAAGAGCAGAGAAATGGGGTTAAGAGCTAAAAGAAGATGTGGGGACTAGGACTCATTTTTAAGAGGAAGATATTCTCATTGTTTTAATTTTGGTGGTGATTTTCAGATGGAAGAAATGAAATTGATTATGAGACAAACTAAGCTGTGATTACATGATCAAAATCCTTAAGTTGACCAAAGTATCTAATAACCCACAAGTAGAAAAAAATTGGCTTCCTATGGACACAGAGGAGAGTTTTATTTTGACAAGAAGGAAGAGGATGTACATGGGTACAGATGAAGACGGTATGTGGATCAATGTCTATTCACAAATATCTTCATCTCAACCTCCTTCCCCTGTCAGAGCTGTCTGTATATGGTGGTTAAAAGTGTAGGCGAGGCCAGGTGCCGTGACTCATGCCTGTAATCCCAGCACTTTGGGAGGCTAATGTGGGCAGATCACGAGGTCAGGAGATTGAGACCATCCTGGCCAACATGGTGAAACCTTGTCTCTACTAAAATACAAAAAATTAGCCAGGCGTGGTGGTGTGCCCCTGTAGTCCCAGCTACTGGGGAGGCTGAGGCAGGGGAATCGCTAGAACCTGGGAGGCAGAGATTGCCATGAGCCAAGATCACGCCACTGTACTCCAGACCAGTAACAGAGCAAGATTCCGTCCCCACAACCAAAGAAAAAAAAAAACGTGTAGGCTATGGAGCCCAACTGACATGGTTCAAATCCCAGCTCAGTGTGACTACGAACAAGCTGCTCATCTGTGTCTCAGTCTCTTCATCTGTAAAATGGGGTAATAATAGTACCAACCTCATAAATACTGTTGAGGTGACTCAAAGTTTTAAGATCCACAGTTGAAAGGAAATGTCAAGTAAATGTTTTTATTATTATGACCTATTATTATTATTATGTCACTATATCCAACTGCTTGTTCTACATTGCTACGTGGTTGTCTGAATATCTAGTACCAAGCATTTTTTTGTTTGTTTGTTGGAGATGGAGTCTCGCTCTGTCTCCCAGGCTCCAGTGCAGTGCCGCTATCTTGGCTCACTACAACCTCTGCCTCCCGGATTCAAGCAATTATCCTGCCTCAGCCTCCTGAGTATCTGGGATTACAGGCACACACCGCCACGCCCGGCTAATTTTTGTATTTTTAGTAGAGGCGGGGTTTCACCATATTGGCCAGGTTGGTCTCAAACTCCTGACATGGTGATCTACCCGTCTCAGCCTCCCAAAGTGCTGGGATTACAGGCGTGAGCCACCGCGCCTGACCTAGTACCAAGCATCTTAAGCACAGCATGTCTAAAACCAAATATGCAATAAGTTCCTAAATTTGTGAATGCAAAGCCAGAAAAGGGTGTTCCTAAACCAAAACCCAGCTAATATTTGCCTGAATTTATTTTCTTTTTCTTATCCTTTTTATCTTCTCTGGAATTTATCAACAATAATAAGTGCTATTACTTCTAACAAGCATTTCAAAACTTGAGATACTATTTTTCTAATCTACAATTTAATTCATGGTGAAATAGAAAGTAATATCAATTTAGAAATCATTTGTATTTTTCCCTCCATACCTAATGTAAGCCATTGTAATAGCTTCTCAAAAACCTTTTAGTCATACTAAAATTGTGTTGGTGTCTCATGATTTGGCACAGAGTCAATTTATAAGTATAAAAACCTGAAGTATTCTGTACCTAACTTGAAAGTGGATATAAATGCTGAAGTGTGCTTTAATGCAGTCACATGTAATGAAACCTAAAACTTAATTTTAACTTAATAAAATATTTTTTAAATCGAAATGTCTTTTCCTTTCAATTGGGAATATTTTCATTTTAATTATATTTCATTAAGGAGAAGAAAAAACATATTCTGACAGCTAAATGACAACTTTAAATATTTTCTACCAAATATTTCAAGAATGTTTTGATAAAATAAATTAGAATAATCTGAAACTGGCCAATTTTAATTTAGATTTTCATATTTATCAAGTATGTCATATTGTTTTACTAAAAAGAGTAAGTGTTCTTAGGAAATGAAATCTTACCAAATTATAAGATATAATAATCACTATCAGCAATTAATGACCTATAACCAAAATGGACATATAAAATTTTAAACCTTATAATGAAATACTCCTAGGAACAATATTAGGTAAATGTACTTCAAGATTATTGAAGTTATTATTTAATTAGGTGGTTACTGTGGCACATACATTTATATTTCCTCTAAAAAGCTTCCAGAGAAGTAGTTTCACTCTCTTTGATTGTCTTTTAGTAAAAACAAAAAAAGCAAATAGAATCAAGCTGTTTATATACAATAATATACTATATATTAAATTGTGTATTATATAGAATCCTAAAATAAGATTTCACTAATGCTAATTATTGGGTATTATATTGAGTGTTGGAAACAATGTACCTTAAATATATTTAACCAAGAATATTTCATATAAACACTAGAAGACAGCAAAATTGAATTATCTCTAATTGTCATTAATATAAACCCCCTTTTACATAATATACTTTTAAGAACCCAAGTAAAAACAACTGAAAAAGTATTCATAGATCTAAGGATATTAATGACACGTATATTGTCTAATGCTCTTTGTACCACATCTGAAGAAAGACCATGCCCTTCACAAAACAAGATTAGAAAGGAGAAACAAAGAGAATAGGTTTAAACATACAAAACTGCCAAGATTTGGTCATGTTTTTAACTACAAATATATTTTTATATGATTCAGCTTATTATATGACAGCAAGAGCGTGGCAAATACATTAATCAGTTTTTTTATGTGTTTGAGATACAAGGACTTAATTTTCCAGTTGTTAACAAATGGATAGAATCTAAATTTTGTAAGTAACTCAAGCTTTTAAAAAGTCTGAAGTCACATATGTATCTAACCTTGAAATTGATCAATTCAATTTTAGGGAATCATGTGGAAGAAAGAAAACTGAATAAATTTTTATCCTAAGATGAAGAAGTTAAACATTCAATTTTGGTTCCATTATTATCTAAGAAACCATAGTTTATAACAGATTACAATTTTTATTTTATTTTAAAGAGCATTTTTTCCACTTTCACCTAACCATTTCCTCAAAAGTTTTCATGTGCTACCTTAGAAACTTCACATTAAGTAATCATCTATTGTGTACCACACTGGTTTTTTTCTAGGTACATCTCTCCTCTAATCTTGTCTTCATTTTAATTTTTATCAATATGTAATGATTGTACATATTTATGGGGTACTGTGATATTTTGATACATGCATACAAGCTATAGTGATCAAGTCAGGGCATTTAGGATATCTGTCACCTCAAATATCATTTCTTTGTGTTGCAAATAGTTCAAATCTTGCTTGTAAATATTTTGAAATCTACAATAAATTGACTATAGTTACCCCACTCTGCTATCAAGCAATAGAACTTAATCCTTCTAGCTATGTTTATACCCATTAACCAACCCCTCTTCACTCCCTCCCCTCCCCCCACACACTCTTGCCAGCCTCTAGTAACTATCATTCTAATCTACACCTCCATGAGATCAACATTTTTAGCTCCCATATCAGAATGAAAACATGTGCTATTTGTCTTTCTGTGCCTAGCTTATTTAACTTATTGATCTCCAGTTCCATCCATGTTGCTGCAAATGACAAGATTGTATTCTTTGTTATGGCTAACTAGTATTATCTTATGTTTTTTATCCATATCTATTCCGTATGTTCTTTATCCATTCATGTCTTGATGGATACTTAAGTTGCTTCCATATCTTGGCTATTGTGAATAGTGCCTCAATAAACATGGGTGCAAGTACCTCTTTGATACATGGATTTCCTTTCCTTTCCTTTGGGTGAATACCAAGTAGAGGGATAGTTGGATCATATGGTAGTTCTATTTTCAGTATTTTGAAAAACATTTATCTGTTATCCATAATGGCTCTGATAATGTACATTCCCACCAACCATGTGTAAGAGTTACCTTTCCTCTGCATCCTTGCCAGCATTTGCTATTATTTCGTCTTTTCTATTACAACCATTCTAAATGAGGTGAGATGATATTTAAAGTAACCAAAACAGCATGGTATTGGTATAAAAATAGGTACATAGACCAAAAGAACATAATACAGAACCCAGAAATAAATCCACATATTTACAGCCAACTGATTTTCAACAAAGGTGCCAAGGACATACATTGGGGGAAAGACACCCTCTTCAATAAATTATTCTGAAGAAACTGGATATCAACATGCAGAAGAGTGAAACTAAACCCATCTCTTATCATACACAAAAATTAACTCAAAATGGATTAAAGACTTCGATACAAGACCCAAAACTATAAAACCTCTACTAGACAAAAACATATGGAAAATGTGTCAGGACATTAATCTAGACAAATATTTTATGGCTAAGACATCAAAAGCACAGGCAACAAAAACAAAAATAGACAAATGTGACCGCATTAAACCAAAAAGCTTCTGCACAGCAAAGGAAACAACAGAATAAAGAGACAACCTGTAGAATGGGAGAAAATATTAGCAAACTATTCATTCAAGGACTAATATCCAGAATATGCAAGGAACTTCACAGCAAAAATAGAAAATAAAAATAAAAAATAATACTCCCCTTAAAAAATGAACAAAGGACACAAGTAGACATTTCTCAAAGACATACAAATGGCCAAAGAGTATATGAAAAATTCTCAACATCACTAATCATCAGGTAAATGTAAATCAAAACCACATTGGCTTTTTAATATAAGCTTAATATTATCTGACTACTTAGAAATTTAACTTAGAGGAAATACAATTGTGGGAAAACGTAACTATTTTAAAACTGCTGCTCAGTAAGTCCTCAGTATCAAGGAACTGGTTAAGAATCCACCATCCTGCTGCCTGACCCTGTCTTCTATCATTCCCCAGGAAAGAAAGGTCTTTCCATCTATGGTCTTGGGAAATTGAAAGAAGTTATGCTTCAATGAGACTAGCAATTGTGGTTCAACAAAAATCAGTAAAGGGTCAACAGGTTCAGTCTGATCTTTCTTCTTTAATATTTGCAGACCTTAAATATAGAAGTCTCACAGGTGCAATATTTAAAGCTAAGCAGAAAGGAGAAGTTGGGAACACATTTAATAATGCTACCTCCACAAATTTCCTGTATGTGCTAACAATCATGACTCCAATAATTTAGGTAGCAGGTCTTACCTGCCTTTTACTTATACATACACATTCAGAAAATCCTTGAAGGAAAATTCACAAGAAACATGCTAATTCACAAAATGTCAAGTTTGCTTTTTGTTCACTAAAATTAAATGAGACAAATCTCAAAGAGGGTAATTATATTACTAGTGTATATGTGAAATTAAATGTTAGTTATCATGTCAAAGGCAAAAAAAAAAGTCTTCACAATAAATAATGTTTTTCTGTTTTTAAAGTGCTTTTACATGTTATTTCATTTTACCATTACTAACATAAGGTACATATAATCTCACTTTACTATTGATGAAAAGCAGGCTTTAATGGATTAGGTTTGTCCAAGCTCACATGGCAAGTAGCAGAAATAAAACTCAAATACTTATTATCTGATTACATATCTCTCTTTAATATTGTAGACTATTTTAACAAGATTACTAAACACATTATGAAATATACAAAGCGATCCTACTAAATCTTAAACACTTTTTGTATTTTCTGCAAATTATGATGCTATCATTTAGTCCTTGACTTTTGGGGACTTGATTGCAGTCAATTCCTGTTACCATTTGGTGGTTATGATCACAGTCACTGAGGAATACATGACATCCCTGAAGTCACAATATCAAGTGACTCATAGTTGTATTTCAGCTCTAAAGGAGAACTAACTTGTGTTGTTGAGAGAGGACTCTGGGTGACAAAATAGAACCAAGCAAACAAACAAACCAATAAATAAATAAAATGAAAATATAATAAGACAAAACAAAAATAAACAAGACAAAAAAACAAAAAAATTATGAAATCCAGCTTTTGCACAGCTATGCCAATCTCTAGTAAATAATTATTCTTCTGTACTTTTTTGTCCCTCATGCTTTTTTAATGAATGAAATTACTGATTCGGAGAAAAAAAGATAATATCAAATATAATTTCTGTCTTTACATAGTTCTCTTCCACCAGTGAAACTGGATAATTTTTTAGCTTTACAGTTGTTATAAATTTTAGCAGGTACTTTTTAAGAAAAATACATAAAAGTTAAAAATATAAAAATCTTGGTGTTTATTTTTATATTCTACTACACTTGCTTCTTGAATATGATACTTAGAAAACTAAGACCAGCAAACAGTTTTTTGACAATTACTTCACCAACTTTATCATATTTGCCTTCTACCTAATCATGTTTTGAAAAAACCATAATAATTGTTAACTTTGTTAATTTTTCTAAATAATTTTTGTTTTCTAATAGCAATATAGTAGAAGCATTAGGAATTCAATGCACATTTAAAATTCTCTTTGAGAAAACAGATGAAAGTTACAATCAAATAAATTTTGTTCTTATTGATGTGTATGTGTTTAACGGTATGACCAAATTAAAATATTAGTCCATGAATGGAATAAATAATAGAAAGGAATTGGCCAGCTGTAATGTAGATTATATGTAAGGTTAATTAATTTAGTATTCCTAACTCTGTAGACATTTGTATATAATTTTAAGAATATTAAAACGGAATCTCAGTAAAAAATGCAGTGCTAGAGATACAGAAGTTGATACTCCTAGAGCAATGTACCATTTAGCCTTCATTGGGAAGACAAGAATATTGTTGTGCAGTGGACTGGAGGGAACTTGAATTAGTTCAGTCAATTAAGTCATGATTAATTTATGTTAGATCCTGCTCTCCTGAGTCTATAAAATCCAAGAGACATTAGTTAACCAGCAGTATTTAGTTTAATAAAAGTAAAGTCTTTAAAAATGAATTCTAGGCCAGGCACAGTGGCTCACGCCTGTAATCCCAGCACTTTGGGAGGCTGAGGTGGGCGGATCACGAGGTCAAGAGATCGACACCAGCCTGGCCAAAATGGTGAAACCCCATATTTACTAAAAATACAAAAATTAGCTGGACATGGTGGCACACGCCTGTAGTCCCAGCTACTCAGGAGGCTGAGGCAGGAGACTCGCTTGAACCCAGGAGGTGGAGGTTGCACTGAGCTGAGATCGCGCCACTGCACTCTAGCCTGGGCAACAGAGTAAGACTCCATCTCAAAAAAAAAAAAAAAAAGAAAGAATTCTAAAGAGAAAATAATTTACTACTGACATAATCAATAGACAGCAAGATTCCTATTCTAATCTGAGTCAAGGGAAGTTAAAATAAATTTAGAAATTAGTAAGAACAAGGTTGTTCCCTTCAAATGGATTACCAAATTTCCCAAATAGTTATTAGCATGGCTTATACAGTAGCTCTTCCCTGACGTGTGATAAACTTTAAGTATGCACAAGAGCAAAGACTTTGCAGCAAGAATTGCCACTAGTGATAAGTTCATGTTCTCTCTTGGTCTAAATAGAAACAGTCAGTTGCTAACACCTTCAGTCAAAAATGATTCTGCACAGGCTGTGAGTAGATTTTGATTACTCTAATTATCTATTTGAACATAATACATGAGTCTAAGGGACCTTTGTGTATTTAGGGTATATTGAGAGAACGTGTGGTTGTAGGCATAGCTGGGTTCCTAAACCACTGAGAAAATAATAGCGACTTACTCAGTCTCTTCAAGGAAAGAACAAAAATGAATCTTAAGGAAGATGCTTTAGCTCCAATCACAGAGTGGCTGAGATACTCTAAATATTATGCAAAGTGTTTGACTGAAGGCAAGCATAGCACTTATAATAGATCTTTATCTACAAGAAACCAATGATGGAAGTATGCACCTTCAGGAATATCTTCTTTGATGAAGAAAAATTATGTAGCTGATTTGCGTCACATAGTTTTTCAGAAGCATTTCAATAAATCCTACCTGTGTAATCTGAGTTCTATAACAGTTATAAATAATGTCATCATATGGGGTTGACTTTGATAGGGCAACGGCTGCATATGTTTTTGTTTTTTATTTTTTAAATTAGAGATGGGATCTCGCTATGTTGCCAAGGATGGTCTGGAAATACTGGGCTCAAGGGATCCTCCTACTTCTACCTCCCAAATTTCAGGGATCACAGGTGTAAGCCACAGCTCCTGGCCATATTTGTTATGTAAAAAACAGTAGTTAAACAGATAATTCTTCCCAAATATACTCTTATATTCACCTGAATTTAAACTCCTAACCACTTTTTGTCATTACTTTAAAAATATTTCAGCTTAATACTGTTATATATACTTAAAACCATAGCATTTCATATAAAGTGTCTGAGATCATAACATTCCATTTTCTTTTTATTCATTTACACTTTCGATTTTTAAACATATAAAGGACAGGGGGCCATAAATGAGACTTTTTTCCAAACTGAGTACGTTTTAGTTGTTCCTAAGAATTCTGGCTAATGGCATCAATGTCAGATATGAAGTCACTGTTCAAAAAAAATGACAATGAGAAAGACACACTCTCCATGATGGTAAATGCCTAAGTGCTCACATTATCCCTCATGAACTGCATGCTTCAAGTAGCGATCAAGCACAGCCATCCATCCTTCTTACAGCCAATGTGGCGGAAAGTAAGAGGAGTCCCATCTTTGTGAAATACCATGTTTCATTGCCAACATGAAAGATTTTTTTTTTTTTTGCCAGAGTCATTCAGTAATGATATACTAGCTCAAAGGTGTTATTTTCAGCAGTAACTATCATAGTTTCTGTTGGTCTAGAAAATCAACAATGGCTTGCTCGCATTGAATGAAGCTTAAAGTGCACAATGAAGGAAAGGTATTTTTGACAACAATGGCACTTGTTGTGTTAGGGTCTTTAAAACAAAACCAATGGAGAAGGGTATGAAAAGTGATATGTTTTCTGCTGTGGATATGAAGATGCCCTTGTATAATGATAGACTGATGTCTCAAAAAAGGAAAATAAAACAGTGAACTGCTTTCTATGTCTCACAAAGGATAAATCACTAAAAATATCGTTTAAGAGTTGATTAGGAAAAAAAACCAGAAATATGTATATATCGTTACAAAAGTCAAGCCCTTTTGGAAGCTGTGGAAAATGGTGAAAATAGTAATTATCCCATGTGCCTAATTTTTAAAAAATTATTTTTTAGTTTCTTATAAAGGAATACCTGACCACTGTGTTTTGGAAAATAGAGATGAACCAAAAGAGAATCATTTCATAATCCATTGTCCCACTACTTTTTCCCCAGGGTAGTCCATTTTGTACAAAGCAATTAATGTGACCTTTTATAATTGTTAATCTGTTCACCACCTTCTAATGTCTGTTTGGCATACCTAAAATGAAGTCTAAATGACTCCCCATGCCTATATAGCCTAAACAACCTGGTCCCAGGCTCACTCTTTCTCACTAATTTCCCACCACTCTTCCCCTAGCTCATTCCACTCCAGCCCAGAATCCAGCAGCAATTTCTCCAGCATGCCAAGTACATTCCCACCACAGGACATTCCTGGCTGTTCCCTTGACTTGGATTGTTATTTACCCAAATACTTACACTTTGTTCAGGTCTCTGCTCAAACATCGCCTCCTCAGCAAGGTCCTTCCTGATAACTTCCTCTAAAGAAACACCTTTACCACCACCCTTTCTCCTTTTTACCCTGCCATTTCTTAAACTCTAACACGTATCACTACTGAACTTTATATTGTATATTCATGTGTTTATCTCCATGTTGTTTATATACACTAGAATGTAAGCACCCTGAAGATGAGAACTTGGCCAGCATTCCCACTGCTGACAAAGTTCATGACCTAAAGTGTGTTCTCAATAAATATTTGCTGAATAAATGAATACCCAAGGTTAACATTTTGGTTATAAAAGTAAAAATAAATAATATTTTGGGGTTCTTATTTGGAGCCAGTCATTCTTTTAAATGCTTCATATGCATAAACTTACTTAATCCTCCCAAACATCTGAAGAAAAAGGTGTTATTTTTTCCCACTGTATGAATGAGGAAATTGAGGCACAGGGATATTAAATAACTTGCCCCAGATACAGTTAGAAAATGATGGAACTAGAATATTAATCTAAGCAGTCTAGCCTCAAGGCCAAAACTCTCAACCACTAGCTCATGCTCTCCTTTCTCTCTTTCTTGCTCAGCCAGACACATTCTCACATGCACAATTATGCACACACAGTCTTCCCTTATGTAGTGTTTTGGGCATACTTTTACATATATTTAGATATCCTCTGACAACATCGTTTTAATACCTTACCACCTTCTACTTTGAGTTTGTGAGAGGGATTTTAAAACCAATAGCATATGGTGGGCATTAATAGATGACTTGCTTTAAATATAATTAACACATTTCCTATACGTCAAATTATCAGATAAAAAAGAGACATGTTCTCAAGGGGTTTTAATTTATATTACCAACTTGTTCTCCAGAAAAGTTAACTTAATAATCATTTTCTCATATCCTCAAAACCTGGGTATTTTTAAAATTTTAGTCATTTTGATAAAGTTTTTATTTGATTTTTCATTATTATTTAAGGTTTGTCTGATTTCTAGTGTGGTGGAACATTTGTTATAAGTTTATTTCTCCATTTCTTTGATTCTTCATTTTTATTAAGCAAAATTGCTGTAGTTCCTAACTGGTTTTATATATTATTAAAGAAGTGCCCTAATGCATAATATATTCTAGTTATATCCAAGTCCTTGGTTTTATCTACATGCTTTTATTCTAGGCCTGAAACCAGATTTTCATGAACTGAGTTTTGACAATGTTTATATATTTGTTACTAAACAAGTCATTGGATACACCTGGTATTTCCTCTAAAAGTGAAGAATTTACCAGAAGATAACAGGTAAAAACAGTCTGACATTTTGGTCTATATTCCACCTACTTATTGACTTGGCCTCCTATATATCTGGGACTAATAAAGAGAAACAAAGATATAGGTAAAGGCATGTACATAAAAGAGTAAAGGTGTTAAAGTCATTTTATGATTTTACATTTTATCTTTATCTACCTATCTGGCTACTGAATAATTTATTGTGAAACTATGCTAGGTGAAAAAAGAAGAGGTATTTATCACTTCACACTGGGATTGTGAATTCAGTTGCACTTTATCAGCTAGATAGGTAATAATTTTGATAGTTGATTTTGTGCTGGGTAGTATGCAGAGTTTTATACACACACACACATTGTATATATGTAAATATATGTCAAACACATTGACGATAGATACATAGAACAATCAATCAATCAGCCAATCACAAAGCTCTTCTTTCTCATTGTGATGATTAATTTTAAGTGTCAATTTCATTGGATTGAAGGATGCAAAGTATTATTTCTGGGTGTGTCTGTGAGGATATTGCCAGTGGATATTAACGTTTGAGCCAGTGGACTGGGAGAGGAAGATCCACCCTCAGTGTGGCTGGGCACTATCCAATTGGCTGCCAGAGCAACTAGAAAAGCAGGCAGCAGAAGGTGGAAGAAGATGGCTTGCTGAGTCTTCCAGGTTTCTTCTTTCTCCTATGCTGGATGCTTCCTGCCCTTGAACATCAGCCTCCAGGTTCTTCCACCTTTGGACTCTTGGACTTACACCAGTGGTTTGCCATGGGCTCTCGAGCCTTCGGCCACAGACTAAAAGCTGCACCATTCTTCCCTGCTTTTAAGGCTTTTGGACTTAGACTGAGCCACTACTGGCTTCCTTGTTCCTCATTTTGCAGATGGCCTATCAGGGCACTTCACCTTGTGATCGTGTAAACCAATACTTCTTAATAAACTCTCTTTCATATAAATATATATCCTATTAATTCTGTCCCTATGGAGAACTCTAATACAGTCGTCTATAATTCCTCTCACCTCTGATAGGCATTTTTATAAAATGCACAGACATTTTAGTGAATTTTACCATTGCACAATAGTAAATAAGAGAAATAACTAGAGTAACAAATTCAGTTAAAACATTCAAAACACTGAATCTTGTTTTTGTTTTTTTTTGAGACAGGATCTTACTGTCACCCAATCTGAAGTATAGCAGTGGCTCACTGCATCCTCAAACTCCAGGGCTCAAGCAATCCTCCTGCCTCCACCTCCCTAGTAGCTGAGACTACAGGCTTGCACCACCATTTCTAGTTAACTTTTTAAAATTATTTTTAGTAGAGACAAGGTCTGGCTATGTTGCCCAGGCTGGTCTCAAACTTCTGGCTAAAGGGATTCTCCCATCTCAGCCTCCCAAAATGCTGGAATTACAGAAGGGAGCCACTGCTCCCAACCTGAAGAACTCTTTATATCCATTGTGATGTAAAGAAGTGCACGAGACATGAATCAATGCAACGCTGACTGCCATGGGTTACTAAAGCAATCTGGAGAAAGTTACAGAATCAAATAACAAACGAAGAGGATGCCTAGACCAGTACCAAGTACCAAAGCAGAATCTTCCAAGAGCCTCTCTTGAAAGAAAGGGTATCCCTAGTTTCCTAGAGAAAAGGGATAGGGCTAAACTGGAGCCGTAACTACAGAAAATATACAATTACACTGCACTGTGTGGAAGTATTTTTAAAACAACTTTTTGGTAATTTATGGGTGATTTAGTCCAAAGAGTAACTTAACTCTTCCTAATAAATAATGATATTTACTAAAGCCTGCATTAAAAGAACTCCTTTAGGTGCTTAAACTACTAAGCCAAATCAGCATTAGAATAAGGCACCTTGGTTCAAGGTTGGCTAGCCAGCTGGCTTCTAGTCCTTTTAGAATGCCACTGTCACTGTAGCCTAAGCCACCATCATATCTAACCTAGAACATTGCAAAGGACTCCTAATGGGCTTCCCTGAGTCCATGCTTGGTGTCCCTACACTTTACTTTTCACACAATAGCCAAAGTTTAAGTAGGGTTTCTTCCTATTGAATAGTATTGATGCTACTATTTAAATTACTGCCTTTGCAGTAAATGATTCAGGCAACTTCAGAGGAAAGAATTCATTATTTTCATGGCAAACTGGAGACACAAACACTAGCCTTCTCCATACCTTTCCATCAAACTGAAAACACAGGACACAGAGTCCAGTGACATAAAATGTACCTTCTGTTCCGACAAGCAAACCATCTCTTCCTATGTATCTCAGGATAGCTACCTGAAATCCACCTGAAATCATTTGATTTCAGGTTATAATTATTTAAACTTGGTTTTCACTGACCACTCCTAGATCCATTGATGAGTTCTACTTTCCTTCCCAAATTCAGAATAGTTCTGCCCGTGATTCTCCACTCTTCTTTTCTGAAAATACACTGTAGTTGAACTCAGCAGTTCCGTGGCTTTATATAGTCTCTGCACACTGATGAACCAAAGTTTACATCTAGCCTTGACTTTTTCCTTGAACAAAAGTTTTATATATGCAAGCATGCTGAATATCTCCCTTTATATGTCAAATGGACAAACTTAAGTCCAAAATACAGCTCTTGAATCACCCCCTTGGCCCCTGAAGTTTCCTCATTTCAGAAACTGTAGAACAACATACATTCATTCTATTGTTCTACAAAACTTTGAAGTCATTATTAACCCTTTTTCCTCATCTATGCACCCAACACCTCATCTGCCAGCAAATTCTATGATCTCTGCAATTAAAATACATCCAAATATAACTCAAAACCCAATCACCTCACCAATGCCACCACACTGCTCCAATGACCAGCTTATCTTAGTTACAGCAACACTCTCCTACCTGGTTTAGCTGTTCTGTCACTCCACAGACATCTATTTTTTTACACTGCACCTAGAGTTGTGTGTTTAAAATGACATCTGATTATTGTATTCTCCAACTCAAAGTCATACCAGCTGTATTTAGAATCAAATCTATTTTTTTTTCTTTTTTTTTTTTTTGAGACAGATTCTCGCTCTGTCACCCATGCTGGAGTGCAGTGGTGTGATCTCCGCTCACTGCAAGCTCCACCTCCCAGGTTCACGCCATTCTCCTGCCTCAGCCTCCCGAGTAGCTGGGACTACAGGCACCCGCCACCACGCCCGGCTAATTTTTGGTATTTTTTAAGTAGAGATGGGGTTTCACCTTGTTAGCCCGTATGGTCTCGATATCTTGTGATCCACCTGCCTCGGCCTCCCAAAGTGCTGGGATTACAGGCGTGAGCCACTGCGCCCGGCCTCTATTTTTCTTACTATGGCTTATAGGGCTCATCATGTCCTGACACCATGCTCTGGTCCCTGACCTTAATCTTGCCACTCTTCTCAATTTCTCTCTCCAATCTTTACTGTCTTTCTTGTGTTTTTTTCTAACATGCCAGGCACATTCTCAACTTACAGCCTTTGCCCTTTGGTCATTGTGACTCAGAGGCTCTTCTCCGACTCCCACTGCGTTCCCACCCGCACACAAATTTTCACATGACCTCTAAGTGTATGCAGACCCCGCTCATAGAGGCTTGTTGACATTATCTAAAAGAGCACACATCCCCTATTCTAGATCTTCTTATGCTGTTTCATTCATTTTCATGGTATACTATATATGTATTTGTTCATTTGCATATCGTCTGTCCTCCTCACCAAAATGAAAACTCCATGGGGTCAGGGATATTGCTGCTTTAGTCCACCACTATATCCCAGTGTCTAGAATGGTACCCATTTTAGATGCATGACTATATTAGAGGACATCAATTATCATCTAACATAATCTTGCCTTGATTTATAAGTGCCATTGGAGCAGTAAAACATATAGCAATACTAATGCAAAAATTACCAAAGTGATTTTTTTTTTTTTATGAGATGGAGTCTCATTCTGTTGCCAAGGCTGGAGTGTGGTGGCTTGATCTCAGCTCACTACAATCTCTGCCTCCTGGAATCAAGCTATTCTCCTGCCTTGGTCACCTGAGTAACTGGGATTACAGGCATATGCCACCATGCCCAGCTAACTTTTTGTATTTTTACTAGAGATGGGGTTTCACCATGTTGGCCAGACTAGTCTTGAACTCCTGACCTCAAGTAATCCACTGCCTCAGCCACCCAAGGTGCTGGGATTACAGATATGAGCCACTGTGCCTGGCCCAAAGTAACTCTCTAAAAATAAATTAATAGATATAAAAACAGCTCTTACACACAAAAGGAGGGTCACTGAGCCAAAATTTTAAACTGGCAACCCAATTCATTAATCCACCACTACTATTCTACCAAAACTATTTTGTCCAAATAAAAATTGTTTCTTTTGTAGATTACTGTATGTTTATTGTATCTGCAATATGGGTACAGACCACTTATTCCCAATATGCGATTGCTTACATTATATTTTAAATTCGATTTCTCTATATTTTGTTCCCCTGCCCCATTTCCATACAGCACTCTTAATTGATTAATGGCAAATGTACTCCTTGGGCATATGCTTGGGATTCTCTAGAGTCTCCTTATACTAGCTTACGGTACAGATTTGATTGTCAGAACTTCCTCTGCCTTGAGCCTCCTCTCTCTTTAACAAAGGAAAAATTTTTAATAAAAATAAAAAAGATTTCCTTAAGAAACTCTTGATTGTTTAAAAAAGTGTCCAAAACTCCATTTAATCTCTCAATATTTATTAATAAATTGTTTTTTTAAATTTCTTTTGAGATACAGCCTCGTTCTGTCACCCAGGCTGGAGTGCACTGAAGCAATCCTAGCTCCCTGCAGCCTCAAACTCCTGGGCTTAGGTGATCCTCCTGCTTCCGCCTCTCAAATAGCTAGGAGCACAGGCAAGTGCCACCACACCCAAAACATTCTTTTAAATTATCCTTTTATTAAAAGGTAAGAAGAGTGAAGGGAATATTTAAGAATGTTCAAGAATTTTTAATTGCTTAATTAAAATGGCTTAAATTTATTTAATGTTTCAGAATTTTTTCCTCCAGACTTGTATGTACTCATTGTCTTTTTTCTATCCATTGAGGGGAGTCAACAGTTTCAAAGATCACAATGTTTGCAATTGATCACATGTATTTTCCAGGATTATTTATTCCAGTTTTAAGTTGCCTAAATGTTCCATATAAATAAACCTGTTTTATTTATATATTGGTTTTCAAAACCATACTATTTTTAATTTAAATTAAATATTTTCTAAGAATTATTTACTTGGGATTGTATCTTTAAAATTTACCTGCATTTGCTTTTTCAGTAAATTTCTGGAATACTTTATATATGGCTAAAGACCAAAGATGTGGTGACCGTTCTTTTTTCCCCAAGCTGGAACCCCTATCATAATACAGAGCCAATCTAAATGAGATTTAAAAGTTTATGCCCAAGGGGAGTGCTTGCTATTAACTAGCAATGTATACAATTAAACTTAAAGCATGGTCACAGTGTTTTAATCAGGAAAGCTAATAGTCATTTCTGTCCTGTGGGGTAATAAATGAAGGCAAAAGCAATTGAACAAGCTTTCTGATGTGCTAAGTGATATATGGGCTCTCTTGAGTCACCAAATTGGAAGGACCACATGCTTAGTTAATCAACACTGCACAGTCATATTGGGGGAGAGGTGATAAATTTAACAGATGTTACACTAGCAGGGGTCGGGGTAAAATGGACTTGATCCACCACCTCAGTAATTAAAGTGATGTCTTTAAATGCCTATTATCAAATGCCTGACTATAAAAGAGAATGAATTTTTTACTCTCAGTCATTCACTGTAAGTGAATTTAGTAATACTATCCACCACAATGGTCTAAGCTGGCCACTGACTAATACGTATTGACTAATATGTTGACAGGGTAGAAAATCAAATCCCAGGAGACCAGTTAATGTACTTCTTTCTAGAATTTTCAGGGCAGATTAGAACAAAATCACATCCATAGGAAACCATTAAGACTACACTCAGGTGATAAGTTACTGTTCCTATAGGCTTTTCTCCTTCAAGGATGAGCCATATACTCTCTGACTAGAAACATTGTTTCTCTTGCACACAATGTAAGAGCAAATGGACCAAAGGAATTTGTAGCCAAAATGTAGTGATTTTTCCATTTCAAGCACATATACCACAGCTTGTATTTGTAAATGCGTTAGAATGAGCAAGTCATACTTCCGCAATTAAAAATTTGATGCCAGGGCTGGGCGCGGTGGCTCAGGCCTGTAATCCCAGCACTTTGGGAGGCTGAGGCAGGTGGATCACAAGGCCAAGAGACCATCCTGGCCAACATGGTGAAACCCCATCTCTACTAAAAATACACACACACACACACAAAAATAGCCAGGCGTGGTGGTGGAGCCTGTAGTCCCAGCTACTCGGGAGGCTGAGGCAGGAGAATCACTTGAACCCAGGAGGTGGAGGTTGTAGTGAGCCGAGATTGCGCCACTGCACTCCACTCCAGCCTGGCAACAGAGCGAGACTCCATCTCAAAAAAAAAAAAATTGATGCCTGTTTTTGAATAAAACCTTTTCTGTTCTGAAATTCCAGTCACTGTTTAAACTTTTACAACATGAAAGATGAATTAAATAGCAAATATGGATTCTTCCTATCAATAGAGAGAACAGAGTTTTTACTTATAAGTCTTCACAGTCCACAAAATTTCAACTTTTTTTTCACCATTTCCATCATCTCTACCCACTACCTTCAGACCTACAGTTGTACTGTTGCTTTTTGTTTGGTTTTGGTTTAGCCAGAAAAGAATGATGTCTTGGATCATGGCCATTTTCCTTTCTTTCGTAACTTCAGGAATAGAGAAGAAAGCGCTCTGTCTCTTCCCTGCTTTATGTATCCTCAGCATTGGATGGAAATACCCTAAAAAGTAAACCTAAGGAGAGAAATAAAGGAGATATTTTTAAACATTCTCCTTACTCATCTCGTCTGATGTCCTGAAAACTCTGCCAAATTCTAAAGCTTCCCTTAACCGCAACTTAGACTGAACTTTAAGACCAAGAGCCACTGGAATTGAAATTCAGGTCTACACTTTACTGATGACAATGTTCACCAATTAAATTATTCCTGCAGCATATTAGTTTGAAGAGGTTATTTTAAGTATCTCATCTATTTGCCTCACCTGGCTTCCTTTCTGTTCTGGGTTAAATAATGGTATCCTCTTCAAAATTCATATGTTGAAACTTAACACCAATGTGATAGTGTTAAGAGGTGGAGTCTTTAAGACGTGATTAATTCATGAGGGTAGACCCCTCATGGATGGGATTAAGGCCCTTATAAAAGGGCTTGAGTGAGTAGATTGGCTCTGTTGCCCTTATGCCATGTGAGGACACAGAGAATCCTCCAGAAGATGCAGCCACAAGGTACCATCTTGGAAGCAGAAATCAGGCCCATACCAGACACCAAACGTGCCAATGCTTTCATCTTGGACTTCTCAACCTCCAGAACTGTGAGAAATATGTTGCTATTGTTTATAAATTTTCCAGTCTGTGATATTTTGTTACAGCAGCCTAACTGGACTAAGACACTCTCTCACATGACTGGCTAAGCCCAAACTCTCCGAGCCTCAGTTCCTCAACCGTAAAATGAAAATGAAGATAATACCCACTTTATCTCCTTGCACATTATTAATGAAATAATTCTCATTAGAATAAAAATGAATAATTTATAACAAAATAATTAATGTTCCATGTAAAAAGTATGTGTGAGTATAATGTATTAAAAACCTGCTTGTCCTCCATACTCTCTCTCAAAATTCCCACTCCTTTGAGGTAGCTTCTGTTAGCTGACCTCTATTCTTCTAAACATATCTCTGATCTAGAAAGAAGCAAGCAAGCCATGGTTGATTCATAACTGAAATATAAGCAATGGAAAGAATGTAGCATATGAAATCATAGATTAATTACCCAAGATGGCAAAAATAGAAAAAAAAATACATATATATAAAGTAAGATCACAGCCAGGGTCGGCCGCTCATGCCTGTAATTCCAGCACTTTGGGAAGCCAAGGCAGGCAGATCACGTAGGTTAGGAGTTCGAGACAAGCCTGGCCAACATGGTGAAACCCTGTCTCTAGTAAAAACACAAAAATTATCCAGGTGTGGTGGTGTGTGCCTGTAATCTCAGCTATTCAGGAGGCAGAACAGGAGAATCGCTTGAAACCATGAGGCAGAGGTTGCAGTGAGCCAGGATTGCCACTGCACTCCAGCCTGGGCAACAGAGCAAAACTCCGTCTAAAAAAAAAAAAAAAAAAAAAAAAATCACAAACCCACTGTTCTACATCTTTTTGTTATTGTTTTACTGAGTTTTACTCTTTATAGGATACAATAGTCCTATTTCAATATCTTAGTATCTGAAATAGCTACCTGATACTTCACTGTATGAATGTATCAAATTGTATTTAACTACTCTTGATGGACAATAGGGTAGTTTCAAAGTTGGATAGATATTACGAAAGGCCTTTCATTAAAATTTTCATCTGTACTTTTACTCAAGACCACCATTAGAGCTGGGCAACCAGGGCCCCTGTCCTAACCCCTGCTTCAGAGGGCTCCTTCTCTGGTCCTGCTCCAGCTATGATCCTGACCCTGCCAAGAATGGGAAAAAAACTCCAGGGCTAATATATCAGTCCATTCTCATGCTGCTAATAAAGACATGCCCGAGACTGGTAATTCCATGTGGCTGGGGAGGCCTCATAGTGCAAGGGAACTGCCCCTTTATAAAACCATCAGATCTTGAGAGACCTATTCACTACCATGAGAACAGCCTGGGAAAGACCCACCCCCATGATTCAATGACCTCCCACTGGGTCCCTCCTAAGACACATGGGAATTATGGGAGATACAATTCGAGATGAGATTTGGCTGGGGACATAGTCGAACAATATCAACTAAAGAGACGCCTAGCTAGCCAGAAGCTGTATACTCTATTTTAGATCATTATCTAAGTACCTGGAACTGGAGAATTCCCTGTCTAAACAGCCCTGACCCTGCTTCCAGGTACTGAAAGGACTTCTTAGCTGGGTCTGCTCTTTCTCAGAGTGAATTACAGGTGCACACACCCAGGATTGTGGAGTGGCCAAGGAATGTTGTTTGAAGGTGGGTATGGAGGAATTGAATTTAAATGCAGAGACTTAGATTGTTCACACATATGTTGCAAGTTCCCTTCCGGAACCGGATAACACTACAGGGTGACCAAAAAAAAAAGGGTTCCACAGAAACCTGGAAGCTTTCCTTCATACTCTTGTCCTGGGCCTGTAAATTTAAGAGCTTATCTGCTTTCACTTACAGGATCTAAGAGTTTTGTTTCCTGAAAACTTGCTATCAGTTGGTATTATAATTTCTTCTCATTTTTGACACTCTGAGGGTTTAAAAACTCATGTATTATTATTTTAATTTGCATTTATGTAGTTCATATTTTCACATACTAATTATTTCCATTTTTCCCAATACACTGATTTTTATTATCTATTTTAAAAACTAAATAGTCACTGATCTGTTCTCCCTCTATGTAATCTTGTCATTTTGAAAATGTTATATAAATGCAATCATATAGTATGTGACCTCTTGAAATTGCCTTTTTGCATTTAGCAAAATACCCTTGAGATCTGTCCAAGTTGTTGCATGTAGCAGCAGTTTACTCCCTCTTATGTCTAAGTAGTAGTCCATGGTATATGTGCACAGTTGTTTCAAACTATTACTTCTTCAAGGGCATTTTTGTGGTTTCTAGTTTTTTACTATTTCAACCTAATCTGCTATGAAAATTTATGTACAAGATTTTGTGTGGACTACAGAGGTAGCAAGAGAGAATGCTGTGATAGAATGTTCTATATCTTGATACCCCCATGTATGTCTACATGATGATTATAATTTCTACAAATGATACCATGTGATAAAATGGCATTGAACTATTCATGTAAATTGCACCAATGTCAATATCCTGGTTCTGCTAACTGCAGTTATGTAAGATGCAATTACTTGCATAAACTATGTGAAGTGTACATGGAACTACTCTGTGCTATCTTTGCAACTTCCAGTGTATCCATAATTTAAAAATAAAATTTTAAAAATTGGTATTTCCTTTATTAATTTATAATTACTATTTTCAAAAGAAAGTTAGTACTTCTGTTGTGACTTTCAGGTTTTGTCTTTTTATTTCTACAAGTGATAACTTATCCTCTTCTGAATATTTGTTTTATGTAGTTTAATAAACCACAGAAAACAGGCCAAAAGGAAAATATCCAACATTGTAATCAAACTCATTAAATTTTCCAAATGAGGCTTCTGGTTTTTGTGTCACATTGACAAAGATTGCTTTATCCAAAGATGACAATTTATTTAAAAATCTGCTAAAATCTAATTCCTAATATTTTAATGTTTATTTTCATTAATAAATTTGGTCTTTTTTACTTTTTATCTATAATTGTAAGGTGTTGGTGTCAAATTTTTCTCTCATGTCAAAACTTTTAGCCTTTTCTATATTCTAGAACACTGAAATAATAGTATATATTCTGTCCTTTGAAACTTTTAAAGAAATCCCCGAGAAAAAACTTAAGCTGGGAGTTTTAGGTTTTTGTTTGTTTGCTTGTTTGTTTTTTCATTGTAACTCTTTGACCACGCTCTCACTTTCTTCCACATTCAGGCTGTTTCTCTTCCAGAGTTAACTTTGCCTGGGAAGCGGTGAATTTCATCAAGGTTTTCAAACTAATTCACTAGTTTTAAGACATTGCAAAAAAATAAAAGAATGTGGTCTGTAATATTTTAAAGTTTTTTTTTTTACTTCATAGAGGCTTTTAAAATATCTAAATATATGGTCAAGTTTTATTAATATTCTATCATTACCTGAAATTAAAGCGAATTATCTGATTTTAAACTATATACACATACATGTACACCATATCCACATAAATCAATATATGAGATACACCTCAATTGTACAAATCAGATTCTCTATCTCCTTACAGTGGTATATTTGTGTTTCTATATCTTCATTAAAAGTAAATTAACTGATAAAGTCTACAAGAAATGAATTAAAATTTCCTTACTACAGTTATGTGTTTTTATAAATTTCTTCCCTTTCCTGAAGTGTTTTGATGTATTTTGATACTGTATTTTAATGACAAAAAATTACTTCATCTTCAGTGTAAAATTTAATCCCTATCATTATAAAGCAACATTTACCCTTACTTAATATTTATATGAATTCAACATGAACAGATGGTTAATACTATAGCTTCCCTATTTCCTAGTGTTAAGCTTTCCTTTATAAGGTAGATGGCAAAATTGGCTCCAGTACTTGTTAACTTCTCCCGTAAGAGATGAGTCTGTCCTTATTCCTTGGGACATGCTTTGACCAGTGGAATGTTTCAGAGTGGATTTCTGCTCTAGTTGTATCTTTTGCTTTTGGAATCCTATCATCTTTACCTGCGAAGAAGTCTGGACTATTCTCAGGGATGAGAAACATGTGACCCCCACCATTGTCCTAACTGACAGCCTGCCAACCATCAGATGTGTGAGTGAGGCCATCCTAGCTCATCCAGTGGTTGGGGGACATGCAGCTGAATGCAAGATGCGTGAGGACCCAGAGAGATCAGTCAAGTTATCTAGAACAGAACAACTGAGCCCACACACAGAATCATGAACTAAACAAAGGGTTATTGTTTTAGATCACCAAATTTCAGGTAGATTTGTTTCATAGCAAAAGTTAATTGATATAGGTTGGTTGATTGGTTGACAGAATTCATAGCTAAGATTTTTTCTTCTGTGGTCTCTAACAGGTAGCATACCCTCTAAGTTCTTTATTGTTCAAAAATGATTGCCTTTTGCCCTTATTCACGGACAAAAATTTAGCTAGTTATTAAATTTTGAATCACAATTTTTAACCTCAGAAATCTACAGACAAGATCTACTGTCTCTTGACATTGCACATTACTATGGAGAATCTGAGTTTAGCCTTTTTCCCTCCTAAAGGTAACTGCTTTTTCTGATGGATGACCATAATATTTTTTATTTAACCTTGAATATTAATATCTATACAATACTACCCCTCAGGGTTGTTCATGCTACTTTTCCTGGAACATAGTATTCATCTTAGATTTGTAAATTCAGTTCTTTTATATAGAGAAAATTTTATTGCTTTTCTGTATTTAATCCAATCTCTAATTCAGATATAAAAATCATACAAATTTTATATCCCCATTCTCTGGTCGTTATAGCTATTTGCTTTCCTTATCTTGTCTATGTAATTTCCTCATGCATATTCTTGGTTCCACATTGTCTAGCAGTGAGGGTACAGAACTGAAAGAATTTTAGAGATACATAATTTTTTACCACCTGGACTCCTAACAAAGATGTAGCATGGGCATAATGTCTGTGCCTCGGTTTTCTCATCTGTAAAATGTGGATAATAGTAACAGCTAAAATGCAAGTCTTCCAATATTTCAATGAGCCTGTAGGAGTAAGGCATTCAGCAGAGTTTCTGGTAAGTAGTAAGTAAACATTAGCATTTATTAGCATTATAAATTATCACTGGCTCATTTTTCATCACATATACTCTTTTGCTTCTAATATGGTTTCATTTTTATAATGCCTTTATTATCTTCAATTTCTTTCCTTAGCGCTCCAATCCTACTTTTCAATTTCTTCTGCTTTTCTGTTCTCTTTAAACTCTTCTTCAGCTTCTCTAGTATGTGTCCTTTCCCTTTTTCCCCCCATTAGAGTACATGATCTCTTTTATTTCAACATACTTTTTAGAGTCAATTTCTATTTTTCTAATGTAAACTAAGTAGTCTCATGGGCACACTGTAAGCCATTCCAACTGTGGTGATCTGTTCAATCTGAAAAGAGAAATTCCACAAAAACAAGGTAAGGTCGTCTTTGAAGTGATTTAGCATTTATTTATTTCTTGAAAACTGCAAATCTAGTTTCTGCTTCCATCCTGTTATCTATCCTACCTTATCTCTATCAATTCTTTCTGTTAGAACTTACAGTTGCCTAAAGTAATAATCTCATTTTACAGCAGGTACTGCTATGTGCTTCACATCACTCCACTTATTATTTTAGCTGTAGTGCTAGTGGAGAGTTCTATTTGAGCTCAGTCTCACATCACACCATCGGCATCCAATCTGAAGTTTAAGCTGTGTATCACTCTGCTTTCAGTGTCACTGATTTCTTAAGAGCCTGTTCATCTGCCCACAAGTGCTGCTTGGCAGCATGGGCGTGGTCAGGACCCCTGAGGCAATCTTCAGCCAGTAGAGAGAGAACACTGGAGATAAATGCTTTGTCTCCTGTCCTTCAACTGACCAATTCTGAGAGGCATTCTGTGTACTTCAGAGGTTCCAGTGGAATCACATGCTTATTACTTACTGTAGCAACTTTGATAACACACCTGCACATAGGCTTTCTCTGCATCCTTGTCTTAACTTTTCTGCTCTCTAGCTCCTGCTTCTTGAGTCACTTTCTAAATAATCTCTCTGTGCCAAAATCCTTGTCTCAGGTTCTGCTTTGAAGAAACGCAAACTAAAACATACATACAAATATCTATACAATCTCTCTTTAAGCCCTTTCCCCCACACTGCTCTACAATATGGAACTTAACCTCAAGTGATAACCCCAAATTTTCTGGTAGACTGTTTTGTCACAAGGCTTTGTGATCTATAATATTGCTACTTTGACAACTCAGGATCAAATAAATTCAAATATTCAAATGTACGCATCCTGCTTAAGATTTAGAGTTATATATGACCTTGTGTAATACAAATGAAGGGTTTTCTCCTTTTTTTTCAAAAACTGTAAAAAGTTTTTCTAAAGGGTAAACAATTTACTTTGGAAAGTTTAGAAGTCATTAATAATTGAAGCAGAATTAGATGGACTAAATATTAGATAATCCAAGGAGAAGGAATTTACTCTTTGTTCCTCATTACTTGGAGCTCTGTAATAAGGGAGAAGGGTGGCATGAATAAACAACATCTACAAATAAGAATAAACCACATTATAATAGTTTCAAACTTCATTTTTATTATTCTTAAGTCGAAATACAAATAAATACAGCTAGTTGCAAATTTATCTACTTTCCTTTTGAAGATGCATTTATGATTGATATTTGCATGCTTTGTAGTAAGGTATGATTGGAAAAAATATGGTGATTTAGGAGAACAAAGCACTCCTAACTGACATTCTGTTTTGAGAATTAGTATCACATGTTGAATATATTTAATTTCCTGGACAGAAAAAAATGATCTTAAGTTTTTTAAAAAAATGATTCTATTTGGTTTACCCACTAATACTACAATTTGCTTATATAATATTTATATGCATAAAAATAAGGTCACTACAACTCTAAATGACTTACTGATTTGACACTGTCCATAGAACCTAATTATTTATGCAATCATGTTGAAAGCATGATTTAGTAGCATTTTCAAATGTCTTCTGTCTTCTAGACTGTGCTAGTCAACAAGAAGGAGAGGTGAGGCCTTTGATCACACAGAGTTGACAGTCCAGAGAAATTACCAACATGTGAACAGGCAGTGCCAACCAGAATGAGCTGCACCATAATAAGAGAAAAACAGAACTTTCCTATACCCGGGACAGCTGTCTAATCCAGACTTATGGGATAAGAATGTGTTCTCAAAAGAAATCCTTATCTAGTTGCCTAATAATTGAAATAAAAAGCTTTTCTATTATAAAGTTGGTTCCCTAAGAGAGGCCAAAACTATTTACCTGAAAATGTCTATGCGAGTTAGAGTTAGCTATTTTGACTTCCTATGCCTTTAAGTAGGCAAGGCAAAAGAATGCTTTCAATATAAATCTGTCTTTTAACAGATTTCTTCTGAAAATGATTTATTAGCTGTGATTAGTCCTCTGTAAACATCCTAAAAGAATAAAGTTTTAAAACTTGAAATTATTCAGGAGAAGATAACCCAAAAACCTTTATTAAATGCACTTTGATAAAGGCAGAATACTGTTGCTAATCCTAATTAAAGCCTTTTATAAAATTCCAAAGGACAAAGAACAGAAAATAATGATCTAAGAAAGAGACATCGTGATTCTCTCAATGCATTGTTCTATTTCTTTACAAGATAAATGTTTTATGAAGGTAAATCAATATTGGGAAGAAGAGTTTTAACCCACTTAACTGTACTAATACTTAATATTTATTGAACATTAACAATATATAGAAAACTGTTTTAAATTTCAAGTTAGTCGTGGTTTCTGGCCAAATATGATCTTTTAAATTCCTAACTACATTTGGGTTCCAGCCATAATTCTTTAAAACCATGCTTCTTTTGTTAGAGATCTAAACGTTAATTGTTATAAAATTGTTAAATTCTTCACAGGCAACCTTGGACAAAGCAACTAAGGGTTCAGGGCCCCTAAACATCAAGCATATCAACAGATGAAACTATTCATATAAAAGTGTTGAAATACACAGAAAACTCACAGTAATCTACTTTTAAAAGGTATTGGCAAGGATGCAGGATAGAAAATTAATATGCAAAACTTAATTTCACTTCTATATATTAGCAACAAACAGTTGGAAATTAAAATTTTATTTTAAAATACCATTTACAATAATCACAAAAACATGGCATAGGTAAAAATACAGACAAAATATGTGTAAGAAAGATTTAAATACTAACAAATAGAACAGAGAATTTAAAAGACTAAAAAATAGATACACCATGTTCGTGAGTCAGAGGACTCAATATAGTTAAGATAACAATTCTCTCAAATCGATCTATAGGTTTAATACAATCTCAATCCAAATCTCAGTGGGCTTTTTGGTAGAAATTGACAAACTGATTCTAAAACCTACATGGAACTGCAAAGGACCTAGAATAGTAAAACAACTTGGGAAAGAAGTGCGAAGTTAGAGGACTAACACTACCTGATTTCAAGGGTTCTAATAAACCTGAGGCAGTCAAGACAGTGCAGTTTTCTTGTAAAGACAGAAAAACAACAATGAAACTGAAGAGTCCAGAAATACATCTATATGAACAACTGATTTTCAATAAAGTTGTAAAGACAAATCAGTAGAGAAAAGGCAGTTTATTCAACAAATACTTACGGAAAAATCGGACATCCATATGCAAAAAAAAAATTTATACCTCACACCTTATAAAAATGCCCTTGAAATGAATTATGCATGAAAATGTAGAGCCAACAATTACTTTTTAAAATATGTAAGAAAATGTAGGAGAAACCGCTTTGTAACCTTGCCTTGGCCTAAGCTAAGAATTCTTAGATACAACACCAAAAGTGTAAGCCATAAGAGAAAAATTGATAAATTAGACTTCATCGAAATTATGTTCTCTTTGAAAGACATTGTTAAAAGGAAAAGACAAGCCACAAGAGAAAATATTTCACAAATCATAACTGATACAGGAATTATATATTTAACATTTTAAAAATTGTACCCTTTAAATATGTGCAGTTTAATAATAAAAATATTTGAAACATTTATTGAAATATTTCTACTTCATTAAGCAAACAATATTCCATAATGTCATCATCTTTTCTAGGATGGACAGTTCCCTTTACTTGCCAGAATAAAATGGAAATTATCTTGCAAAATTCATTCTGAGAACCTTTCAGGTAGTCTTCTGGAGTTTGAGAAACTTTTACCAACAGGAATGAAAATGTGTATTGCCTTTTCATGAGTCTCTTTAGAGTCATATTTATCCTTGAATGAGCATTAACTTGGGAAAATGCAATAATGACACCTAGTTTTTAAGCAGGTTCCAGACCAGTTTTTCTTAATTCATTTTCTTCACTCAATTTTACCCAACATGTCCTCAAGTAAAAATAATTTCCACATATTCAGACTTTCTCTTATCAATACTATTTTTTAAAGATTATTTTTTCCTAGCCTATTTAGGCAATGAATGGAGAATTTTATTATTAAATGCATAAACTTGCCTTGTGTCAGCAAGGACATTATATGATAACAAATAAAGCAAAGCCTGTATAATCCATCACCTTACTTGAACTCCTACACCAGCAAAGATGAAAAAAGCATAATTGTAGAGTGAAAACTCTCCTTCAGCCAACAATGAGAAATAGTAATGTGCCCATTGAGCACCAGTGAATTACAGAGCCAATATAATTGCATGAAAATCATGAACACATTTGTAAATCTAATAAAATCAAACAACAAATCATGCAATGAAATTGGGAGCCACACTAGGTGGGAATTGGTTTTCAGTGTACATTGATAGAAAAATTGAAAGAAAAAATCCCAATTTGAGTGTAAGGTTTATTGACATGAGGGCAAATATGTGCTAAACCTATTCCAATAATTTGGAGGAAGGGGGAGAATAAGGAGGAGAAGGGTAGCGGGAGGGAAAGAAGGGCATTTTTCTTTTTGAAACGAATATGATTGGGCCATTTCATGGGCTAAACATATCAACTAAACTCTGAATGCATTTACATAATATGACTTGTAATACATTTGTAATATCAGAATTGGCTCCCAGCCTCTGTATCTAAAAATGAGAGTCCAGGAAAAAAAAAATCAAGAAAGGGAAGTTTGATGAGTTTGGTTATTTAAGTGTAGTTAAACTTCCATTTAAAGTGAAAATAGGCCGGGTGTGGTGGCTCACATCTGTAATCCCAGCACTTTGTGAGGCTGAGGCAGGCAGATCACTAGGTCAGGAGATTGAGACCATTCTGGCCAATGTGGTGAAACCCCGTCTCTATTAAAAATACAGAAATTAGCTGGACATGGTGGTGCATGCCTGTAATCCCAGCTACTCAGGAGTCTGAGGCAGGAGAATCTCTTGAACCAGGGAGTTGGAGGTTGCAGTGAGCTGAGATCGTGCCGCTGCACTCCAGCCTGGCAACAGAGTGAGACTCTGTCTCAAAAAAATAAAATAAAATAAATAAAATAAAATGAAAATATCAGTAGACACTATACCTTCTATCATAAAAATAGATAAAGATACAATAGACTTGTGTTATACTTTTACTTTTTGGAAGTGTATGAGGTTTTACTTTCATGCAATATTAGGATTCTGCAGGACGATTCTTTATTAAATATATCAAGACACTGTCTAATCTATTAAAGTGGCAAGGCATTTTTAGCACTAGGCCAGAGGGTTAATATCATCTCAAAAAAAGTCACAATAACTGCCCAAAGCAACAATAGGTTCAACACTATTTCTATCAAGCTGCCAACACCATTTTTCACAGAACTAGAAAAAAAATTCTAGAAATCATGTGAAACTAAGAAAGAGCCCAAATAGCCAAAGCAATCCTAAGCAAAAAGAACACAGCCAGAGGCATCACATCACTTGACTTCAAAGTGTATAATAGGACTACAGTAACCAAAACAGCATGGTACTGGTACAAAAACAGACACATAGATCAATGGAACAGAACAGAAAACTCAGAAATAAAGCTGCACACCTACAGCCATCTAATCTTGAAAGCTGACAAAAACAAACAATAGTGAAAGGACTCCCTATTCAATAAATGGTGCTGGGATAATTGACTAGCCATAGACAGAAGAATAAAACTGGACTTCAACTTTTTACCATATACAAAACTAACTCAATATAGATTAAAGATTTAAGTATAAGACCTCAGACTATACGAATCTGAGAAGAAAACCTAGGAAACACCATTCTGGACATCGGCCTTGAGCGAGAATTTATGACTAAGTCCTCAAAAGCAATTGCAGCAAAAAACAAAACTTTACAAGTGGGACCTAATTAAACTAAAGGGCTTCTGCACAGCAAAAAAACTATCAACAGAGTAAACAGACACTTACAGAATGGGAGAAAATATTCACAAACTATGCATTCAACAAAGGCCTAATATCCAGAATCTGTTAGGAACAAACTATTGAACAAGCAAAAAACAACCCCATTAAGAAATAGGTAAAATACATGAACAGATGCTTCTCATAAAAGGACATACAAGCAGCAAACAAACATGAAAAAATCCTCATCATCACTAATCATTAGAAAAATGCAAATCAAAACCACAACGAGATGCCATCTCGCACCAGTCGGAATGACTATTATGAAAGAGTCAGAAAACAACAGATGCTGGTGAGGCTACAGAGAAAAAGGAACACTTATAACTATAGTGGGAATGTAAATTAGTTTAGCCACTGTGGAAAGCAGTTTGGATATTTCTCAAAGAACTTAAAACAGGACTACCATTAGACCAGGCAATCCCATTACTGGGTATATATCCAAAAGAAAATAAATCATTCTATCAAAAAGACACCCACATGCTTATGTTCATCACAGCACTATTTACAATAGCAAAGACACAGAATCAACCTAGGTGCCCATCAACAGAGGATTGTATAGAGAGAATGTGGTATATATGCATTCATGGAATACTATGCAGCCATAAAAAAGAATGAAATCATCTTTGCAGCAACATGGATGTTGCTGGAAGCCATTATTCTAAGTGAATTAACACAGGAGCAGAAAACTAAATACCACATGTTCTCACTAATAGTAGGAGTTAAACAATGAGTGCTCATGGACAAAAAGATGGCAATAATAGGACACTGGGGACCACTGGAGGGCAGAGGGAAAGAAGGGGACAAGGGTTAGGGGACAACTAACTTTCGGGTACTATGCTTAGTACCTGAGTTATGGGATCAATCATACCTGAAATCTCAGTATCACGCAATATACCCAAGTAATAAACCTACCCATGTGCTCTTGAATCTAAAATAAAAGTTGAAATATTTAAAAAGAATCACAAAAAGAAAAGCCATAATAATGCAAGTACAATTTTCATGTGATTCATTCAAAGAAATTATTAAAATAACAATGAGACATCATCATAAGTACTAGGAGGAATTTTTAAATTAATGATTTAACATGAAAACACAATTAAATCCCAAACAAAAATGACTCAAAATAATTTAGCAGCTTTGTTAATATACAGTAAGTGGATTTGCCCATTTTGTTTAATTTACCATAGTCCACATTGTAAAAATAAATAAGCCCAATGTAATTACAGTCTATAGGATAAGCACAGCTTCTGTTCATTCTTGGCTCATGTCATCTTTTCCCATGGAGAAGATAATCTCCAAGATGCTTCAATCATTCTATTTACTGATGAACACAAAGATACTCTATCAAAATGGCACTGAATTGAAATGCTCATTTGTAGACATAACCACAAACAAGCAAGAGCTTTCTAAGTTTTTAATTTACGCAAAATAAGAATCATGGTGTCCAGGTAACAATGTGAAATCCAAATTTCTGCATTTGTGTGCTTAGGAACTCTATCCAAGAAGAGAATTAGTGTGGGGAAAAAAAAGGAAAAACATGTTAACTCATATGAAAGACAAGATGGAATTTAAAACTTAAAAATTATGAGTAATAAATCCTTTATTTGTTCTACATGCTAATATTTCACACTCCTGTTTTTAAATTACCTTAAAAATATATAACTGCATGTGACACCAGATTATAAAATATTAGCACCTAAAGAACCTCAGGTAATATTTCTAAATCAAAATATTCTTCAAAGTCCTGTCTTTAACCCCTCCATAGAATGTCTACTACCTACAAGTCCAGTCCAAATGTCCTTCATCCAAAGCCTTTCACATGTCTGTAGCCAACTCTTAGCAGTATCTCCCTCTGTTTCCCTTTTAGCCTATGACTCAACCCTGCAAGAAAGAACACTTGACCACTGTACCCCAAATAGTCACAAATTTTTGTGCTTTCTTTTTTCTTCTCCATTTGGCGAGTTCTTTCCTTTCCACTAAGTTGTAACATCACCTCTGCAACAAAGGTGTCCCTGATCCTTGCCCGTAGAGGCAGTTGTTTCTTCTCTGCTTACAGTGTAGTGAAAATAACAAGAGAATCTAGAGCTCAGTATTAATTCAAAAGTGTGAGCCTCTACCACTGACCATTGGTTTCTGAGTAGCTTACTAAATCCTTCTAAGCACACTTTCCTCATTTTTAAAGTACTACATTTCAGTAACTGCCTTGTATAATAGGAGGGACAAATACCATAAGATACATAAAGCATCCAGACGAGAATCTAGCACATAATAGATGACAGTGAATGAGAACTGTCACTATTAGTATTTCACACAACTCTATATAAGATCCCATTGCCATCATTTAATGTATGTCTATCCTCCACATTACGCCATCAGAGGGAGGAACTGATCATATTTAATCCTCGAATTCTTAATAACTAGCACCATGCCTGGCAGAGAGCAGTTACTGACTGAAGAATGAATGGATGGACAAATTGATAAATGTAAATCATACAGCACAACACATTATTTTATAAGTGAAGAAACCAAGGGCCAGACAATTTAAATGATTTGGTGTAGGTCACACTTCTAGTTAATGAAAACTGTAATAAAACACAGAGAAGATTTAATTAATCAAGAATTTTTCTCTTTGGGAACCTCATCTCCCCCTCTCAATGCTATTTGGATACAGCTATAAATTAGGTGGGTCTGTGTCCCTCCAACATCCAGGAGCAATGTGACTCAGGCAGCCAGTCAGGGTACCTCACTCCATCTCCAGGTGGAATGATTGGTAAAAGGGTGGATTTGTAGCTCAAGAAAGGCCATGAGAATTCTTTAAAAGTTACTCCTCTCCTGACAGTGATTCTGCTCTGAGATCAAAAGTTAGCTGAGATAAAGTGGAGAGGGAAATGGAAAGAGAATAAATGTTGACATCAGTAGAAACTGTCTGCAACTGAAGCTTCTTGTACTTCACTGTTTGTTTAACCTATACAGGCTGGGTTGCTAGTATTTGCAATGTTAAGAATATGAATACATTTTTCCTAATTTCTAGACCCATGTTCTTCCTGTACACCCTGATGTCTGCTAAATAACTACCAAATAGCATAAAACACCCAGACAAGTAAGTAGCAGTACACTAAACCAACTGCTTCATTTCCAATGGCATATCTGATATGTTTAACCTGAATTTCCCCCAGTTATTACTGACCAAAACTTGAATAAAATGGCATTCCTAATACTTGCTACTCACATATATTATCCCTTATCATTTACAGAAATCATACTTTTAATTAGTAAATTATAACATTTATCAGTTGTCCTTTGTATGTAATACAGACTTATGAAATCACTTAAGCCTGAGCAATCACCAACTTTGCAATAGTTAAAAACACCTGTGTTTCTGACCACAGTATCATCATGATCCCTTCCCTACATCAATTTTCTTGGAAACATTACATTAACATAAAGCGAATTTTCAAATTAGAAATGTAAAAAGGTTTTTCATCAGAGTAATATGTTAAACTAGTTTACTGTCCTAAAGACAAATGTTTAAGATTCAAATCTAAAACATTTAGTTTTATAATTTTTTTATAAATAAATTATAAGTCTTTGACCTAAACATAAAGTCCCACTGACTTACAACACAGGCTGGAATTTAATAAATAAACGTCTTTTATAAACAAGGCTGTTAGGTATACACAGTCTGTCATTGAGAGTTGAAAATTAAAACTACTCTTAAGTCCCCTGAGAGTCCTAGTATTTTATTGTTCTACAAATCCTTGAATTACCTTGTTAAACAATACTATTTAATAAAAATATTCTTTGAGGTTAGACAAAAATATAGAACCCAATATACCAAAAATCAGAATATAGAACCCAATATACCAAAAATCAGAACATTCAGTCCAATTTCCTCAGAATTTTCCAAACCTATATTTTTATTAATTGTACTTTCAAAAATTAAATGTTGGATTGCTATCTGAAAAAATCTTAAAATATTTTATTTTCAAATTACATATTTGAAAATATTAATCAAATATGAAAAATATGTAACAGTATGCTAATTAAACTCATTCTTTACCTTTCTAAAACAATTTTATTTTAGATGCCCTATTCCAGAGAGAATACTTCTGGTTCCTCAGTCATTATTCTTAATTTTAATTGAGAACTAGACAATCACGTCCTCTTTAAATAGCTCCACCTTAAGTTACTCTAAAAACTTGTGGGTGGTGAGGAAATATCTGAAGCATTAGTTGATTTGTTTCTCTCTTCCCTATAGTTCTTCTATATCCCATCACCCTTATGCAGCACTCATTACCTTAGTAGAGTTGTCACAGCAAAACCAGAGATGAAGAGTCAAATAATTGGGTCTCAATTTAATATGCCAAAGCCTAGGTATGAGCCAAATATAACTAAAAGAATACTTGCTTTATTAGTCCGTTTTCATACTGCTATAAAGAACTGCCTGAGACTGGATAATTTATAAAGGAAAGAGGCTTAATTGGCTCACAGTTCAGCATGACTGGGGAGGCCTCAGGAAACTTACAATCATGGCAGAAAGAGAAAGCAGGGTACTTTCTTCACAAGGCAGCAAGAAGAAGTGCTAAGTGAAGGGGAAAGAGCCCCTTATAAAACCATCAGATCTCATGAGAATTCACTCACTATCACGAGAACAGCATGAGCGAAACCACCCCCATGATTCAACTACCTCCACCTGGTCTCTTTCTTGACAAACGGGAATTGTTAGGATTATAATTCAAGATGAGATTTTGGTGGGGACACAGAGCCTAACCATATGATTGTTATACACATATGTTTCTTTTCAAGGGATATAAAGTTTTCCTGCAAAGTGTTGAGGAGGGAAGCCACAAAACTAGGTGTTGATGTCAATCTCTAAAGGAGGAAATCTATACCCTGCCCCTCTCCAAACTCAAACATCTAGTATAGTAGGTTAGAGAAATGTAGAGCTAAAAATGAGAGAACCCCAAAGAAGTCTGGAGTTTTGAGAGCACAGAGAACAATTTTTTTCCCCAAGAAAGCTCTGGGAATTTTTCCATCCTTATAGAAAAATTCTACGTCCAGAATGATGAGGAACAATGGTTTGGAAATGCCTGCATAAGGATTCCAGGAATTTGCTCCTGAAGGCAGCCTCACAGAGAAGGTGCCCAAGGGATCATCCTAAAGAGGGAGGTGGTGAGGACAGAGGAACACAGTAGCAGATACCAGCATGAACCAATATAACTGGAAAATAGGGAGAATATACAACAGAGGCCAGTGTGGAAAGCCTACTGACCAGAGAGAGATGGGGGAGTAGCCGATGCAGCAGTGGGTTTGCAACTTGGACTGCCTGCCTCTGAGTACCTTGTATCATCTTCTGAATTCCCTCCCCTCCTGACACCTTAATGCTACATTAGCCTATTAGAACTTACATGCAACTCCAGAGAAAAAGAAAATGTGTTTGTTATCCATTGTTGTATAGGAAGTTACCATGAATTTAGGGAGCTTAAAATAACACCAATTAGTTCACACTTCTGTGAGTCAGAAGTGACGACGTTGAATTCTCTGCTCAAGGTGTCGGAAGACTAAAATTAAGGTGTCTTCAAGGCTGACTTCTTGCCTGGAGGCTCGAGAAAAATCTGCTGCCAAGCTCACTGAGGTCATTGGCAGAACTCAGTTCCTTGTGCTATAGGATTGAGGCCCTTTCTCCTGGCTGGCTGTTAGCCAGGAATTGCTCTCACACCTAGACACTGCCTACATTCTTGGCTGCATGGACCCTTCTATCCTCAATGCAATCTGTGAAAAATCTCCCTCACATCAAATCCCTCCCTAGCTTCAAATCTCCATGACTTCTCTGTCTCTGACCTTCAGGCTCAGATTTAAAGGGCTCGTGTAATTAAGTGAAATTCCCCCAGATGGTCTCCCTTCCTTAAAGTAAACCTTAATTATATCTTCAAAACCCATTCACAGCAGCACCTAGATGAGTGCTTGATTGATTAACTGGAAGAAGGTGTGTGAACTCCAGAGGCCAGCAATCTTGTGAGCTATTTTAGAATTTGGCCTACCACACAGATGGAAATCTGGAATTGACTTATAAAACCCTAATTGAATGTGTTTATGTTGAGGTATTGTTAATATTACAAAATTTCTTTCACCCAAATCTGCAGCTATCTAATTTTATTCATTTTATTTAGTTTTTTTTTTAATTTTCAGATCATGCCTATGGCTGTTAGGTAGTAGGCCAGGACAGCAGGAAATGTCCAAGTACATAAATTAGAGTCAGAGGGGAGCTGCGATATAAGTTTTCTCTTTCTGATCAACTTCTTTACTACCTGATTGATGGAACCCAGGTGAGACCCAAGCCTCAAGGTGAGAAGCACACCTTGGGAAAATTCAAAGAAGCAGCAGGGTCCTTAACATTCTTCAGAAGCTAAGGAGGGATAAGAAAGACTAGAAGGTGCTTTGAAGAGTACTCTTGAATTCCACTTCCTGTAAGAGTACTCTGATCCTTGTAGACCAAAAGGTTTTCCCTGTGAAATTGCTGCTGTGAAATAACCCTCCATCTTGACTGGTGGCTGAGAACCATTTTCCTGAGAATTATGATTCCCCCGTGAAGCAAAACAGGAAAATGCTGAAGACCACTCTACACTGAGACTACACTCAGAAATGCACCTACAAGAGTAGGTTTTTTAAACATTAAAGTGCTCAGTTACAAATATAATTTTCCTGATATAGGGCTTTTGTTTTTACCTTATAAAACAGAAATTTTAAATCAGATTTTCAATACTGTCTTTACTCGGCTTTAGTTATGCCCAACTATTACTCATAATAATGCTGGCTCTATCCATGATGCCAAGAGCTCTTTCCATAAACCAAAATAAATAGACAGTCTCCTTTAGGAATAAAGGGAGACTGAATAAGTTGAAGCAAGACACTCTTCGATCAGCATCTGGAGCACCAAGCAGCTTCTAAATTTATTCAATTCGTACTTTGCTTTTAAAGAAGACTGAGCCATTTATTTCTATCCTATAGGCAAACTCAGAATATAATGGACAAAATGTCAGGGAGAATGAAGAAAAATGATGATATCCCCCAGCAGAGTAAATACACCTTCTGCAAAAATAAAGTTACCCGAGTCACCCTAAGCCCCAAGTGCTCAGCTGCTGTGACACATAGGACTGAGCTGAAATCATTGAGCAAAGAACTTGGGTAAATGAGGATTTATATTTAGAATAAAGCAGCATCAGTGAAGATTGATAATCTTTCAAGAACAGACGCCCTAGTTCTCAAATCCCTAGATGTTATTTCAATTTTCCTAAAGGTATTCTGTAACTTTGGATCACATTCCACTCTTGGGGATCTTAGAGACCCCTTGTTAATAATACGTGTTTTGAGTTCTAATACAGAGAGACAAATGGCTTTCTCAATGTGCGTATGGAGGAACATTTGGAATTTCTGAACTGCTACTTTCACATCTGCCAGAGAATGGAGTTTTATTGGAGAATGAAGCCCTGCATTTGGCAATTTATGCACAGCCAGTTTTTAAAAAATAATTATTTGATAATAATCATTTAACAATATATGAATATTGACTTTCCTAAGTAATACTTACCAGATTCTACCCGAAAGACCTCCTCATTGTCCCAAAATTTATTTTAGCCATTGCTAACACCAGATCCTTGCTCAACTTTTCTATCAAAAATCCCATACAAACCTGAGTCCAAATGATTCCCCTATTTTCTCAGGTTTTATCTGCACTATTCAAATTGATATGCTCCTGCTTCCTCCACAAAGCCTGTAGCTCTCTCCTGGTAGGTCTCGCAGTAAATTGAATAATAGTCAACCAAAAATATCAGATTCTAGTCCCTAGAACCTGTAAATGTTGCCTTATTTGGATAAAGGGTCTTTGCAAATGTAATTAAGTTAAAGATCTTGAGATGAGGAGATTGCCTTGGGTTATCCAGGGTGGCCCTAAATGCCATAACAAATCTTTTAACAAAAGAGAAGCAGTCTGGGCACTGTGGCTCATGCCTGTAATCCCAGCACTTTGGGAGGCTGAGGCGGGTGGATCACCTGAGGTCAGGAGTTCAAGACCAGCCTGGCCAACATGGTGAAACCCGTCTTTACTAAAAATACAAAAAATTAGCTGGGCATGGTGGCCGGTGCCTGTAGTCCCAGCTACTCAGGAGGCTGAGACAAGAGCATCGCTTGAACCCAGGTGGTGGAGGTTGCAGTGAGCCACGATCATGCCATTGAACTCCAGCCTGGGCAACAAGAACGAAACTCCGTCTCAAAATTTAAAAAGATAAATAAAAATAAAAATTAAAAAAACAGAGAAACAAAAGGAGCTAATACACACACACACACACAAGGGAACAGGGGAAGGCAACGTGGAAATGGAGTCTCCCCTAGAGCCTTTGGACTGAAAGAACCCCTGCCAAATATGATTTCCAACTTCTGGCATTCAGAACTGTGAGAATACATCTCTGTTGTTTTAAGCCACGAGTTTGCAGCAAGTTTGTTATAGCAGCCACAGGAAACTAATATAGTCTACCGAATGAGTTTGTTAATTAACCCACTGCTCCTCACAGAGGGATTGTATAATAATTCAGCATATAGCTAAGCTCAACCTGTCTTGACGAGACACCTGGACTTTTGTAGCTTCATAATTGCATGTGGCTGGACATGTTAAAATTTGATTTTCCCCAGTTGTAAGAAAAATGTAATTCTCTCTTTGCAAGGTTATTCAAGTTCTGTTATTTCTAAGTAAAACAGTTATTTTGTTTATGATTTTTTTAAAGTAAAACATACTTGAGTTCCCATGGGTTCCAATCCCAGCCCTGACACTTGCTAGCTTGCCTAAAATAGGCAATTTTCATTTAATCTCTTTAAGCTTCCATTTTCTCAGATATAAAAATGTGATACCTTTATAGGATTGCTGAGTGAATGAAATAATTCATGTTAAGCACAGTGACTAGTCCATGGTAAATGCTCAGTGACTTGCAGCTGTATTTATTATTGAGATTCCTATAGTTTACTTGTTCAACACGTGTTTCCTAAAGGCCTCTTATAAACTGGGCACTATTCTAAGAGCTGAGATTACAAATCTAAAGAAATGGACTAAATCTCTATAGTCATGGAATTTACATAATATGATTTCAATTCCTAGTCAGTGCATTTCTTATTTTTAATTCTTAAGATGAGTCATTGATTTCTCTATTTGTTTTCTCTCTTCTCTAATAAGCCTTTTGGCTACAGAGTACCCTTTGCATTCAGCTTGCTCTAGATTCCACATATATGAAGTAGTTTCCTTTTTATTGTTTTTTGCATGGTTCACAGTTTCTTTTTTGAGTTTCCTCATTGCTACAAGGGTTATTTAGGCCTGTGTTTTCTAACTTTAAGTAGTTAAAGTATTTCGATCAATTTATAATTAATTATTTCAATTATACTGACTTATGAGTAGAGAATAAAATGGTAAAATTGCCCATTTAAAAAAAATGGAAAGGTTTTCTTCATAGCCAAGTACATTTCATGCTAATTTATTACTATTGCATCTTGTTTTAAAATATGTTTTTTGGGGCCAGGCATGGTGACTCATGCCTGTAATCCCAGCACTTTGGGAGGCCGAGGCGGGTGGATCACCTAATGTCAGGAGTTTGAAACCAGCCAAGCCAACATACTGAAAGCCCGTTTCTACTAAAAATACAAAAAATTAGCTGGGCATGGTAGCAGATGCCTGTAATCCCAGCTACTTGGGAGGCTGAGGCAGGAGAATTGCTTGAACCCGGGAGGCAGAGGTTGCAGTGAGCCCAGATCGTGCCATTGCACTCCAGCCTGGACAACAGAGCAAGACTCTGTCAAAAAAATACAACAAAATAAAATGTTTTTTGGTGTCATTCATTGTTCTTTTTCATCTTGTTTACTGCTCTTAATCTTAAATTTAATCTTGTCATTAATACTGCCACCCCTGTTTCCACTACTGTGTGTCTGTCAGGGCTTCTTTATTGTTAATCTTTCTTCAAAATTTTTGTACTTGATTTATTGTAAATAGCATACAGCTAGGTTTTGTTTCAATGCTATATAGCAGCCTGCCTTTTATTGAAAATCATCAGTCCTTTCATATTTGCAATGTACTTCATTTTATTTCCTCCATCTATTTTATGTTTTTTTTTTTTTTTTTTTTAAACGGAGTCTTACCCTGTCACCCAGGTTGAAGTGCAGTGGCCTGATCTCAGGTCATTACAACCTCTGCCTCCCGGGTTCATGCAGTTCTCCTTCCTCAGCCTCCCAAGTAAGTGGGGTTATAGGCACGTGCCACCATGCTGGCCTAATTTTTGTATTTTTAGTAGAGACGGGGTTTTGCCATGTTGGCCAGGCTAGTCTCGAACTCCTGACCTCAAGTGACCCACCAGCCTCGGCCTCCCAAAGTGCTGGGATTACAGGCATGAACCACCACACCTGGACATTAATTCTTTATTTAACATTATTGTTTGCTCTATGTATTTATTTCTTAATGTTTTCATTACTTTTAAAAACATATTCTTACATTCCTCCCCTGTTTATTTTAAAATTTAATTGTACTTTATCATGCTTATATCACCTTCCATGTTAGTTAAGGTAACACTGGCTGCTTTACAAAACTTCACTTCAGTAGTTTAATATACAATAATTTATTCCTAACTCACATTAACACTCCAGTGTCATTTCAGGTAGTAGAGTTTTGCTCTGCTTAATAATTTTGGAACCCATAATGACAGATACTCTGTACCTAACTCTACACCTTCAACTGGATGTGAACATCAAGCTGGCAGACAGGGAAAGAACATGAAGGATGATACCTGGCAGTGGGACACAGTTTAGTCACAGGCAGAAACTGGGAAGTTGACTCTAGCCATGTATTAAGCATGTACTAGCCAAAATCAGACACACGTGACTCTCCTTTTACTTAACAAGATATCAATTATATACATCACCAGGTTTTTCATATTTCTATCATGAAGTTACCAATACCAAGATATAATGGAAATAAATTTTCAATGCTATCTGATGTTCAAAAGTACATTCAGGAGGAAAAATGAAATGGAAATTGATAAATATGCTAGTTTTCTTACCTGTTTTTATAATATATGTAATATTATCCTCTGAAAGTAATTTAAAGTCTTATTCCAATTAAAGTCTTATTCCAGTTGTTTATGAATTTGGCTCTCCAAAATGCCCATGCCACCTAGAGATTAGTGATTTACTCTGATTAGTTCTGACTGTTTCCTCATGCACTGCATGTGCCATGAAGCAGGGACAAATCTATGAAGGCTTGAACAGCTCCAACAGTAAGGATGAGCATTCATACAGCATTGTCTCATGTCATCCTAAAATGCCTCCAAATATTCCACTAGAACCTTTCTAAAAAGAGTTTGTAATTAATATATAATAAACTTATTAAGACTGACTTTCCTGGTAGGTATTTATAAATAATATGCATTATCTGGGGAAAGGGAAATTATTCAAGAAGAGAACTAAGAGTTACTGAAAATTTGCAACATTTCAGAATCACCAAATTTCTTCATGATTCATTCGCTCCACAGTCTCTGGAAGGAGAAAAAGCCTGGAATTAGCAAACTCACATCATTCAATTTGGTGACCCACTGCTGAACAGGACCATAATTCTGTAGCAGCTCAGCTATGGTTAAGGATTAGGCTGAGGATTAGGTTACAAAGGTTAATTAAAGCACCCAAAGAAGGATTCAGAAGACAATTAGAATGCATCACAAAGCATCAGCACTACCTTGGGCTTTATGAGATATTTTGTACAGCTGGTCTTTGCTAAGCGGAAAGCTAGTTTTATGTCACTATAAATTACATTTAATTGCAGTTTTTGTTACATAATTTACTGCATCCTTGTCTTCTTAAAATTTCTAATTTAGCTCTACTTTTCGAAAGCTTGACTTCTTCTGTACTTTTTTTCTTTTGTTTGCACTGTATGTCCATCCTTTTTCCCACTGCAGTCACATATTGTCTAAGCCGTGGAGATTTGATCATTTATAGCCCAAATTCTTTGTTCCTCACTAGGAGTCAACTTCAACTTGCATCTGTCTCACTTCTAAATCTAAGTTCACTGATGAGATGGTTGGTCTATCCTGCATTAAGGCATTCCAAAGACTTCTAAAATAAGTCCTCATCCTAAAGAACCTGCTATTTGTATAAATACTTTGCGATCTTACCTCAATACAGCTCCCTTTTGTGTAAAATAGAATATTGGGAGGTTTATCTTGAGCCCCGCCTATAAAATTGATTATTAGATGTCGTGGAAGAAACTCATGATAGTGCTTCATCAGAACCGTTTCATGGCATGAGTCAAAGCTGCCATGTCATTGTTAGCTCTAGAAGATATCAAATTTTATCTGAATATTATGCAAGCAAATATTAGTATCTGGTGGTAAACCGGTAATATATTAAGCATGTTTTGGTGTTTCAAGGTTTTCTAATAACCGGAATTAGATTAGAATAATATCATATATCTTATACAGGGAAATCCAAACACGCAGAATACATTTATGTTACTTCTCTCACCTAAGGGAATCTAAATTGGGTTACAGTGCATATAGGTTTGTGTGTGTATGTATGTGTATGTGTAACCCCAATAAAATAATCACACTTACATATATCTTGAAATCTGAATTATTCACATAAGAGTTTGTTAAACAATCTTTCCAAATCAGTGGAGGTAGGAATCATCACCTTACTCAGCTGCATTTTTTCTGTAGGCTGGGGGACATGCAAAGACGTGATCAAAATAATAGCCTGATCCTATGCATGCACCTATATGCATGCATACATACACACACAGTACCCTTGTCTGATCATTTATAAAACAGATATAATAATAGGAGCTCAAAAAGCTATTATTAAGATAAATATATATTTCAATCTATGCGTAGTGTCTGACACATGCATTCCCAGTAAAAGTTAACTATTATTTTAACAATAGTGATTATTATTGTTCTTTGAACAATGTTTTATTATGGCTTTTATTATTCTAACATAGGATATAGTTTGGGGCATCACGTTGTACCTTGTCTCTTTCATTAAGCAAGATGACCCTATTAACTATCTTAAACTAAATGTAAAATTGATCTTTCTTTAAAATATTTGATGAACAAATTGAAGGATAGAAACGAATCCCTTCCCCTGAATTCTCATCTTTGCTTTGGAAAATATCTTTAATATTTAGCATTTATCCTTTCTAAGGAATAAAATGGACAGAAAAGAAATGACATGGCACAAAGAGAAAAGAAGAACTAGAAAGATTGCTTAATGAGCACTTTGGTCTTCTTGTCCAAGAACTATTAATTTTTAATATTTGCATATATCAAAGTTTCCAAAAAGAACTACTTATGCATGTTTTCATTAATAATGCATCCATAAAAGCTGCATCAAAATATACTAATTATACAATTATTCTCTTTCTCTTTATTTGACTTTTTTAGCATTCTTGTAATTGCCACAAACCAACTTCAAATCATATCATCAAAATTCTATAGAAACAGCACAAATCAAAGAATGTATTTGATTCATCCTAAAATTTAATTAGAAAAGTGTATCTGTGACCTTTCTGTTGGAGAGTGTTGAATGTTTTTCTTAACAAATGTCCCCAGGCAAGAAATAATTATCATAAAATGTGAGAAAGGTACACTAAGGTACAGAGCAATGAGGTTATTTATCAGCTAATAGGGTATCTCACTGTTTGATATCATGCAAATTTTTTATCATTATGGAAATTTAATTTGCACCTCTGATTCCTTTGTGCTTTCCTTAAACCCAGTTCAGCTGTTAAGAGTTACCTTTTATCTCAATAATTGTAGCTCTGATTTATTCCTCTTTTTCAGACAGTGAAAATAGTCAAGAGGATTTCTGCCATTTATTGATTTGGAGAACACACAGCAGTTCAAGGTTTTCTTAGTACTCAAAGGCAATTTAATTGTGCTTTCAATTGTAGTGACAGTAATTTGCAGGCACTTGGCTTGGTACTCAGCGTGGGTGCATTCTGAGAAGTAGTGGCAACTGCTCAGACATTCTAATTCTTCATTCTAATTGTCTGGCCATTCTTTCAGTTTAATAGCACATGCAAATTATCACCTTATTCTTCAGTCAAACCATAAAACCAAGAACCAGCAGATCTGTTAATTGGAGTTTAATTTAGGATCTAGGCCAGATTTCTAGTAGGGTAATTCCCTAGATTGGCCTATAATTTCAGTGATACATTTTGTTTTCGTTCATTTTCTGACTTAAAACTATTGAACAATATTGCCTTATACCTTCCCCTACATCCCTACTAAAAAGATGCAGACATATCTAAATTCTTAAATTAAGTTAAAATCATTCCACAACTAAGATGCCAAAACTTGATAACCTCATAAAATAATATTAAAAGTTTGGGATAGTATCTTATTATAAGAAAAACACAGTGAAAAAGATAAACTTTGAAAAGCCTTGGTGTTGTCAAGCTCAAGGCCACAAGCAGTGGTAACCTCTCAACTGAAGCCCTTGATTAGAGGGCAGCCACAGGCCATCCTAGTCATCACAGCCACCTTTGCCTGAACACTTTGGCTATTGAAAATGCCATTCTGCATTTGGTTTGATCTCACAAATCAGGAATCTCGTACATGTCCAAAAATTGTCATTCTAATCTGGGAGACATAAGTAAAAGCAAATGGATTTAATTCAACAACTGTGTACAAAGTGACTATCTGCCAAGTCAGTTTTAAGGGCAGTGGACAATATAAAAATAATAAAAGCAGAGTTTGCATCCCCTAATCTAGTAAGGAGTTTGGCACTTGCAAAATCTGTGCATAACACAAGGCAAAGAAAGGCAGTAAATTCTATAAGAAGGGAACGAAGTGGAATAGGAAGCCAGAGAAAGAAGGTAATTCTATTAAGGACATGAATACTAGAGACCTCGACATGATTCCGAGTTTAGTCCAATGTAATAGTACAGTTCTCCTAAAGGCATAGCCTGATGGTTCTATACAAGTGACAATTGTAAAGTCCACACAAGGTTAAGATGAAAAGGCAGAATTCTTTTTTTTTTTTTTTTTTGAGATGGAGTTTCGCTCTTGTTGCCCAGGATGGAGTACAATGGCGCGATCTCGGCTCACCGCAACCTCTGCCTCCCAGGGTCAAGCAATTCTCCTGCCTCAGCCTCCCAAGTAGCTGGGATTACAGGCCTCCACCACCACGCCCGGCTAATTTTGTATTTTTAGCAGAGACGGGGTTTCTCCATGTTGAGGCTGGTCTTGAACTCCTGACCTCAGGTGATCCGCCTGTCTCAGCCTCCCAAAATGCTGGGATTACAGGCGTGAGCCATTGCGCCCGGCCGAAAAGGCAGAATTCTTGTTGTTGGTCTCGCCCACATTGTGCTTCATGCCTCAGTGAATTTTTTCATAAATAAATATTCAAACTAATGAAGCAATGACCTATTAGAAGGTTTATTAGAAACTTAGTTTAACTGGCTTCACTTAGTAATGGTAAATATTTCATAGTTATATAATCATTTCCTTACTTTCTACTTATTCACAATATTATATACCATTGAAAATAATCCAGGTATCTGATTATTTGAGGGTGAAATATATATTGGGTTATTAGTTTAAATCTCCTAAATTATGAAGAGGGAACCAGACACTCAAGGAGTTTACGTGACTCTCCCAATGTCACAAGTAGTTAAAATGGGCAGTGCTTGGCCGGGCGCAGTGGCTCACGCCTGCAATCCCAGCACTTTGGGAGACCAAGGTGGGTGGATCACGAGGTCAGGAGTTCGAGACCAGCCTGGCCAACATGGTGAAACTCCGTCTCTACTGTAAATACAAAAATTAGCCAGGTGTAGTGGCGGGCGCCTGTAATCCCAGCTACTCAGGAGGCTGAGGCAGGAGAATTGCTTGAACCCGGAAAGCGGAGGTTGCAGTGAGCCGAGATCGCACCACTGCACTCCAGCCTGGGTGACAGAGCAAGACTCTGTGTTGAGAAAAAAAAAAAATGGGCAGTACTAACAAGTGACTTTTAAATTTGTTTATATATGAAGACTTTTATCTTTTGATGATCAATATTTCTGATAATTCAGTATCCAGCTAGCAACTATTTAAGAATTATCTTTATGTACTTGCACAGTTTAGGTTGATAACACTTTAAATATTTTAGTTTAGAGCTCTTTTAAAGATTTGCAGTTTTGTTAAAAGGACTTTATTGCATAGCAGCACTCTGTATAGTTTAGTTTACAGAGGCATAGGGACATAAAATAATGATTGCTCACTCCCTTTCAATCCCAAATTAGAAACATTACAGGTACATCCTGAAGGTCTTCAGAATGTTCCTCTATGGTATAACTTGGACAAGTTGAAAGAGGTTTATGAAAACCAAAGGACAGGATGAGAAAAGAGTTAAATACACCCAAGTAATTATTGTGGAGCTGGATAAAATTAAAAAGGAACTAAAAATCCAAAGAATATTAGACACAAGGCAGAAGGAATTGCTGCTGGGTTAAACACGAAGATATTATACACTGTGCATCTCTGGAAGGCAAACAAGAAAACAACAACAACAACAATAGTTTACAGGGTTTTTTGTTTGTTTGTTTGTTTGTTTTTGCAGAATGGGCTTTATGCCAATTGGATCAACTCCAATAGGCAGAATTAGAATGATCTCAGTTCAGTAGCTAGAAGATAATTTAGGTCCACTAGAAAAAAGAACTTTCTAACAGAGCTTTCAGATAGGAAATGGGAGTTGTTGTTTAATAGGTTTAGAGTTTCAGTTTTGGAAGAGGAAAAATTTCTGGAGATTGCACAACAATGCAAATATACTTAACGCTACTGAAATTTACACTTAAAAATAACTAAGATGATATATTTTATGCTATGTATATTTATCACAACTTTTAAGATTTAAATGTAATGTACCACTCTGTAAGGTAATGATGACCCATTTTTATAAGTACTCTGGCTGGGAACACAACATAGCATTTATGTTATGGAGGGAAACTACCACATTAAATAGAAGGTTGAATCAGAGACGTTGGGAAATCCTTTCTAACTTCAAGAGGTTAGAAATTTAGCACTGACTTTCTCTTTTGAAGCTACATTTATTTTATCAAATTCTCAAAGAAGTAAGTAAGTAACCAAAGATGACTGGAAACTACAGATTAACAATGATCCAAGGGGGCAAAAATTCAATCTAATAAAAATATTAAACACACGTTGTATCAATTTCCTAAGACTGCCATAACAAAATACCGCAGAGTGGATGACTTAACAGAAATATATTGTCTCACAGTTCTGGAGGCTAACATAAAAAACCAAGCTATTGGCCAAGCTATGATCCCTCTGAAACTTGTAGGGAATCCTTCCTTGCCTCCTCCTAACTTCTGGTGGTTTTCTGGCAATCTTTTGCATTCCTTGGCTTGTAGCTGCGTAATTCCAATCTCTGCCATTGTCATCACTATGTGTTCTCTCCGTGTCTCTATGTTTTCATACAGTCATCTTTTTTATAACTGCAACAGTCATATTTTATTAGGGTCCACCCTACTCCAGTATGATCTCATCTTAACTAATTACATTTGCAAAGAAATAATAACAGAAAACTTCTCAAACTTGAGAAAGACACAAACATCCAGGTACCAAAAGGTCTTAGAACACCTAACAGATTCAACCCAAATAAGACTATTCCCAAGCACATAATAATCAAACACTCAAAAGTCAAGGGCAAAGAGAAGATCCTAAAAAACAGCAAGAGCTAAGAAGCAAGTAACATGTGAGAGAACTCCAATTAATCTGACAACAGACTTCTCAACAGAAACCATACAGGCCAGGAGGGAGTGGAATGACATTTTCAAAGTGCTCAAAGAACAAATTAGACTCCAAGAATATTTTATCAAGCAAAATTATAATGCAGTGACCCTATTTTCAAATAAGGTCCCATTCTGAGATACTGTGGGTTGGGACCCCAACATATATTTTTTTGTGTGTGGGGAGACACAGTTTAACCTATAAGATAAACTGTGCAAGATATTTTCCAGATTAAAGGATTACTAGATGATCTTCCTATGATAAATGAAAGTTTTGCCTTATTCTTCACTGAAGCCCTAGTACCTGACCCAAACTATCAATTAAGAAATATTTGTTGAGGCCAGGCATGGTGGCTCACGCCTGTAATCCCAGCATTTTGGGAGGCCAAGGCAGGCAGATCACCTGAGGTCAGGAGATCGAGACACGCCTGACCAACATGGTGAAACCCCGTCTCTACTAAAAATACAAAAATTAGCCAAGTATGGCAGTGCGTGCCTGTAATCCCAGCTACCTGGAAGGCTGAGGCAGGAGAATTGCTTGAACCTGGGAGACAGAGGTTGCAGTGAGCTGAGATCACACCATTGCACTCCAGCATGGGCAACAAAAGTGAAACTCCATCTCAAAAAAACAAAAAAAAAACAAAAGAAAGAAAGAAAGAAATATTTGTTGAATAAAAGAAAAGTTAAATGTGACTATGAGTTCATGTTGAAATAATAAATTTAGCATGTCCTTTGGAAATCTAACAGCATAGCCCCAACAAGAAGTTACAGAACTAATTTAGTTTATAAATCACCAGCATCACTTGCCTTTTATTCAGCTGTGAGACCTGGACCTACAACAGATAACAATTTCAGGATCATTAGCATTCTCTTAATACCACTTTCTGTGGAAAGATGAGCTGTAATGGATGTCTGGAAACTAGCCCATTTCAGCAGTGAAGAGTTCAGATCACGCCACACAGCTCCTCAAGATGTTATTGAGAATTTCAAAGAAAATGAACAGCAGGGTAGTGTGACAGTTATTGTGTAAGTAATCCCAAGTGAGGTCATTGCAAACAAGAGAGATTGAAGAAAGGCTTTCTATGAGTGACTGATTAACATTTTCAAATAACTTGATGTGATTGTGGAAAACAGTGATAGACAAATCAAAATGACCTCCAACTATAAAGAAAATTCTTGGGCCAGGTGCAGTGGCTCACGCCTGTAATCCCAGCACTTTGGGAGGCCGAGGCGGGTGGATCACCTGAGGTCAGGAGTTTGAGACCAGCCTGGCCAACATGGTGAAACCCCACCTCTACTAAAAATACAAAAATTAGCGGGGCATGGTGGCAGGCGCCTGTAATCCCAGCTACTCACTCGGGAGGCTGAGGCAGGAGAATTGCTTGAACCTGGGAGGTGCAGGTTGCAGTGAGCCAAGATCACACCACTGCACTCCAGCCTGGGTGACAGAGTGAGACTCTGTCTCAAAAAAAAAAAAAAAGAAAAAAAGAAATTTCTTCAGCCACAGCTCAGAGTAAATGGTAACAAGATACTAAAATTGCAGCTACTAGAATAAAGCAAATGGCAAATATCAACTGTACATGATGTAGAGATGACAGTTGTACTTTTTCTTTTTAGCCTCATCCACACACAGAAATGCTATTGTCACCATCAGTACTTTATCAAGAAGAGAATAATAACATATTCAGAAAAATATGCCTCAGACATTTCTACAAGTACAAATCTTAAAAGATTTTTGTTTCCACATGTGCCTAACAAATTGTGGGCATTCACTCAATCTAACAGAGGTTGACAGCCCAGTTTCTCAAAATAGGATTCACACTTTATGTAACTTTTATGTATATGCTTGATCCAAGTAAAGTTAAATATGACAGAAGAAAATCATATTTTACCCAACCATCAAGGTGGACTGGAATAGAAGAACCTAAACTGGTATGTCAAGAATAGTCAAGAAAGACCCATCATACTAACCTAGCTGCCTTAGCCTGGCACTGAGGATTTTGATTTTCTTCATGTCAGAAGTGAGAGACAGCAGCAGGCTGGTCAGTGCCTCACCCTTGTTATGTGCAGAGCTGAAGAGATTGACCTAGATGCGTCTGTTTGTAATCACACCTCATGAGAAATACCCCACCATCCTCCAGATATCCATCTGGATACATATAGACAGAGTCTTGCTCTGTCCCCCAGGCTGGACTGCAATGGCTCCATCATGGCTCCCTGCATCCTTGAACTCCTGGGCATAAGCAATCCTACTGCTTCAGCCTCCTGAGTAGCTGGGACTACAGGCATCAGATATTTTGAAGAGTCACTCCATTCTTCATATTTGCCAAATAGGAACCTTGAGATATTTTCCCCCTCCTACATAATATACATTCACCAAGCACAAGAATATTCTAGTCATAACTGTATAATACATGCATGACCTTAATGACTTTCAAGCACTTGTCCAGGACATATTCACATTCAAAATGTTTTTAGATCCCAAAAGAAATAAATGTCAATTTAAAGTACAAACAGCAAAGAGACATCTAAAAGTTAAGCATGTCCTCACATCATTTTCTTCATTATATCAGATCATTAAAGTCTTCAAAATTGTCTATTATAGAGACATTTTATATTTTAGTGAAGTGTTACTTATTTAAAATGGATTTAAATAAAATTATAAGATAGTACTTTGCACTATTAGACTCCGCACAACATCAGATGCAAATAACAATTACTGACTGATAAAATAAATACCTAAAGCAATTACTCAAATCAAAATAAACATAATTCTTTTTATTATTTCATATTGAAGTATAACTGACTTTGACATAAAAAAGAACGCATACCTAAAAGTGTACCATCAGAAAGATTTTGACTTATGGATACATCCTTAAAACTGTCACTTCAATCAAAATAATGAACATATCCTTTGCCCCCAAAAGTTTCCTCGTGCCCCATTATTATCTTTCCCTCAAGTTTCTGCCTCATCTTCCCCAGGTAAACATTGACTTGCTTTTCACTACAATAGATTAGTTTACAGTTTCTAGAATTTTCTATAAATAAAATCACACAATATGTACTCTTTTTTTGTTTTAGTCCGGCTTCCTTCCCTCAGTACAATTGTTTTCTGTATCATCTATTTTGTTGTATATAACAGTAGATCATCCCTTCTTTATTCCTGAGTAGTATTCCATGGCATAGATATACTACAAATCATTTATCCATTCCTCTGTGGAATTTTGGATTCTTTCCAGATTTTGGCTATTACAGATAAAGCTGTGCTGAATATCTACAAGTATCTGTATGGACATATGCTTTTTTTGTGGGAAGGCAGGTCAATGTCTAGAGTAGAACGATTGAATCGTATGTAGGTATATGCCAAGCTCTTTTCCAAAAAATTGATTGTGCCATTTTACATCCCCACTAGCAGGGTGTGAAAGTCTACTTTCTCTACATTCTCATTAACACTTAGTATAGTCAGTGTTTCTCATTTCAGCCATTCTAATAAATGTTTAATGGTATTTCATTTTGGTTTAAATTGCATTTACCTAGTGACTAATGATGCTAAGCATCTTTTCCTGTGCCTATTTCCCATTGTATATCTTATTAGGTAAAGGGGACGTTAAAATCTTTGTCCATTTTATAGAGAGTTTTTATTTGCTTATTATTAATTATTAAGCTTTGAACCTTCTTTATATATTCTGAAACAAATCCTTTATCAGGTATATGAATATTTCCAAATTTTTTCTCCCAATCTGTGCTTGCTCTTTTATTCTTTTAACAATGTTGTTCAAAAAGCAGTTTTTAATTTTATGAAGTCCAAACTATAAAATTATTATTTTATGAACGATGATTTTGGTCGTGATTTTGACCACATCTAAGAAATGTTTACCTTACCCACATTGACAAAGCTTTATTTCTGTTAATTCTTCTAGAAGTTTCATAGTTTTACATTTAGGTTATTGATTTTTTTTTTTTTTTTTTGCATTCAGGTTTGCAGTTTCCTAGCACCATCTGTTGAAAATACTAACTTTTCTCCTCTGAATCACCTTTGCACCTCTGTCAAAAATCAGTTTTTCTCTCGTATTTTCTTTTCTTCAATTTTCTAGAAGAGGCCAAGAATTCACCAGTGAAGTCATCTGGACCTGGAATTATCTTTGTAAAATGGTTTTTAACTACCTATTCAGCTCCTTTAACAGAGCTATTTATATCAGATATATTAACTATATCTTTTTAAACAAACTTCAGTAGTTTATGTCTTTCATAGGTATCTAAGCTATCAAATTATTTATAAAAATTTGTTCATAATATTTTCTTATTATCTTTTTAATATCTGTAGAATCTTTATATTATTCCATATATGGGCAATTTCTGTTTTCTTGCTTTGCTTTCTAATCAATCTGGCTACAGATTTATCAATTTTATAGATGTTTGCAAAGAAGGAGCATTTGATTTCATTGTATTTTTATTGTGTTTTTGTTTTCTATTTCACTGATTGCTACTCTGATATTATTCTCTTTCTTCCACAATAGCGGGAGAGTGCTCCTTTTTTTACTAGTTTCTTAAAATGGAAACTGAGGTAACTGATTTGAGAATTTTTTCAAATAAATATGTTTAATACTGTAAATTTCTCCCTAATTACTGTTTACTGGTAACTCACAAATTTTGATATATTTGTGTTTAATTCTCACTAAGTGCAAAATACTTTCTAATTTCCTTTTGTATTTATATTTTACTCATGAGTTATTTAGAAGTATATTATTTAGTTTCCAAATATTTAGGAATTTTCCAGTGACCTTTCTGTTACTGATTACTAATTTAATTCCACTATGATTTTAAAATATGTTTTGTATGGTTTGAGTATTTTTAAACTTATTAAGACTTATTTTATGGCCCAGAACATGGTCTATCTTGGTAAATGTTTCACATACGTGTGAAAATAATGTGTATTCTGCTGTTGTAAGTGGCTGTGTTCTAAAAATGTCAATTATGTCTATTTGGTTGTCATTATTGTTCAACTCTAAATCCTAATGATGTTTCTCTAGTTAGTCTATCAATTATTGAAAGGTATTGAAATCTCTGACTATAACTGAGGATGTGTTTATCTCACCTTTCAGTCCTATCAGTTTTTCCTTCATATTTTTGAAACTCTGCTATTAGGTGCCTGATTGTTTAGGATTGTGTATACTCTTGATTAAATAACCATTTTATTATTATGAAGCTATATCCTTTATTTCTGCTAACATTCTTTGCTCTGAGATCTAATCTTTCTGATAATAATATAGCTACTATCTTTTTATTACTATTAGCATGGTATATATTTTCCTATCCCTTTTTTATTGCATGGATGTTAACATTTTAATGTTCCTCCCTTGAAACTTTTTTTGCATATATAATCATATTTTCTTACAAATTGAGTCCCAAATTATGTACCTGCCTTTTCATTTAACATACTTAAAATTAAAAATACACATAGTTTTGTTTCCTATTTTGTTTACTAAATATTGTGTTTGATCTTTATTTTTATTTATTTACTTATTTATTTATTTTTTGAGATAGAATCTCGCTCTGTCGCCCAGGCTAGAGTGCAGTGGCTCGATGTGGGCTCACTGCAGCCTCCGCCTCCCAGCTCAAGCAATTCTCCTGCCTCAGCCTCCCAAGTAGCTGGGATTATAGGTGCATGCCACCACACCCAGCTAACTTTTGCATTTTTAGTAGAGACAGGGTTTTGCCATGTTGACCAGGCTTGTCTCGAACTCCTGACCTCAGCCTCGGCCCGCCTCGGCCTCCCAAAGTGCTGGGATTACAGGAGTGAGCCATTATGCCCGGCCATACTTTTACTTTTAACCTACTTGTTTTTTTACCTTTAATGTATTTGGATCATCAGCTGAGTTTGTTAAATGCTTTGTAATTCAGAGACTTTGTTGTAGGTTACTTGTGTAAATAAGAGTCAACCTAAAATTTACAAGACAGTACTTTACATATATTATTTAATAGAATATCACATGCAAATAACAATTACTGATAACAAATTAAATATCCAGAGTAGTCACATCAAAATAAAAATATATAAACTTTTTATGTTAGTTTAAAGCAGAACTGATTAGCCTAAATGTCTTTGAAATATCTTATTGAATATTGATATTTTTTAAATTATTTGGTAAATTAGATTCATCAGTCTTGTTTAAGAAGAAAGTGAATGGGTAGTCTGATATTCATGTACAAAAAAAAGATAGTACAATATGTATTTTGTAAGTCTGAACAAGAAGTAGACAAGTGAATCTAATATATTTGATTGTGTATGTTATTTTCTATCCTTGCCTACAAATATATATAATATGTTTGCCTGTAGGTATAAAATACATATATATTATATATGTGTATATAAAATACATATATATTATATATGTGTATATAAAATACATATATATTATATGTGTATATAAAATACATACATATTATATATGTGTATATATAATACATGTATTATATATGTGTTATATAATACATATATAGTATATATGTGTTATATAATACATATATAGTATATATGTGTTATATAATACATATATAGTATATGTGTTATAATACATATATAGTATATATGTGTATATATAATACATATATATTATATGTGTATATATAATACATACATGTTATATGTGTATATATAATACATATATGTTATATGTGTATATAACATATATATAACGTGTATATATAACATATATATGTTATATATGTGTATATAATACATATATATTATGTTATATATGTGTATATAATACATATATATTATGTTATGTATGTGTATATAATACATATATATTATGTTATATATGTGTATATAATACATATATATGTATTTTATAGATATAAAATATTATAGATATAAAATATAAAATATAATATCTATAAAATATAGATATAAAATATTGTATCAGTGATTAGCAATGTTAATAGAAGTTTAAATCAGTATCTTCATTCTGAAACCTAATATATATGTCTATTTGATCCAGAAATTTCACTTCTGGGGTTATAAGGTAATTACAAGGTATATGCACAAATATTTTACAATGATGATATTCTTCAAAACAGTATTTTAACAACTAAATTAAAAATAAATTAAACCTCTAAGAGTAGGTAATTAAAGAAATTGTGCTACATCCATACAGTGGAATACTATGCATCTTGTAAACGAATACTTAATATCATAGGAAAGTATTCAGAACATACTATTAACCAAATGCAAATTGTATTACAAACAGCATACACAATGACTTCATTTTTTAAATATATATAGTAATGAAAGTTCTGAAACACATGCGATTACCCCCAATAATAAAATAGGTCCATTAATATGTTAAAAGTTGTACAAGTTGTCATCTTGGTTTTATTATATGAGGTGCTTTGTGTATTTAAACGAAATCTTTCCAAATTTTTACACTGAATATGTATTTCTTTTATAACTAGATAAAAAGCACCATTCACAATTAAAAAAGGAAATCCAAAACTTCCCATTGCACTAATCAAACATTTATTAGGAAATGATATGCATCATAAATTACACATATACGAAAAAAACATGGCCCCTAGCTTCAGAGTACCTAATAGAAATTGACCCTGACAGACTGTGGTTAGGAGAAACAAACATACATTTTAAACAAAGCTAAAATAGTAAAAACTGAAATCAAACCCCCTTTGTGGTTAATTCGCATAAGGCTGCATCCAGCTGCTTTGGAAATATCAAAGACCGTCCAATCATTAACTGCTAATTCAAAAAGCAAACCTTGTAACTCTAATTATGCCTTTTAGAATTTTGTAATGTCTTACTAGTATTTGCCAAGTGGTGCATTAAACATGAATATTGTAGGGGCCAGGCGCGGTGGCTCACGCCTATAATCCCAGCACTTTGGGAGGCCAAGGCAGGTGGATCACAAGGTCAGGAGATTGAGACCACCCTGGCTAACACGGTGAAACCCCGTCTCTACTAAAAATACAAAAAATTAGCCGCGCGTGGTGGCGGGCGCCTGTAGTCCCAGCTACTCGGGAGGCTGAGGCAGGAGAATGGCGTGAACCCTGGAGGTAGAGCTTGCAGTGAGCCGAGGTCGCGCCACTGCACTCCAGCCTGGGCGACAGAGCGAGACTCCGTCTCAAAAAAAAAAAAAAAAAAGAGAGAATATTGTAATGGCTATCACTCATCATCATTTTCCTAAATGCAATGCATTGACTGTTACAGCCTATATGATCTTAAATTCTTAAACGCAAACGTTTAAAATGAATTAAATGTGCATATATATGCACGTGTGTGTGGGTGTGGGGGTGTGTGTGTGTGTGTGTGTAAAAATGGGGGAAAGGGGAAATGGGAGTTTTGATGCTTGCTATGGCTAAGGAATTGTGTAAAGCGTTTCTGGATTTACAAATATACATCAGAAAATGACTAAAGATCTAATGAATTTCAAATCTAGAAAAGATAATAAAGTTTTACATAATACATAATACATAAAGTTTTACATAATACAAATTAGAAGTCCTATACTGCAAGCTATAGTACACAGCAGTAAGTTATGAGTCCCCAAATATAGGTTTAGAAATAGAGAGCTGTAGGTATTCCTGGAAACAAGAAATATTTCTGGCTTGGTTGATCTAGACAGGTTTCCTGGGTGGAGTGTCATCCGAGCTGCAACTGCAATAAACATCTACTCCCTATAAAGCCAACAGAAACCCTACGTTACAAAGGAATGAGTATAGATATATTTTTCTATAGAGGAAACACACAGCATCCACAGCCCTACTGCCTTCCATCCACACAAATAAGAATTTTTCTACACATAACCTTTGAACTCAGACAGACTCTCTCCTTGACCAAATCTTAGTTAGGCTCCTCTAAGCCTTCCTTTCTACTACACCTCAACCTTGGCCTCTGTCCTGTCTTTAGTATGCCTAGCCCAGTCTTAGCAAAAATCCTGCCAAGTCAGTTTAGCAAGAATTCCCACACTTTTAGTATATGATCACCCTTGACATCTGATCAAATTCCTTGTTCCGCTACCCTTGATGTCTGCCCTTGTCCTGCCTTCAGCAAAAATCCTAGTAATTTGGTTTAGCAAGAATTCTTATACTCTTGATGTCATCTCTTATTAATTTCCATCCACTGAGCCCCTCATTCTGCTTGTTGGCTATAAATCTTCAGCTGTCTTTGTTGTATTTGGAGTTGAGCTTGATCTCTGCCCCCCACTGCAATATTGCAATAGTCTTGAATAAAGTCTTCCTCATCATTTTAAAAAGCATCGGAATAATATTTTTTAACAACTCTGAGGGCCAAGATGATGAATCCAGTCAAAATGGATACACCTTGATTTTTCCAACATATATTAATATTATTTAAAAGTTGTAATTCAACTTTATGTAAATCAAGTTCTATAAATTGGCCAGGAAAATTGTTTAGTTACTCAAGAAGTGTTTATTTAAAAACTATCCCTACGAACAGTGAAGGGTCTTAGAGTTTAACAAGTTAGGCTGCCAGTTTTGTGGATGCTGGCAAAAGACATGAGACTCCTGGGATTAAAACAGAGGACTTTTATTACTTAAGGCACAGCAAACAGCATGACCATCAGCATATTTGTAGCAATTCCCTTTTCCTCCCAAGTCTCATGGGGTGATGTGAATGGACTCAGATGAATGTTACAGATGTAGTGAGGAAGTGAGTTGCATAACAAGAAACTCTGAGCTTAAAGAACATGAATCTTTTATAATGTGCAGCAAGTATGCCTCCTCTTTTCTCTGGAGGAAGATTATTTTTCACTATTCAGATATCCTTGTAAAGACGGTCTAGGACAAAGATCTATTAGGGCCTCACCCACAAAATGTTTAGAAACGTCGAGACACCTGTGGAGAATTGTCTCTCAGCACCACTTTGAGCCTATCATTACAGGAATCCTCTTAAGTATATAAGAAGAAGGTAATTTATCAGTGTGCATTTTCATGTCTGATTTTTGCAAAGCCTGAGATATACTTACACATAACACTGATTTGTGACTTAACCAAAGAATATCAGATAACAGTCCCTTTCAACCTAAATTCTTGATGGTTTGTGAGATGAAAAGAGACAAGAGGAAGCATCTTTCTATTTATTTCCATCAGCTCCAGTTCTGCTCTTCACCTTAAGGTATCTCTGCTCTTCATCTTAAGTAATGGCAAATTTCTCCAGAACTTTCCCCCTCGCTTCACCTACTATGTAAGGGGGATAAAGAAAATATCAACTTCTATGCCAGACATTGTAATGGGTGCTCTTTCTACCTCTTCTTTTCTCATGAGCCTAACCACTGTTCAGCATCAAACCATATAGTCAGCATAAAAACCTGAATGTCCTGAAGAAGCTTAGATTTAGCAAAAGGAAAAATCATTCCCTCGATTCCACAACACAAAACGTCTAACTCAAGCAGATTTGAATTTTTCAGTAGACATTGAGGAACAACCAAAGTTTAACCATGCAGAACCTTTCTTTCTGGTTTGCAAACAGGAAGAGACCCAAAAAGAAAAATTGCAAGTAACTTGCTCTCTTTCGTGCTCTCACTCTCATTCCACCTCTTGCTCTCTTCCTCTCTCCCTCTCCTTCTCTTTCCTTTATATTGTGATAAATACATCAATGAGATCTCCAGAAATCCATCTGTCTTCATTTTCTCGATATGCAGAAACAAACAACCCCTCAAATACAACTTAAATGTTACATTTTAAATCTGAATGAATTTAGAAAAGCAGCCTCATAGATCATAAACTTTATAAACAGGAGAAAGGCTCAATGTGTTAAGGCCTATTGCAAACTTTTGCATTCCATTTCTTTTAGTCTATTTTCCAAGTCTTGGATAAAATATATTTTTCAAAAATTGAATTTAGATAAGTTTGTCTAACAATACTGAAATAATTTTTAAAAGGTAGACTGTTATCCAAAGTCTCCACTTAACTTTTTATGTCAAATTGAACAACTTCATTTGTAGCTTTAGCAGTGTTGAGAAATATCTGTATATTTCATAACATATTTTAAAAATTCAAAAGATTACGTAAATGCTTTCCTTTAAATGTATGTTTTTTCCTTTGCCTGCCTTTAGTCATTGTAAAGGGACTATTTCTAGATAACATGTCTGATCTTCTGGATATTATTTCTTTTTGACATTGCTTTCTGGGAATTACAATGAGGTTGGCTGTCAAGTTTACAAGATTTTAGCAACCACATATGCTCTTCGTGCTCTTCACTAAAAATAAAAACCTATTTTCTCTGCCCCAAGCATCATAAGTGATGTTTCAAAATAAACTCTAATTACGTAAATTCTGAATCAGTCCAGTGATGTTTTAAAATAAATTCTAATTACGTAAATTCTGAATTAGTCCTAAGGTAATAGAGTGAAAGGGTATAGAACACAGTGTCTTTTCCAGGAAGCATCAGGAACATGGGGGATGGGAAAGATCTGCCATAGTGAATAGGTTTGAAAATCCTGGGAATCCTTAAAAGTTTGGAGAGATTGTGGGGCTTAGTGAGTAAGAGCCTGAGCTCCAAAATCAGACAGCAGTGGGCTTGACTTTCAACTCATTGTGCTATTTACTTTGGAACACTGGAAATTTACTTAATATTTATTAAACTTCTCTTTTCCTATGCAAAATGGACATGGTAATACCCACTAAATAGGGCTACTGATAGGATTTATTAAAATGATACATAAAACACATATTACAGCATTTCACAAATGTTAGCTACTAAAAACCTTGATGAAGACTGTAATGAAACAATGATAATTATGATGAGGTTGGGTTGCAGGTGTAACCAAAGGCCTTGTCTGTGGAGCACTAAACAGGAAGGCTGATATTTGGTTTCCAAGTATCCGTAAATCTTTCGGCTCTTTAACCAGAGTTTTATTTTTCACTGACCTTAATCAAAATAAGTTCTATGTGAAAATGAATCCCAAATCAGACTTATTAGATTTTATTTTTACATATGTCACCTGAAAGTAGAGTTCCTATGGTCTATCAGTAATTCGATTTCCAGGAATTTCTTCTAAGGAAATAATGAGAGAGATTCACAAAGAATCATGCTCAAGAATATTAACTCCAATGATTTTTAATGCTTTAAAACAATGTAATTATACAAAATATGAGATTGGTTAATAAATTATGGAGTATATAAACATATGGACACATGTTGAAATTATTGTTATATTCTTGAAAAATAATAAACATTGTCAGGATAAAACTTTTTAAAGAAGAAAAAATACAAAACAATTTGGACAAACTGAGCCACATTTATTACTACATTTTTTAGCCACAAATATACACACACATATATATATATATATATCAATGTGTTAATAGGTTTTTTAAATATATGGCTTTTGTGTTGAATAGTGATTTTATTTTCTTCTTAATATTTTTAAAAATTCTAAAATGAAAAAGCATTACCTTTGTATCAAAAAATTATATTCTGGGTTTGACTATTGTCCTTCTTCATATATGAAATAAAATGTTCTGGGGCACAAAGAAAAATGTTTTATGAGTAGACCTTTCTAGACTGGAAATGTTTGATTTGGTTAACCTGTTATCTTGGATGAGTCAGTGCTACACTGGATTGTAAATAAACTAAAACATTTATTTTAAAAATTAAATCACTTCACTCACAAAACTATAAATTTCTTCTACCAATAAATATCCTAGTGAGGCTCATAATGATATATCCATAACTCTCTGATAGCCATCAAACCAAGGACGTTGCAAGATTCTCATATCTAGTGTAAAAGGGGAAAAGCAATAACAAAACTGGTTTGCTCTCTTCCTATAGGGGAACTATTATAAGTGTAAACACTAACTGGGGAATAATAATAATAGATACTAGCAAGAGTTTCATTTATTGAATACTTAGCACAGTACATAGCCCTGTTTTAAGGCATTCTGTTTTATTTTCAGACTTTATGTCTTTTATTTTCTTAACTATATAAGCTAGAAATTTATTATCATTACCATTCAACACATGAGAACACTAAGGCTCAGAGAGATTAATATATTGTAGGTGGCACGGCTAATAAACAGCAGAGTTAGATTTTGGACCCAGGTCTTTCTAACGCTAAAACCCATTTTCCATAAACAACGTTGTTTCCCTAACCTTTCATTTCTTTACTTCACAATTATCCCTCACCATTCAGAATGTTTCTGGGCAACCAAATTTTAATGTACCTGTTACTTCTCTGTTATAACAATCTATTAGCCTAATCAAGAAATTTGGAAAGGATCATCTTTCTTCTCTACTGTGTTAGTTTATAAGGGCTGCCATAACAAAGAGCACAAACTGAATGGCTTAAACAACAGAAATGTATCATCTCCCAGTTCTACAGATTAGAAGTCCAGGATCAAGGTGTTGGCAGGCCCATGCTCTCTCTGAAAGCTCTAGGCAAGGATCTATTACAGGCCTCTCTCCTAAGCTTCTTGGCTAGGGGTGCACCTTAGCTTGTGGCAGCATAAATCCAGCCTTCACACAGTGTTCTTCCTGTGCATGTGGTCCTTTTTATAAGGACACCAGTCATGTTGGATAGGGGTCCACTCTACTCAAGTATGACTTTGTCTTAACTACTTATATGTGTGACAACCCTATTTCAAAATAAGGTTACATCCTGAGTCATTAGGAATTAGGACTTCAACATTTGAATTTTGAGGAAACACATTTCAACCCATAACACCCACCGTGATTATATCTCACTTCTACTCTGCCAAACGTTCTTCAACCCCAGCCACCAGGGTTATTAACTGGGGGACCCTCAAGAGATTCATGAATATAAGTGCATTTCAATTCATTGGCTTTCTTTGTAATTCTATGTTTGAAATTTCATTGATTTTAAAGAGCATTTCAGGAACAGATACTTCTAAGAGGCCTCAGTAGACTGCCAAAGGGATAAATGCCCTTCCTCCCAAAATTAAGAACCCTATTATATCATGTGACACATAACAAAAAAATGTAACATTTGTATCTCCATGATTCTCAAAATTAGTTGGCCTAAATATTACCTAGAAAGCTGTACTTAACTCTGATAATTACTTCATGGAGGCAAAATTATTCAGTGCTGTACCTTTTGGGGCCTATTAAGCCTTGTTGTCCAAATTATCAATACCGTCATCCTAATCCAAGCAAAATGTTAACAGTATCCTAAAGTGCTTACTTTGATTGTACTTAAAGTGCTACTTTTAAATAGAGACCATTAGGGATGGGCCACATTTTATATTTTGTATTTTTCACAGTGCTTACTGTTAGAACTTAGAGATATTATGTAATAAAATGTTAATGACATTTATTAAATTAATAGATTAATAGATGGATTAACATGTGTTTGGAAATGCTCCTTTTTATTCCATCTATAATGTCTACCTGCACCATGTGTTGGTTTATCCTCTGAAAGTGGCAAGCTGGTTCACCATGCCATGAGATCACTGATTGTCCATAGTAAGATTCCTGTACTACAGTTCATAGGTTAGTCTACCATGTTCAGATGATTTGTTCCACTTCTAATTAAGAAACTTCTCTGATTAGCCTATTAATAGAAATATTTCTATTTAACCCCATAAAATTAATAGCAGAATAATTAAGTGTTGAGACTTTGAAGCCGGTCTACCTATGTTCAAATTCCAGATCTAATGTGAATTTGTTACAAATTTATACAATCTCCCAGGGATTTAATTTGATTACTTAAAAAATGGGTGTAACAATATGCGCACCTCTTAGGATTATTTTGAGAGTTATTTGACTTAACTCATGAAGCACACTTAAGTCAGCATCTTACAGCACATAGTAAGACTCTATGACTGACAATTATTTATAATTAAAGAAAATACCTGTAGTGAGAATATATAAATATATGTATGAAAGCAGTCATCAATACCTGAATTAGCTCTCTTTATCCAAATGAGTTAAAAAATATTAACATAGTTTGTAAGAGAACAAATGATATATATATGAAGGAAAGATATTAATACATCAAAATTTTAAAGTCAAACATTTTTTTAAATTATTCATAAGGAGAAACATAGTGATGCTTTTTAGAGTTAGTTCCTCATAGAATAATATATTCTTGGATATATATGCCAACACATATACTTCAGTATATGACATCCATTTGCCATACAAAAATTGGCCTTTTCTAATAACAGTTGCACTGTTACACTGAAAATCATCTGCCTTTCTTGAGGAAAAAACTGTCTAAAATACATGAAGAATTAATGAAGATCTAGTATTTTTAAAAAAGGTAATTCTTGTGAATTTCCTAATATCAAATATGCTTATAACAATGCAATAACATTACCAAAGAGTTGTGGCGTGCCCATTCCCAGAGTTTTAAGGACAAGTCTCACAAACATTGCCTGGAGCAGTTAAAGTTCGGACTGGAAACATACAGACAGACTTGAAAAGTATAGAAGCTTCTATGATTAATCAACCCAGAATTACAGATTATAGCTCAAATTTTTATTTTTTTACTGACCTGACCAACTATTTGTGTAAAAACAAGAGAATCTTGACACTGGGGAGTCTTTAATTCAACAGACCAATTCAGCATGCACTCATTAATTGTTTCTTATGCACAAAGCACTCAGCTACACATTGAGTATATACCAGGCCCCATCCCTGAAGAATGTTCAGTCTATAACTAGGCATACAGCAAAGTAACCAGGGAATCAACATGTCAGGACAAATGCCACAGTTATGGTAAGCAGAAAGTGCTATAGAAGGACCTAGAACGGAAAACACCTAATCCAGGTGTTAGTGGTCTAAGACTTCTTTCTGGAAGAAGTCATATCTGAACTGAGGCCATAGGGCAGCTAGTAGTTAATAAAGGGAAGTGCAGGCTGGGAGGTGTAGAATGAGAGATTATTCCAGTAGGACATGTTTGTTGGCCCAAGCCTCCAGACAAGAGGGCGATGGTTTGAAAAATGTCCAAGGAGCATAGATTGAGGGAAGAAGTATAAAGAGATGAGCCTAGGGAAGTAAGCAGGAAAAGGCAGGTTAATGAAGAGCCTGGTAATCCATGCTACACATTTTGAACTTTATCTAAGGGTATATATGAAGCCATTGAGGGTTTTTCCCTAAAGAAGTACCACACAAGAGTCTAGTCTAGGTCAGACTACAGCTAGAGAAAGAGCATTTAATCCTTTTCTCAGCTTCTTTACTTCTTTATGTTAAATGATTGGGAGATAGAGAAAAGCTGCTGAATATCTTCTTCATAAAGATTTTTATCATCCAAGGGGACCATATAATTTATCATTCACACATAGTTATGCCAGAATAATAAGTGTAAACTGAAATATATGGTCACACTAAATTTAAATCTCTCCAAAAATTTAAGTCCTCCTCTAGCCTATTTTTTTCAATCCTATTTAAAATGCAGAAATAAAAATAAGACTTTTGACTAATCAGCAAGATTGTGTTCACTGGTAAGGCTAGAGGACTATCATGCACTTCATAATTAATTGTATCCCTTTTACTTTTCTGGATATAACCCTGTGTTGCTGGCTCATTTATAGTTTGTATCTTATTGCATTTCCTAAGTATTTTTATGTTATACTTGGGCTTTGAAAGTCTTTATTTATTTTGTAGTTATTCTGCCTAAGAATTTTTCCAACCATAATGTATCTTGGTTTCAGTAGATCATTTCTCTAATGTATAGAGATCACTTTCAATTATTTCCATCTTTGAGCTGTTAGCCACAGAATTATCAGCCATTAGGTCATAAAAGACAGGAACTATGCCTCCCTAGATGTAATAAGGTGTGTATCTGAGTACTTTCTAGATGAAAGAACCAAATTATGTTATTTTTATTGTTGTTTCTGTCAATTCTATAACATATATAGGTAGTGTTACCGCCACATTACTGAAAAAGAAAATGAAGAATTGGAGGTTGGTCGAAGAACTGAAATTCTGATTCATTCCCAGATTGTGCTTAATTACTTATTATTAGCTATCAAATGAAATTAAACTTGGATATGATTTCATTTTTCTTAATAAAAATAGCATTATCACAATATATGCACTGTTCAATGCAAAAATGATTTAAAACAATAAGGATTCTTTAAGTTATCAAAAGTTTCTACAGACAAAGAATGATTTACTTGTGAATTAAAATGTTACATTGACCTCGAGGTAGAAGTTAGGTCAGCAGAAATGAGCTTTGTTGCAAAAAATATATATTCAGGATACAAACTGTAAAAATCACATTGGGAATAAAACGTAATTCTCAAGTTTATTTTTATTTCTAGATACAGAAATATTATTGAAATCATAAATAAAAGCATAGCTGACATATTTGTATTTATTGACCCACAAATAAAATCCCTTAGAGCTTTTTTTCATATTGAATTTCAGGATTCTGGCTAATTGGTTGCAGCTCCCTTAAATTTTTTTTAAGACAGACACAGGAGAAGCATCCTTTTTCTGGGTTTTAGGAGATACATAAATGTCCAGTTATGTATAATTAATTTGGGTTTCTATTTTAAATGTTACTTACATTCAAAGCCACCTCTGTGAGTCCCTGTACTTCCTTAGAAACATCAGTGATTTCCACTTCATTTCACTTCAGCCATCTATGTCTATGTCCACACCGAAGTCTGGCATCCCTTGATACCGAAATAATAAATGCAAACATTCTTCTAAGTTCCGAGGTCTTCTCCTTCCAGCTGTCTGACCCAGTTACCTATACTTTACTCATCATTCAACCTTGTAGAGACCTCTGAGTCTTGATTTGCTGATTTCTTTATCAATTGATAATGGTTTAGATTTTTCTTTCCTTTTTTATGTATGTGTCTGTCTGTCTGTCCATCTAGGCAAACACACATAGTGGGTAACTCTCTCATAATTTTTTATTTATTGCTGTAGACAAAAGCAGTTCCATTGGCACAAGAAATGCCCATCACTTATTCATCCCAGCGTAAGACTCACAAGGCTGTAGACTGGAGTGTGCCCTGCATTTGCAACATGGATGGCAACTCAATCCCAGGAATCAGTGACGGACTGTCACTAGCCCTAAGCCCTAGACTCCTCTCGTGTCCAATATGAGATTAAGTCACCTCAAATCAGCATGTCAGCACCATTTTGGAAGCCCAGTCTCACATAATACCCATAAGAGAAGTATAGCATTGGCCAGCAAGAGTATATTGCACATCAAGCAACTCTCCTGGGAATGGGCCCAGCCACAGAGCTCCTAGGTAATTTCCATTAGGCGTGACTCCTTAAGTATCTGGTCAATCTCATGAATTGGGGAGAGAATTAGATAAACAGGGATGGAGGTCCATCTCACAGCTCTGGAGGATGACAGGACCAAGTCGCCAGCAGATTTTGTATTTGGTGAGTGTTCTGGCTCATAAAACAGATGCCTCTTCGTGTGTCCTCACCTGGTAGAAAGATCGCACAAGCTCTTTCAGGCCTCTTTTATAAGGGCCCTAATTCTATCCATGAGGGCAGAGCCCTTACGACCTAATCACCTTCCAAAGGCCTCACTTCCAAATACCATCACATTGGAGGTTAGATTTTAACGTAAAACTTTGGCGGGACACAAACACTCATTATATAGAAATCTCTGTGAATGACTAGGTATAGGAAGGTAGATCTCCCAAAGGCCCCACTTCTTAAAATCATCCCTGGGGGTTAAAATTTCAACACATGTATTTTAGGGGGACACATTCAGACCATAGCTGGTATTCTGTGCGGACAACATTGCCAGCCCCAGCTAGTTCCAGTCACCGAGGGTGTCTTAGAAAATTCCAAGGAAGACACTCCAAAGTGTAGTAACACCCAGAGGCACAGGGTCTTGAGCAGGGACCTCATTTCCCTTGGTAAAGGGGAAGTGTAGGCTGTTGGGTTCAAAGAGGAAACACTCCAAGACACACCATGAAGAAAGCAAGGGTTCAAAGGGTACGAGGCAGAAGCTGTCACACTTCTGACCTAGCCTCAGCAATCCCACAGCATCACTTCTGTCTTACGTTAGCAGATACAGGCAAGACACTGTGGCCAGACCAGAATCAAGGGAAGCAGAATTAGACTCCACCTCTTGATAGAAGTCAAGGTCAAATTTCAGAACAGCATGTAGGATAGAAGATATTGATGCAGCCAGCTTTGGAAAATACAATCTGTCATAATCACCATAACTGTAATTCTTCTCCATAGTACTTACAGTGTTTTACTATGATTACTTATTTCCTTTTCTATATTCTCCACCAAATTTTCAAGTAATCTGATGACTAAACACCAACACTTGTGTCATTTACACCCCTGGAGTCTGTTGATAGAAGTAGTTAATATGAGAAAATAGAAATAAAATGGCTGAAAACTATGAAGGGGCACCAATAAACAAGTTATGCTTCTTGATAATGCAATTAATTACATATGTATTAAACTGCAAGAAAATACATAATAATAAAAGTTGACTCATAAAAGTCAACTTCTGTGGGAGCTGTGTCAAATTCATCAAATAACAATTCAGTCCTTTGCCACAAAGCTTTTGCTTAATATGCAAAACTCTGCTATGCTAGTTCAATACAGCACAATGTGGAGAACACAGAGGATAAAACATTTGAGTAGAGCAGTATGTAGGCCAAAGATGCTATTCCTTCCAAATGCCCATGGAGAGAATGAGGAGGCATCCTGAGAGTAAGGCACTGAGTGCTTTAATAACAAAGGTGAAATTAATAGCTTTAATCTGTTTATCTATTCTCATTCCAGTCTGCTCCAACCCACAATGTCTGGAAGTTTTCATCCTCAGAAAAAGTGAAGTACTTACTAAGTCTGTCTTTTTTTTGCTAATCTTCAGATGCTGAAAATCATTTTAAATCTATTCCTGTCATTTTGGATTTGCATAAGTGTCTTGAAAGAAAAGTCTAAAAAGGCAACGGCTGATTTAGTGTGAATGAACATGCCATAAAACATTTCAAACCTTACATCACTCATGTAAATCTTTCATGATTTAAAATGTTTGAACTTGCCAATAACGAGTAGTCTAGTGTCAGGCTGGATGAAATAGCTAAGGCTGAAAAGACGCTTTCATTAAAATCCTCCCTCTTGCGGCACATATAAGTTTGGGAGGGGGTGAAAAAAAATCTTCACTTCAGGCTGGAATTTGAAATCTTAGCCTAAACCTATGACATACCAGTTGAGGAAAAAGGAAATTTCTATAGAGTTTCATTAAGATTACAAGGGCAAATAATGTCTTCACCAATGAGATGGGGGATGGTTTTGATATTCAAATTCTGTCTATAGTCAAATCAATTTAGTAAAGAATGGGTGATTTAGTCAAGTAACTGATTAAAAAAATTACTTATATACTGGGAATTTGGTTTTACTAAATCAGCCTTATTGTTTTTCAAAGTGAACCCATCATAGACATTCACTTAGGCAGTGGCTTTCAACAGTGAGATAGATATTTGACAAATCTCTAGCTGGTTTGTCAACACATGGCACAACAAAAGCACTCTTCACCAAAGTACCAATTTTTATGAAACACAAGTCACCTATCAATCTAATTTTCATTCAGACCATACCAAAATCTTTAGAATTTCAATTTTACTTTTCAAAATCCCAAACTTGTGGTGTTTTCATACTATTCTGACCTCATCCAATTGTTATTAAAACTTTTAAAAAGGGAAATTCCATGCAAGAAAATAACTGAAAAGAACCTTCCCACTCCCAGAAATTTGACAGATAATAAGAAGTAAATAATTTCTAAAAGATATAAGTAAACAATATTCTTAAAGTTGTGGGTGGAGGATAAGAATTTCATTTTCTTTCTTTTCTTTTTTTTTTTTAACACTAGTGACCTGAGACAGCAACACTCCGTGTTTTCAAGCATTCTTATGGATGAAAGTTGTTCAGTTCCACTTGGCAAAGGGGCCATTAGCTAATGTCTTAGACCTGTCTACAGAGACTGTGGTTAGCACTTGAGGGCCTGTGCCTAATGAGGCTCATCTTCACCTCTGACAACACAGGGAAGTTTCCTACACAGTTTGTATTAGGACTGCAAGGAGAAAACTGCCCCAAACAGATCTTTAGCTTGAAAGCCACAGGGACTCCCATTACAAATGTATTGTTTTGAATAGAGCATTCTTTTTCTAATATGTTTTTCAATATAACTGCCATACACATACACTACAAAGATTCTACATTGAGTGATGACTCATCTTGTGAATGTGGAATAATACTTATCCTCTGCCCCTACCAGCAGCCCTGCTGTGGACTGTTACCCCAGAGAGGTCTTGAATGTTATTATTAAAAGGCATTTTAATGGTGGGCTGTCATGAAAAAAAAAAAAAAAAAAGAGTCATGAAACCACACAGTATCTAAGGTGAGCATCCGGAAACATTCAGCAATTGTCTAATCCTTTTACTCCATCTTTTGTTGACTCCCCCACATAACTGAATTCTCCACATCTCTTGCCTCAGACCTTCTTCAGAGGATAGTCATTGTTAGGACCCCAAGATATACAATAAGAGCCATCAACACATAGGTCAATGATTGCTTAGAAAGCAAAAAAGCATTTCAATGCATCTTCCACAATAATACCTTTAGAGTCTCTGGTATAGCAGATGCGGCAGGTGCCCCAGCAGTTTTTATTTCAGCAAGCACCAGAGGTGATCCTGACATAGGTGCTTTGTAGGGTACATTTAGAAAATACTAATATTTTACAGAAATGGGAAATAATACTAAAACACAAAAATAGAAGTGGAAAGAGTGAAGGATGAGGGATGGAATTCTATGAGGCACCACGCTCACTTATAAACTAATCTGTGTTTATGAGTTCATCACTGTTTATTGATTAATAGGATTTCACTATCTGAGACTGAATGTTTAAAACAGAGTCTATTTGGCCAGACGCGGTGGCTCATGCCTGTAATCCCAGCACTTTGAGAGGCTGAGGCTGGCAGATAACGAGGTCAGGAGATCGAGACCATCCTGGCTGACACAGTGAAACCCCAACTCTACTAAAAATACAAAAAATTAGCCAGGCGTGGTGGCGGGCACCTGTAGTCCCAGCTACTTGGGAGGCTGAGGCAGGAGAATGGTGTGAACCAGGGAGGCGGAGCTTGCAGTGAGCCCAGATCATGCCACTACACTCCAGCCTGGGTGACAGAGCGAGACTCCATCTCAAAAACAAAACAAAAGAAAAACAAAAACAAACAAACAAACAAAAACAAAAACAGAGTCTAAATTATTTTAATTCAAAATAAGTGATGCTAATGAGAAATTTTAGATAATAGTTTATGGAAGATATCATGGGGAAGATATGGGTTGACAGGCAGGCTTTCCCCTTTCCTCTCCCAAAACTTACCACATAAGTGGCTTCCTACTTCCCCATGCTTAAGAACAGCTGTTTTTGAGGTCTCCAAGACACAGATCTGACTGACATTCAAAGTTCTTTGATCTATTAACTCCAAAACTTTCACTGAGTAATTAAGAAAGTTCTCACAAGCTTGTTAGATTTTGGTCTTATGGCATTCATTCCCTGAAGAAAGAATAAGATAATCTATACAGATTAATGTACACCAGGCCTAGCAGATGTGAAGCCAGTAACAAGGCTCTCATTGAAGACTTAGTATGACTAAGTAGAGTTATTTGAATTATATGTTATTTAAATTTGTCTTAGGAGACATTTAAACCAGTAATGGAACTGCTTTTTTTTTTATTATTTGGCCATGTACGTGAATTTTAATTTACTCTTCTAATACCACCACAGAAGAAATGAAGAACAATGCATATTTCTACTAACACTAGGGTCTTTAAGTTATTAATTACATATCCAAAGTATGTTTAAATAGTTGTTAGCTTGCATATGGATGGCAAAGATATAATCTGTCTAAAATATCTCACAGTACTTAATATGATAGTAGAGCATAATTTGTAATTACTCTTAACATATTCCCTTTATAAAACACAGTCCATCATGATTGTTTGTTCTTTGATGTTTCAGTTTCAGGAAGAAGACAAAGCTTACACTTTCTGAAAAGCACCAGAACCTAACTTTGAATCAGAAAGACCAATATTTTGACACAAAAATACTGTTAAAATTTATTTTGTTCACCATCTCAAAAGACATGTATGCAGTTATTAAAATTGATTTGGAATGGAAATTTTAAAAATTGTTATCTACTCAAACTCTCTGCAGTGATATTTACCTACTTACCTTTATCATTGCTATTAATTATCCCAGTGCTTGTTAATCCCACAGTTTGGAACCACATAATTAGCCTGACCCACTTCCTTTGCCCTCTTTAGCTATACTGGAGCACTGAGTCATGCCAATTTTTCCTGTTATAGTTTTAAGGTGCTCCCTAAAATTCAAGTGTCATAAACTCAATTCCAAGGAAGGGGATATTGGGAAATAGGGCCTTTTAGCATGTGTTTGGCCCTCATGAATGGATTAATGCTACTATAAAAAGGGCTTGCAGTAGCAGATTTCTCTTCTTCTGCCATGTAACAATATGATGCTCCTTCCCTCCAGAGGACTCAGGGTTCAAGGTGCCATGTGGGAAGCAAGAGACCAGAGCCCACACTTGCTGGCACCTTGATGTTGGACTTCCAAGCCTCCAGACTGTGAGAAATAAATTTCTCTTATTTATACGTTACCAAATTTGCGGTATCCTGTTATAGCAGTCAAAATGGACTAAGACAATCACCTTCTCAAAGTAAGTGCTGATTCACTAAGATTCCTGAAGTCCACATTGTGAACCTAGATTTGAGGTATTGAAAATCATGATAAAGATACAAACTCTTGGACTGCATATAGTACTTGACACACTTCAGAGTCATTCACACAACCAGCAATGATTCAGTAGTCACTTAGTCACTAAGAGATCAGTACTGCACTTAGCGTTACAGATATCAAGACAAGTAAGACACAAGCCCTCTCCTCAAGGACATGGTCTACTAAAGATTATTGATACTCCAAGATGAAATAAAGCATTGAAGATGCCGTGATGAATGTATATAAGAAACACAGGAACGACAAAGGAAAGAGTAGTAATTCCTACCTGGATGTGGAAAGAACAGCTCCTAAAAATTTATATTGGAGAAAGCAAAATTCTGAATGTTAAAACTAATGAGCAATCTTTCGTCTGGTGAACAAAAAGTATATATCAATCAGGATTCCAAAAAGAAACAGATGGCATATGTCAAGTAAGCTAGTGAGTGGGGGGTTTATTTACCAAGTTTTTTATTTAAACTTCTGAGTAATTTGGTTAATTTCTGCATTGGAATAACGACTTGATATATTTTAAGAGCAAACAATAATTAAATATTTAATAAGACCAATAATTAAATATTTAATAAGACCAATGTCAAGTGCTTCACTTACAACACCCTTGCAAAGATAGGTACTCAGTCATTCAGTAAATACTCAGTGAGCCCCTGCCATTTAACAGGCATTGTTTGAGCACTGGAGATACAGCTGTGAACAAAGCAGTCAAGTTTCCTCCCTTCATAGAAATTTGCTGGGAGGAGGCAGGTGATAAATAAATATACAAGATAATTTTAGCTGGTGGTAAGTATTATTAAAAATAAATAAATAAAAGGGCACACTTGGTTTCTCAGGTGGTTGCTTGGCCTTCTTCCAAGTGTGCTTTCCTTGCTTTCTTTCCTTTCCTCACAGTTTTAAAGCTTTTTAAATAAACTTTCACCCCTGCTCTGAAACTTGCCTTGGAAAAATAAATAAATACATAAATACATAAAAGGCTTATATAAGTTCAAGTAGCTGAGTAAAGGTATGAGGGGCTATTTAGGGAAAGATCTCTCTCACGGGAAGACATTTGAGATAAGACCTGAGTGATGAAAAAGAGCTTTATTTTAACATTCTGGAAAAGGCAAAACTATGGAGACATTGAATAGAGAATCAGTTGTTAAGGGGAAACGGGAGGGAAGAATGAATAGGCAGAGCAGAGGGGTTTCTTTTAGAGCAGTGAGACCATGTTGTATGACACTACCATGGTGGATATGTGTCTAAACCTGTAGAAAGTACAACAGCAAAAGTGAACCCCACTGTGAACTATGGACTCTGGATGATAATGATGTGTCAGTGTAGGTTCATCAATTGTAACAAATGTGTCACTCTGGTCAGGGATGTTGATAACAGGGAGACCATGCATGTGGAGGGGTAGAGGATATAAGGGAAATCTCTGAACTTTCTGCTCAATTTTGCTGTGAATATAAAACTACTCAAAATATAAATTCTATTTTAAAATTGTTTTAAAATATGATCATCTAGCTCACAAGAGAACTCAATTAAATTTCCTGTGATTCAAATTAAAAATATACATTAAAATCCTCAGGTATCACGTATGTTATGAGAATTGCTTCTGGTTAACCTGTTGGAATCTGGAGTCTCTAAAATGCACTCATCTGCTTGGTGAATTTTGACATAACATCTGAATTAGGTGATTACGTTCAGAAAAACTGTGATTGCTACATTTTTAAGCAAGAATCATGTTGGGGTATGGATTGGAAGAGGATGGATATGGAATGAAAAGATGTAAAAGGTGGTAAATTAGATGGTATTAAGTAATTGAAACTCATCTGAGTAAAAGCAAAAGCAGTTTTAGTTCAGTGTGAATCATTAAGTCAGCACTGAATGTGACTGGTTACTAGAGGAACTTGGGTAATGGAAAATGAAAACAGCTGGATTTATAACTCCCATAAATAAGTTAAACAGCCTACTCAGTGCCAGTGAAAACTATTGACAGTGGTAAATGGTGAGGCTTCTACATACAAGCATGTAGGAAGGAAATCAACAAATTGATAAACCTTTAAAGTTACGGATTAAATACGTTTGAATTATCTTGCTTTTGGTCATTCTTTACTAAGCAACTTGTCTATCCTGATAGCTAAAAATCATAAAACTTTGCATATTTTTTAAATATTGTATTGAGTTGAATTTGGTGTTCTATAAGATAAACCTGCAAAAAATTTACTATCAGCTAGCTATACTCAAACAACTGTCTTAAATAAGTAGTTGAGGAATTCCAAAGTTATGGTGGTATAACCGTATTATACAACCAAGTTATGGTTGTATAATTACGACCCTGATCTCCTTTTCTTCTAACCTCAGAATCACTCTCTTAATTCAGGCCCTTGTTTCCTGACATGTGGACAATTACAATAACCACTTAAACTATTTTCTTCAGGCATCCTCTTCCAATCTGTTCTCCACACTGCCCCCTGAGCTATCTTTCTAAGACATCACTCCTTGCTGAAACCCAAATTCCGTAGAATATAATTCAAACTGCTTACTTGGAAATACATGTTTTGATAACCTAGATCCAACCAACATTTTTAGTCTCATCCTTTCAGAGTAGGATGACTATGTAATTTACATTTCGTACCAGAATACTTTTGATAGTAAAAGAAGGAACTATTTATAATTTCCCTGAGACAACAAGTTTAAACCTGACTATCAAGGCAAGCAAGAAAATATAATTACCTTATTTAAAAGCCAATAGTTTCTTTACTTTCCCAGGATAAATCGGTGGCTCCTCTCCTCTGTGCTCCAGAGCACAGAGCAACATTCCCCTACTTAGCAATTTCACATCATATTTTGGGAATCCTGTATATTTCCGCCACTAGACTCAGAAGTCCAAGAATTCAAAGATACATCTTTGCAACCTGGTACCAAGTACAGGACCAGATACATAAAAGGCTTTCAATAAGTGTTTTTTGATGGTGAATTAATATTGAAGCAGAGGACTGACAGACCTAAATGGAAGAAGTAAGTAAATATCCAGGAAATAGGACAAAAGTCAGGTAAAGATCTAATCACCCAGATAAATCTATAAAATTATGTTTACATGGGAGCTGTACATATATGCATATTCATCCAAAGGAAAGAAGTATTACATATAAAAGATCAAGATTACCTGTGTAAACATTTGTCATAGGTTTTGATCTTTATATTTATTCTTTGAGATGAAACAATAACTTTGCATTCTCCTTTTAAATGACAAGGTACAAAAATAAAAGATAAATTTTTAACATCCTGGTTTAAAAATGCTCCCCAACATGTTAAATAGTACTTATTATGGCTCCAAAAGCATCTCTTCCCAGTCACCCCAGGACTCTAACATTTCAAATTCTTACTAACAAATGATCTCCCAATTATTCCACTCAGTTGATTAAGATACTTCACGCTTTACTCCTTACAAATGTTCCTCTCCTGTGTGATGTTTCCCACACAGGATCATCACAGCTGATTCTGTGTAATCACCACAGCAGAAATAAGTGAACAAAAGATGTAACTCTAATGAAAACAGCTATGCTTCCAAATGGTATCTCATCAGGGATCCCAATGAAAAATGCTCAGAACTTCAAGTCTATTTTCTTATTTTGCAAAGGCATATATTTGATTTTAAAAGCATTTGATTTACAATGACATAAAATAATTTAAAATGAAAATGGGAGAATAAATATGCATAGGCAAGCCTTTGTATTAATAGTTTCAATAACTTTAACAATTTTCATGAGACATATACTCTTTAATGGTAAAATATAAGGTGAGGACCCTCATCCAAACTCCTGCAAACTCTCATCCTTAGGAGAGCCCTCATCACTCCAGAAATCTCCAAAGTTTCATCAGCTTCCTCAGACTCAGTTAGACATCACCTGGGAATTAAATGAGTTAATGGATATTAAACATTTAAAGCACTTTCTGGCATACTTTATGTTAGTTAATAATATTGCAAGATACTTTATTTAACTCTGAGATTTATTTATCTGTTACATGCAAACTTGTCCTCATTCATTAAGTTCTCTAGATTCTTTCAAGGTTTATTTTCCACCCTGTATTTACTGTAACCCCTAGAAAATGTAACCTCCAGCAACCTCATATTATAACTTGAGTTGTCTTTACTCCAGTGATCCTCACTTCTGTTCACTCAGTTACTTCCTATAAGGGCCACACCAAAGATTTTGTGATCATCAAAAAATATTCCCATTAAGAAACTACCGAAGGCCCACGCCTTCTATCACAGCAGTTGATCTTTTGATTTTAATTTAATCAAAAAAATCCCATTCCAGCACCATGCAAGATGACCTTCAACTTCAAACCCTCCTTATCTATACCATTAGTCATTCTTGCTTGTTTTAAAGATCAAATGGTGTTCTTCCTGCTCAAGGCCAAATTCTCTCCCCAGATCTTGTCCCTTTCTCCTTCTTTCTTCCCCTCCTTCAGGATTTTGTTCCCTCTGTTATCATTCATTTTCTATATGCAACTTCTTTTCTTCTCTCTCTCTCCTGTGTCTTTCCCCTCACCTGAGAACAAGTTCAAATATTTTATATCAGGACAACTCTTCTTGAGCTTTTCATGCAGCTCTAGATACTGCCGAGATAATTTTTCCATGTCTTATCCAATCTTGTCAAAAATAAATCTTCATGTTATGTTTCCAATTCCTCACCTCCCATTCACTAATTCATTATTGTCTTCAGTCAACAAAACTTAACAAGTGCTTCCTGTCTGACAGTTAACTCTAACCCAAACTCTTACTTCATAAATCCACTAACATTAACATTTCAGCTTGTCTTTTTTTTTTTTTTAGTTTTTGATAGTGTTAATCACTTCATTAGCCTCCCCTCCTGCTGTGTCTCTGTGAACATACTCATTTTTACATTTTATTCTACCTCTTGTCAAGGAAAAATTGTACCAAACAGAATCAAGCCAGCAGGACTATTCAAAACTATTGCCATAGAGGAGAAAGATTAATTTTGACTCTGCTGAAACAGAAAGCAGGAAGATTTTTAAAAGCTGGTGGGAACTAATGGAAAACTACTGGAGGATGTTGTAGGAGTAGCTCAGTGTAATCAGGCTATCTGTGTTTGCCCACTAGTGTTTATTAAAGTTAGTCTCCTATGCTCCCGCAGATATGGGAGACAGGGTCGCCATCTCCTTAGGTGATATTTCAAAGGGATAATCCACAGACTCTTAAGAAAGACATTCCTGGTAACATCACACACCAAGGCCTGTTGGGGGGTGGGGAGCAAGGGGAGGGACAGCATTAGGACAAATACCTAATGCATGTGGGACTTAAAACCTAGATGACAGGTTGATGGGTGCAGCAAACCACCATGGCACATGTATATCTATGTAACAAACCTGCAAGTTCTGCACAAGTATCCCAGAGCTTAAAGTGTAATAAATAAATTTTTAAAAGAAGAAAGCCATTCCTGGATTGTAGAAGATTTACTCTCAAAGGGACAGAGGCAGAATTTACAGTTGCAAGTTTTCTAAAGTAAATGTTCTAAGTAAAGGGAAGTCAGGGGCCTATAGATAGGGTTCTTTAGAAAGAACCTGTCTAAAGTTCAGTCCAGCTGAGGGGAATGTTATGGATAATTTGATCACTGTCTATTATGCTTTCCCTTCTTTCTTTGTCCTTCTTCTGTCACATCTTAAAAGCAGGGATCTTTAGTAATTATTATTTTACCTACTGCTGCTCATTTTATTCAATACCAACCCTGGGATGCCTTGGCTATCTCATAGTTTCAGTTATCACCTGCTAGATACCCTCCACAGCTTTTCTCATTCATTAATTACCACCCAAATTGTAATTTTTCTCTCTTATATATTTCTCAAATCATCCCCCCATTAATTTCTACTATAATTTGATGCCTTAGTCATTGCAATAGCTTTTTAAATAAGTGTCCTCCTACAAGTTTGCCTTCACACAACTGTCAAACATCTAACCAAAATGTAAATGTGACACGAGACTCCATAGCTAAAAATACTTCAAATTCTCCACAGAGCCCAAAGTTAAAGCCCAGGCTCCCTAACACGGACAGCACACAAACCTCCAGGACCGGGTCCTAGCCCATCTCTTTGGCCCCATTACTCAAAAGGTTGCCCTGTGAACACCAGGATGTCTCTCATCTCCAACCCCTAGCTCACTTTTATGTTTTAACCCATTCTGTTCTCATTCTCTCAACAAACCAAATACAACTTGTTTGGTATGATCATCTAAATTGTTACTAAGTTCCTGGCCAGGCATGAGGGCTCATGCCTGTAATCCCAGCACTTTGAGAGGCCAAGACAGGTGGATCACCTGAGGTCAGGAATTCAAGACCAGCCTGGCCAACAAGGTGAAACCCCATCTACTAAAAATACAAAAAATTAGTGAGGCATGGTGGCACATGTAATCACAGCTACTTGGGAGATGAGGAAAGAGAATCACTTGAACCTGGGAGCAGAGGTTGCAGTGAGCCAAGATCGCGTCATTGCACTCCAGCCTGGGCAACAAGAGCGAAACTCTGTCTAAAAAAAAAAATTAAATAAATAAATAAATTGTTACTAAGTCCCTGATCCTCATTAATTGGGTAAGGTGCCCTCTATAATGCTCTGTATGTTACACTTTGCACTTATCTATAAGTAACTGAGTGTGTTTGTACATTTCCCCTAAACATAAAGTCCTTATGAGGACTCCATCTTTTCCATTTTAAAATGCCCAGCAAAGAATACAATGCCAAGTACATAGTAGATATCTAACAATTATTCATCGAATTAGTTATTAAATTAAATGAGCGAACAAGTGTCTTAGTCCATTCAGGCTGGTATAACAAAATACCATAGACTGGGTAGTTTATAAACAACAGGAATTTATTTCTCACAGTTCTAGGGCTGAGAAGTCCAAAAGCAAGGTGCTAAAAAGACTAGAAATCTGGTGAAGGCCTATTTCCTGGTTCATAGATGCCACATTCTTACTGTGTCCTCTCATGATAGAAGAGTGAATGAGCTCTCTAGGGCGTATTTTATAAGGACACTAATCCCATTGAAGAGGGCTCTGCCTTCATGACCGAAACACCTCCCGAAAGGTCCCCATCTCCTAATATCATCACTTCAGGGATCAGAATTGCAGCCTACCAGTTTTGGAGAGACACAAACATTCAGACCATAGCAACAGGTAAATATGTAAATGGAAGGTTGAATGACTTAGGTATCCTTTTATGCTCACAACAAGATCATAGAGAAAGCAAATATGTCCATCCATACAAATACACACATTTACTAGCAAATATAAAATGACCTTCAAATCTGTTCTGTAAGTTTAGTGAAGTCTAAGCTCACTGACTTTTTAAGTGCTTTTACCATGCATTGCACAAAATTTCTCTTGGATGGAGGGGATATGTATAAAAATATTCTAGAGGCAGAATTCAGTTAATCTGATAGAGAACCTCAGGCAATCAGAATCCTCTAAAGTCATGATAGCACACGAGACCATTTTAGAAGCAAGCCTCAGGTGCCATTCTGAAAAAGGAAAGGATGCAAGACTCACTACAAGTTTTATATCTTGTTTAAGAGCAAATGAGATGTCTAAAATATTTTAGCCAATCTAATATTTTTAAACCACTACTTTCACCCCCATAACTCATTAATATCCATTATGCTAATTAACAAGCCATTAATTCTGCCAATGAACACCCATTGCTAATGTGCTAATTAGCTAATATTTGGTGCTAGGAATAAAGAAAGCTAAAGCACTTAAAATAGTGCTTTTGGAGTGTGGCCTTGCTAATTAAATGTTAGTTGACCACCTCCGGAGTGTGAATACTGGATTAGGGCAACTGACTACCGCTCAGGTAGAGATTAAAGCTAATCAATGCACACACATTGTTTATGCTAAAGAATTGTCAAGCAGATTATGGTCACCATAGCACTCACTGTTTTACATGCACATAAACTCTGACTATTAATAATAGAACCCCGAAACTCTTGTTTAGCCTTTCCTTCCACAGAATGAGAAATTATGGTCTTAAGATTTATTTTCCAAATGCTTCTGCATGCACTTTACAAATGTGGTTTCTACAATCAATATTTAAAGGAGAAAAGAAAATATATTTGATGTACCTATCCAAATATTTAGCATTACACCTCAGAGGAAAATGTATCTTCGTGTCTTTATTATGTCATCAGCTTATGGCTTGAAGCATAAAGATAAATTTCTTCAAAGTCCTTCTTTTTATTAACAAGATAGAAAATAAATATGAACTTTTAACAATCCAAGATACAATCCTTTCTTCCTTAATATCCTCACATTAATCTTTACCTCTGCAATGGTGATGAAAACCATGTAGCATTATTATTGTTTAGTCTTGAATAAGATGTATTAGCAAAGTTAATCCAAGGGGAATGCACACTATTACGCATCTGAAACCTGCAGCATTAATACAGTTCTCAAATCTGTAGGATAAACATATAACTTTTTGGAAGTCAAAACACAATAGATCAGCACACAGCACAGCCTATTTAAATATATTTTGATATATTTCCTTCCATTTATCTTAGATATAAAGACTAGTCAATTTCATATCTCAAATATGGTTTTCTGTGTTGTATGCTTGATATACTACAGAGGACAAGGAAAGACTCCTAAGTGTCAAATAGTAAATCTTTACTCAATTCTTATAAACGTAAAGAATGACAAAAAATGGACTCTAAAGAACAAAAGAAATGTTGTTATATTGAAGTAGTTGTAACTATCCATGACAATATAACAGTGGACAGTTCATACACACACACACACACACACACACACACACACACACACACACATCCCAACACATAATAGATTTTAATCATGTTTTCTCTTAAATACCATGGGTGTTACATAGTATAAATTAATTATTTTATCTCAACTTTGTCTAAATTAAGTCAAGTTTGGTCAAAAACACTGATCTCTGTTTTCATGTTGGCTAAGGCACTCTTTACTGTGTAGAGTTCATTTGCTCTGGAATAAGTTTTTATAATATTCTATACGTTCATCAAACTGATAAATATTTTGTGCTTGTCATAGTGGAAATGAACATCCTCAGTCTTCACTATGCCAATATGTAAAATGCAACTAATCTATTCAGATGAAAATTACAATGAGAGCAATTATTTTATTTAGGATTTACCCTAAGCAAACTTGTGGGGGGAAAAAAAAACCAAAACACCTAGATTTGGTTTACAAATGATTGAACTCCTGCTCTTGACACCACTTCTATTCTAATTCCACACTGCCATATTTTATAGCTATACATGGGTCGCCGATTGATTCCCACAGTGAAATCTTTCCTGGATTTACCTATTTTGAACATAAAACAATATCCAAACCTTCCCATTTTCCATTCCGTTGAAAGGTACTACCCTTCTATTATTTTCTCTGTTCCTACATATCAATTAGAAAAGCAAATGAAGTAATTTATACTATGCTATTAATATAACAACTGAATATGGGATCCCCTAAGAAACATATTTGAATATTAATACATTCATTATTCAACAAATATTCATTGAGTGTCTCCAATGCATTAAGTATTGTTCTATTCTACACCACTGGGGAGGTATTAGTGAAGACGATCAGTGAAGAAAGCAGACAAAGACACCAGCCCTCCTGAAGCACACATTCCAGAAAAGAGAAAGAGACAACAGACACTAGTATATTTGCATATTAGGAAATGGTTAATGCTATGGAAAACAAAAAGAAGAAAATAGAACAGGATAAGAAGATCTGTAGTATAGGGAAGGAGAAAGGGTTGCAATAATTGAGAAGGTGATTTATGACCAGAGACTTGAAGGAGGTGAGGAACAAGCCATTCAGACATGTGGGAAAAGTGCCGAGAGCAAACACTGCAAAGGCCCTAAGGCAGGAAGCAGGCCTGAGATGCTTGAGGAACAGCAAAGAAGACAGTGTGGCTGAGCTCAGCAGAGTGAGCTAGGTAGAGAGTAGGAAGAAAGATAAGAAAGATAAGAAAAAAGGGGAGTGGAAGAGAAAGTCAAGATTATCTAGGGTCTTGTTAATAAATAACTTATGAACTTAACCTGTCATGACCAAAAACAGTGCAGGATGCACCAGTTACAACTGCATACTTATTCCTTTATTCATTCAATAAGTTTTAAGTGTCCAATAAATACCAAGCACTAAGTGAGGTGTGAAGATCCAAAAATGTAAATGGTGCCTTTGGAGAGTTTAAATTTAGCAGGAATACAAAGCAGGGAATTACAGCACAAAGCAAAAAGTCCTATAATGGTAATATTTATAAGACACACTCATATTATACGAGAAATAGCTCAAAGTGCAGCAGAGAAGATAGAAAGTGGAGTTTCAGAAAAGGATAGGCAGTAGTTGAACTGAGATTAGCTGAGCAGAAATGTAGATGTCTCATACATGGGAAGGGCACTCTTAGCAAAAGAAATACAGTCATGTATTACTTAATGATGGGCATACGGTCTGAAAAATGAGTCATTAGGCAATTCTCTCACTGTGTGAACATCATAGAGTGTACTTACATGAACCTAGGTGGTATAGCCTACTATACACCTAGGCTATATGGTATAGCCCATCGCTTCTAGGCTACAAACATGTACAGCATATTACTGTACCGAAACACTATAAAAAATTGGAAGACAATATTATTTGTGTATCTAGACATAGACTTCAAAGAAACAACAGTTTTTTTAAAAAGACGGGAAGGTTTTTTTTAAAAAAGACAAGAAGGTCATTATGTAATGACAAAAGGATCAATGCAAAAAGAAGATATTACAATCCTAAATTTATATGCACCTAATACTGGATCTACCAGATTCATAAAACAATCACTACAATACCTAAGTAATGAGATAGCAACACAATAAGAGTGGGGGACTTCAATACTCCACTGATAGCATTAGACATATCATCAAGAGAGAAAATTAACCGAGAAACAATGGGCTTAAAGTACATTCTAGAACAAAAGTGCACTCTAGATCTAACAGATATTTACAGAGCATTCTACCCAAGAACTGCAAAATATACACTCTTCTCATTGGCACATGGAACATTCTCCAAGACAGACCATATGATAAGTCACAAGACAAGTCTCAATAAATTTTTATAAACAAAAATCATGTGAAGTATTTTCTCAGACCACAATGGAATAAAACTAGAAATCAACTCCAAAGGCACTCCCAAAACCATACAAATACATGGAAATTAAACAATCTACTCCTGAATGAATTTTCAGGTAACAATGAAATTGAGATACAAATCAAAAAAATTATTTGAAATGAATAAATTAAGTGACACAAGTTATCAAAACCTCCAGGACAAAGCAAAAGCAATGCTAAGAGGAAATTTTATAAGTCCAAAATGCCTACATCAAAAGGTTGTCATTAAAAAAAAATGACAACTTAATGTCACACCTCAAAGAACTAGAGAATTATTCACAAACTAAACCCAAAGCTAGCTGTATTAGTCTGTTTTCACAGTGCTTTAAAGATACATGAGACTAGGTAATTTATAACCAAAAAACGTTTATTGGTTCACAATTCCACATGGCTGGAGAAGCCTTAGGAAACTTACAATCATGGCGGAAGGCAAAGGGGAAGCAAGGCATGTCTTACGTGGCATCAGGAGACAAAGAGAGCGCAGGGGAAACTGACACTTTTAAACCATCAGGCCTCATGATAACTCCTTCACTATCACAAGAGTAGCATTGGGGAAACCACCCCATGATCCAATCACCTCTTACCAGCTCCCTCCCTCAACATGTGGGGATTACAACTCAAGATGAGAATTGGGTGGGAACACAGAGCCAAACCATATCATTAGCCGAAGAAAAGAAATAATAAAGATCAGAGTAAAACTAAATGATATTGAAACAAAACTATACAAAAGATCAATGAAACAAAAAGCTGATTCTCTGAAAAGATAAACAAAGTTGATAGACAATTGTTAGATTAACCAAGAAAAGAAGAGAGAAGATTCAAATAAGGTCAATTAGAAATGAAATGGGAGACATTAGAACCAACACCAGAGAAATACAAAAGATCATTCGAGACTACTATCAATGCCTCTATGTATACAAACTAGAAAACCTAGAGAAAATTGATAAGTTCCTGGAAACACACAAAACCTCCTGAGAGAAATAGAAATCCTGAACAGACCAATAAAGAGCAGTAAGACTGAATCAGTAATAGTAATAATAATAGTAATAATAAAAAGACAACAAAAAAAGCCCAAGGCCAGATGGATTCACAGGTGAATTCTACCAGACATTCAAAGAATTGGTACCAATCCTACTGAAGCTCTTCCAAAAGATTGAGAAAAAGGGAATGCTGCCTAAATCATTCTATGAAGCCAGTATCACCACGATACATAAACAGGAAAAGGCATTTAAAAAAAAGAAAGAAAACTACAGACAATAACCCTGGTGAACATAGATGCAAAAATCTTCAACAAAATAACAGCTAACTAAATCCAACCATACATCAAAAATATAATACATGATGATCAAGTGGGTTTCATCCCAGGGATGAAAGAATGGTTTAACATATGCAAGTCAATAAATGTGACACATTACATAAACAGAATTAAAAATAAAAACCATAGGTTAGGCCAGGCATGGTGGCTCATGCCTGTAATCCCAGCACTTTGGGAGGCTGAGGCGGGCAGATCACAAGGTCAGGAGTCTGAGACCAGCCTGGCCAATATGATGAAACCCCAACTCTATTAAAAATACAAAAATTAGCCGGACGTGGTGGAGGGCACCTGTAGTCCCAGCTACTTGGGAGGCTGAGGCAGGAGAATTGCTTGAACCCAGGAGGCAGAGGTAGCAGCGATCCAAGACTGCGCCACTGCACTCCAGCCTGGGTGAGAGTAAGACTTCACCTCAAAACAAAACAAAGTAAAACAACAACAAAAAACCCCATATGTTCTTCTTAATAGATCCAGAAAAATCATTTGATAAAATCCAACATCCCTTTAAGACGAAAACCTTCAACAAACTAGGCATAGAAGGTACTCACCCCAAATTAATAAAAGCCATATGTGACAAACCCACAGCCAACATTATACTGAATGGGGAAAAGTTGAAAGCATTCCCACTGGGCATTGGAACAAGACAAGACACCACTTCTATTCAACATAGTACCAGAAGTCCTAGCCAGAGCAAGCAGGCAAGAGAAAGAAATAAAGGGCATTCAAATTGGAAAGGAGGAAGTCAGACTATCGATATTTGCTGATGATGTTATCGTATACTTAGAAAACCCAAAAGACTCCTAGATTTAATAAACAAATTCAGTAAAATCTCAAGTTACTAAGTCAATGCACACAAATCAGTACCACTGCTATATACGAACAATGACCAAGCTGAGAATCAAATCAAGAACCTAATCTCTTTTGCAGAAGTTGCCAAATATTATAATAATAATAAGAAGAAGAAGATACCTAGGAATATACTTAACCAAAAAGGTAAAAGATCACTACAAGGAGAACTACAAAACACTAATGAAAGAAATTGTAGGTGACACAAACAAATGGAAACACATCCTATGCTCATGGATTGGAAGAATCAATATTGTAAAAAATGACCATACTCCCCAAAGCAATCTACAGATACATTGCAATTCCTATCAAAATATCAACATTATTTTTCACAGAATTTGAAAAAGCATCTTAAAATTCATATGGAACCAAAAAAGATCCCAAATAGCCAAAGCACTCCTTAGCAGAAAGAACAAATCTGCCGGTATCACATTATCAGACTTCAAGTTATACTACAAGACTATCATAAACAAAACAGCATAGTATTGGTATAAAAGTAGACACATAGACCAATGGAACAAAATAGAGAATCCAGAAATAAAGCCAAATATTTACAACCAACTCATCTACAAAGCACACAAAAACACAAATTGGAGAAAGGACAGCCTATTTAATAAATGATGCAGGGAAAACTGGCTAGCCACATGAAGAAGAATGAAACTGGATCACTACCTCTCATCTTATAAAAAAATGAACTCAAGATGGATCAAAGACCTAAATGTAAGACCTGAAACCATAAAAATTCTAGAAGATAACCCTGGAAAAATTCTTCTGGACATTGGGCTAGGCAAAGAATTCATGACTAAAACCCCAAGAGCAAATGCAACAAAAACAAAAACAAATATATGGGACCTGACTAAATTAAAAGCTTCTGCTCAGCAAAAGAAATAATCAACAGAGTAAAAAGACAACCTACAGAATGGGAAAAAATATTTGCAATGTTTACATCTAACAAAAGACTGCTATCCAGAATTTACAAGGAACTCAAACAAATTAGCAAGAAAAGAACAAATAATCCCATCAGAAAGTGGGCAAAGGATATGCACAGACATTTCTCAAAAGAAGATATACAAATGGCCAATAAACATATGAAAAAAATGCTTAACATCTCTAATCATAAAGGAAATGCAAATTAAAACCACAATTATATACCACCTTATTCCTGCAAGAATGGTCATTATTAAAAAGTCAAAAAACCATAGATGTTGGCATGGATGTGGTTAAAGAGGAATGTTTATACAGTGCTGATGGGAATGTAAATTCATACAACCTCTGTGGAAAATAGTATGGCGATCCCTTTAAGAACTAAAAGTAGATCTACCATTCAATCCAGCAATCCCACTACTGAGTATCAACGCAAAGGAAAAGAAGTTATTATATGAAAAAAACACATGCACATGTAGGTTTATTGCAGTACAATTCACAATTGCCAAGATACGGAACCAACCTAAGTGCCCACTGACCAACGAGTGGATAAAGAAAATTTGGTATATATACACCACGGAAGACTATTCAGCCATAAAAAGGAATGAAATAATGTCTTTTGTAGCAACTTGGATATAGCTGGAGGCCATTATTCTAGGTGAAGTAATTTAAGAATGAACAAACTAATACCATGTGTCATCACTCATAGTGGAAGCTAAGCTATGAGCACACGAAGGCATACAGCATGATATAATGGACTTTGGAGACTCAGAGGGAGGATGTTGGAAATGAGGGTGTAAGATTAAAGACTACTTATTGAGTACAACGTACACTACTTGGCTAATGGGTGCACTAAGGTCTCACAATTCACCACTATATAATTCATCCATGTAACCAAAAACTACTTGTAAACCCCAAAAGCTTACTGGGGTACATGTGGTATTTTTAATAATTTTTTATATTTAAAAACATTACAAATAAATAAAAGAAAGAAAATACATTCTCAAAAAAATAAAATAAACATCGAAAATATACAATAAAAATATGGTATAAAAGGTAAAAAATGGTACACCTGTATAGGACACTTACCATAAATGGAGCTTGCAGGACTAGAAATTGCTCTGGGTGAAATCAGTGAGTGAATGGTGAGTAAATGTGAAGGCCTGTGCTATTACTGTACACTACTGTAGACCATATAAGCACTATACAGATAGACTACATGAAATTTATTTTTTAAAATTTCTTTCTTCAATAATGAATTAACTGTTGTTTATTGTAACTTTTTTACTTTATAAATTCTTAATTTTTTTAACTTTTTGACTTTTTTGTAATAACACTTAGCTTACAATACAAATACATTGTATACATGTATAAGAATAGTTTCTTTTTTATATCCCTATCCTATATATTATATTATTTACTATTTTTTAAATTTTTTATGTTTGTTTTTTTTTTTTTTACTTTTTAAACTTTTTTTGTTAAAAACTAAGACACAAACACACACAGTAGCCTAGGTCTACACGGAGTCACGGTCATTAATATCACTGTCTTCCATCTCCATGTCTTGTCCCTCTGAAAGGTCTTCAGGGACAAGAATATGCATGGAGCTGTTAGCCTGTGATAACAATACCTTCTTCTGGAATACCTCCTGAGAGACCTGCTTGAGGTTGTTTTACAGTTACATTTTTATGAGTAGAAATAGTACATTCTAAAATATTGATATAGTATATAAATATATAAACCAGTATCATAGTCATTTGTTACCATTATCAAGTATAATATACACTCTACATAACTGTGTGTGATGTACTTTCATATGACTGGCAGTGCAGTCTGTTTACACCAGCAGCATAAACATGTGAGTAATGCACTGCACTAAGACATTATGACGGCAATGATGTCATAGGGATAAAACTTTTTCAGCTTTCTTATTATCTGATGGGACCACCATAATATAGAGTCCATTGTTAACTGAAATGTTGTTACGTGCTGCATGACTGTAGATAAGCCCGTTAGAAAGTAATAAAAAAAAATATATATATATGTTTCCCAGGTATTATAAATAGCTCAGTAGCATCATAGCAAGAGAATGTATCCTCTTGAAAGCATCGGAGTACAATAAGCTGTGTCCTCCAGCTTCATGGGTAAATTGGGTGGGGGGGGTCCTTAAAAAGAAGAATAGCACTGACCGGGCGCAGTGGCTCACGCCTGTAATCCCAGCACTTTGGGAGGCCAAGGCGGATGGATCACGAGGTCAGGAGATCGAGACCATCCTGGCTAACACGGTAAAACCCCGTCTCTACTAAAAATATAAAAAATTAGCCGGGCATAGTGGCAAGCACCTGTAGTCCCAGCTACTCAGGAGGCTGAGGTAGGAGAATGGCATGAACCCAGGAGGGGGAGCTTGCAGTGATCCGAGATTGCGCCACTGCACTCCAGCCTGGGCGACAGAGCGAGACTCCGTCTCAAAAAATAAAAATAAATAAAAAGAAGAAGAAGAATAGCAGAACTAGCCACCTACAAATTTATTTCACTGAAGCTCAGAACCACAAGTCTACATGGTTACTTCTGGGGTTCTGGCAATCGCTAAGGCATCTCTACCAAATGAGAACAACCTGCAAGATATATCTTGGCCTCCTCTGATTTGACAAGCATAGAATGTGGCACATTAGCATAACAGAACAGCAGCACCATTTTCATTTCCACCATCATCAAGCTACTTTGAGTCACATCACCTTTTATCCTAACAAAGATCCTGCTACATAGCTATTATCTGTCCCCACTTTATGTAACATTAATGGGAAAATGCTTTTAAATGGCTGCAACAGACTGTTTCTTTGTTTTAGGCAATCCCTGACATTCATCTCAGGAGTCGATAAAGTTTAAGAAAGCTCAGTAAGGGGTTATTTTTGGTATTCATCAGAGGTAGCCATCAGAGCCTCATCTAAGATGGAAGCTAAGACATAGAAGAGCTCCTGGAAATGTCAGCCGAGCAGAGCCTAAGGAGAAGACACCAGTGAAGAAGCCCTCGTGACCAAATAGCCAAAGGTCCCTAACAACTGTGATGTCTAATATTCAATTTTAGGCAATTTTGTTAAAATTACAGTAACCCTTCTCCCTTCTACTTCTATTATGCTCCAGAAATGAAAAGAGTAACAGCCATTTATAGGGCAAAGCTAGGAGAGAGGAAAGTTGACAAGGTGAAACAGCGATGGGGTTTTAAGAATAGAGCAGAAGAAAGAACTTACAAGTGTGTCTGTTTCTCTTCTTCCCCACTGTCATCATCCTGGTTTAAGCAATTGTCACAGTAAGTGTGACAGAGTTGCAACATTGTTCCTACTTCTCTTCTTTGTAGAAAATAATCCAGAGTGGATGTGGTGAAGGAGGAATGCTTATACACTGCTGATGGGAATGTAAATTCCTACAACCTCTGTGAAAAATAGTATGGCGATTCCTTTAATTCTGCCCTAACTAATCTGCTTTTCCTCATGAATCCTAACTGTGCAGTACATCAACAAAAAAATAAACAAAAACACTAAATGTCCACTCTGATAAACTCAATCTGACATGCTACCCAAATATTCCCGTTTAGATAATGCTAAGACTTTTTAGTCAAAACTGTTTCATTTCCCATTGTTGTTCCCATCTCCTGATCAATTTTAAGATGGCTTCATGGTATAGCTCATGGGGATAGGTATGGTCTATGTGATCTAGAGGCGAGGAGATATGGGGTGGTGTTATGGCTCTCTGGGTGTCCGAAGGATGGCTCTTGCATCATGGATTGCTACTTGGCCTGCTGGTCTTCATAGCTACACTCAGTAACTGCAGATCTTATAACCCAATTCCTCTGATCTAGCTCAGGATCCTGCAGTGTCGCCTGGTTTTCTTCAATTCTGTTACCCCCACAGGTCCCTCTGAACCTTTGCCATATTAAGCTAGCTTCTATTCTGCATTTTCCTCCCTACATGCCTCTTTATTGTTCATGACAGAAGGGACCCAATGACAGACAGCCCAGCATTCAATCCAGCATCCAAACCGTACATGACCCTAAAGGATGAAAGAAAGGAATTTAGAAATCTCTCCTCATTTCTCTCTCTTTCTCTCTCATGTTTGAATTTACACCAATTACCATCCTGCAAAATTCTTTTTGACTGTCAAACACTAACAAGTAACCCTCTTATTCTCCTTTCATTCCTGTGTCATCATCTTAACGGTGGGGGGCAGATACGTATGCTTCAAGCAGACTACAAGGTTAATGTATACATACGAAAATGAAAAATTTAAAAATGCTTTTATATATTACTTATTTTGTTCCATGAGATCTCAGTCAATAAATATTTCTTGTATGAAAGAAATACATAAATTTTTAAATTGAAACAAAATGAAATACAGAAAATAGCAACAAACCTACCAGACCTAACTAACCACACAGCTGGTGATAAAACTCTGGAAAAAAAAATAAGTTCCTGCAAGTCTTTCTTCACCTTCCTACAATTTCATCTTACAGAAATAAAAAGTGTCTGTAAATATAATTTCAACAAGAAAAAATTAGTGCTTTATTAGTTCATGGTGGCAGTTTATGGTGAAAGTTGAAGTTTATAATACTAGACTTTGGCTTAAAACAAAGCAAACACAAAGATGCTTATTTTGTTCTGCTTTTCTTCAAGGAGAAAAATAATCTTGAATAGATTTTAAAAAACTATGGAAACATATTGAAAACTCACGTGTTTTAAATGAAAATAATTTCTAAAGCTTAGAAAAATTCTACTACATGATATGAAAAGACATCATAGTTGTAATTGAGATCTATTGCCTATAATTTTGAGAAATTTTAACTAATGAAAAAGGGAAGGCTTTGAGAGCAAGACTGTATTGGAGTTGCTCCATTTCACTTTCATGGAAGTAAGTGAAAACGTTCTTCAAAGAAAATGAAGCAAAGGCCCAAGATTGGAAAACAGACAAAGTAAGATTTAGCTGTAGGCTGTAGTGCTGGTACATGTGAGGAGGCAGTTAAAGAGAAACCTGGAAGAGACTGAAATCAGATCCTGGGGAACCAGGAACACCAGACTAAGTAATTTATTCACTGTGTTTTATTTAGCCTTTTATCCTAGGGACACAACTCAGAGCATATATATTCTCCTTATCATTATTTATTTTATCAAAGAAATACTCTCTACCGTAAGCACACTTTGGGGGATTCTATGCTGATGTGTGTAGTTAGCCATGATCCCTTGGGTTGCTTCAAACATGTGTATGTGTTTTATCAATATTATAACAGGAGACTAAGTCTAGGGAACTAGAAGCAAGTGGGCAATGCCCTAGGAAGCAATCGAGAGGAGATACAGTTTTCACATCAATTTCAAAGGTGAATTATACAAGCCTTGTCATAAAACCAAAAAAGAAATGAATTTCCAAGGATGGAAAATAATGAGATGGCTAAAAAAGCAAAAGGCCCAGAGACAGAGCAGATTTGTTAGGCTAATGAGAAGTATGAAAAAAAATTATAGAAGAAAGAGCTACATTTTACATTACCTACTTCCACTTACTACAAAGTATCCAAGCACAGAAAGTTTGACTTAACACCTACGAAAAGAAATTATGATTTCCGAACATTGACAGATTTTCCTGCCATGGCCAGCCATGCCAGGGTTCTTTCCTTCGTCTATGAGACTCATGATGCTTTCAGAGCTTTTTCCAAAGAAATAAATCAGAATGTGTCTATTTAACAATATGTCTTTTCCATTTCCTTCCAAATTTTACAATCATAAGTGGAAATAGATTTCTCCATAGTTTATGTCCCTTTCTCCAAAGAGAGTAGAAATTTATACTCAATAACCAGCTCTGCCTTTTTCCCCTTCAAGGGGCAGAAGTGATGACTCAAGTATAAAAGAAGAGTGAAAACAATGGTAAAATGAAAGTTTAAATTTAAACAGAAAAAGAAATTTTGATTTCAAATTTTCTTTATAAAAAGTGTTGACAATATGCTTTAGAAAACACATGACGAATAAATACTTTGCTGCTCAAACCCATTGGATATTGCACTGGGCATACTCCAGCATTTAATGAATATTTATTAAATGACTGGTAGGCTCTGAAGAACAAGTAGGTAAGGACTAAACACTGCAGCAGTTAGTACTTTCAACAGATGCTAATGATTAGGAAACCATTTACGATCTACAATAACAGATGAACATACAATAAAGATAATTTGCTTCACAGTATTCATAACCAAATTGATAGTAATTTTTAACTTCTGATTCCAATTGTGATGATGGAAATGAGATGGGATTTATAACTACAAAATGAACAGGCCGTACAAGGCTGTGATCCCTAAATAAAGAGAAAAAGCAACATACGCCCTAGGATTGCACCAGTCTGCTGCCTGGAGTCAGTTTCTAGGCTGCAATCCAAGGAAGGGGACCCAATTAGAGTCCAAAGTTTCATTAAGTTGAAAAAAACAGAGATTGGAGTTTGCGGATGCCAAGGCAGCTAGAATTTGCCATCTAAAACACCAGACAGGGCCAGGCGCAGTAGCTCACTCCTTTAATCCCAGCACTTTGGGAGGGTGGATCACTGGAGGCCGGGAGTTCGAGACCATCCTGGCCAATATAGCAAAACCCCTTCTCTACTAAAAATGTCAAAAAATTAGCCAGGTGTAGTGGTGCATGCCTGTATTCCCAGCTACTTCGGAGGCTGAGACAGAATTGCTTGAGCCTAGGAGGCAGAGGTTGCAGTAAGCCGAGATTGTGCTACTGCACTCTCGCCTGGGCAACAGAGTGAGACTCTGTCCCCCACAAAAAATTTTTTTAATACAAAATTTAAAAAATAATAAAACACCAGATAGGCATGAACTGCACAGAGAGAGCTCTGGATACTTAAATACTGATCTGCTCATGTATGAGGGAAAACTACCCAAGACCAAGGAAATAACCACTAAAAAGTAATAAGCAGAGTTTATACTGGGCTTAAAATCATTCAGACAACATGGAAACACCTCCTAATATGAAGGACATTGGCTAAAATTCTGAGAAAGATATCTCCTTAATAATGGGGCTAAATTCTGCCTATATTAGAGTCTGCTCTGGACTCACCCTAAATTTAAAATAAAGCTTCAGATGATCTAATCGATTTTGAATAATGTAACATGTTAGAATAAAGCACAACACAGTTTAAAGAATACAACCAAAGCCAAGTGCAGTGGCTCACACCTATAACTGCAGCCTTTTGGGAAGCCGAGGGGGGCGGATCACTTGAGCCCAGGAGTTTGAGACCAGCCTGGGCAACATGATGAAACTCTTGTCTCTACAAAAATACAAAAAGTACCTGGGCATGCTGATGTGCACCTGTAATCCCAGCTACTAGGGATGATGGGATGGAAGGATCGCCTGAGCCTGGCAAGGGTGAGGTTGCAGTAAGCCATGGTCACACCACTGCACTCCAGCCTGGGTAACAAACTGAGACACTGTCTCAAAACAAACAAACAAACAACAACAACAAGAAAAAAAACAACTGAACACAGAAACCAAGAACATACAATCCACAATGACCATCAGACCATCATCTAATGAACATTACTAGGTACACAGAAAAAAAGGAACATATGACTCATTACTAAGTATCAATCCATAGAATCAAACACAGAAATAACAGATCATAGAATTAGCATTAACATACATTTAAAGGGCTACCATAAATATTTGTCATAGGTTCAAGAAGGTAGAGAAAAATCTGAACATAATGAGGGAAGAAATGGATAATATACAAAATGCATAGTGAACTTGGAGAAACACAGAGAAAATATGCTAAGGGAAAAGTGACAGCATCAGTAATTTGTAGGAGAATATCAGGTAGACTAACATACTTGTAATTAGACGTCCAGAGGCGAAGAGAGAAAGAAGAGGATACAGAAAAAAAAGTTAAAGAAATAATGTTTGAAAAAAACCCAAATCTGGTTTTTTAAAAATGAAACCTCAGCTCTAAGAATCTCGACAAACCTGAAGTAAAAGAAAGGTAAAGAAAACTCACAAGGCCATATCATAAGAAAGTTGCTGAATACCAGAAGTAAAAGAAAAATCTTAAAAACAGCCTAAGAAAAAATGATATCATGACAGACTAAATGATTAATCACATGCTGTATGGCAGAAGGGCAGGGAGATGGAGCATGATGTGTAGTGTTTGCTAATTCCTGGGGTGTCGCTACTTCTACCTTGTCTATCTGCGACTGATGTCCTTCAATACTGAGTTTGGGGCTGAGGCACACAGTCAGCTCTCACAAGGTGGTAACAAGTTAAACACAGCACACCACTGCACACAGAAAGAACAAATCTAAGAAAGGCAGTAGACTTCTTGTCAGAAGCCATGCAAGCAATAGGACAAAGGCACAGTTAGTTTAAAGCAGTGAAGGAAAAAAAATCAACTTGGAATCACCTATTAAGCAAAAACATCTTTCAAAAATAAAGGCACACTAAAAACTCCTTTACTTAAACAAAAGCTTAACTTAAAACTGACCACCAGCAGGCTAAGATATACTACAATAAATATTAAAATAATTTCTTATGCAAATCAAAACCACAGTGAGGTATCATCTCACACCAGTCAGAATGGCAATCTTTAAAAACTCAGAAAGCAACAGATGCTGGAGAGGATGTGGAGAAATAGGAATGCTTTTACACTGTTGGTGGGACTGTAATCTAGTTCAACCATTGTGGAAGACAGTGTGGTGATTCCTCAAGGATCTAGAACTAGAAATACCATTTGACCCAGCCATCCCATTACTGGGTACATACCCAAAGGATTATAAGTCATTCTACTATAAAGACACATGCACACATATGTTTACTGCAGCACTGTTCACAATAGCAAAGACATGGAACCTACCCAAATGCCCATCAATGATAGACTGGATAAAGAAAATGTGGCACATATACACCATGGAATACTATGCAGTGATAAAAAAAGGATTAGTCCATGTCCTTTGCAGGGACGTGGATGAAACTTGAAACCATCATTCTCAGCACAGTAACACAAGAAGAGAAAACCAAACACTGCATGTTCTCACTTATAAGTGGGAGTTGAACAATGAGAACACGTGGACACAGGGAGGGGAACATCACACAACGGGTCCTGTCAGGGGGTAGGGGGCTGGGGGAGGGATAGAATTAAGAGAAATACCTAATGTAAATGATGAGTTGATGGGTGCAGCAAAACGACACAGCACATGTATACCTATGTAACAAACCTGCACATTGTGCACATGTACCCCAGAACTTAAAGTATAATAATAAAATAAAATAAAATAATTTCTCAAGGCAGAAGGAAAATAATATCAGATGAAAATTTGAACAGACATACAGGAATGAAGAGTGACAGAAGTGATAATCCTGTCAATAAGCACAAATATGTATTTCTCATTTTCAAACTTTTAAAATGATAATTGATTATTAAAAGCAGAAATAATGATATATGTGTACATTTATTACATATGTAGAAGTAAAATACATGCCAACAATAGCACAAGGAATAGGAAAGGAAATGGAAGTGTATGTTTTAAGGTTCTACATGCTAAGTAAAATGTCACAAATTTTTTGAAGGTAGACAGTAATAAGGTAAAGATGTATATTGTAAGACCAGAACAAATATTAAAATAAAACAAGGAAGTACAGATTTTAAGTCAAAAGTAGAGATAAAAATGGAATAATAAAAAATTAATCCAGAAAAGTCAGAGAAAAGAGAAAAGTATAAAAAAGGTTGGGACAAACAAAAAATCAAAAGGTTGGGACAAATGAAGAAAGAAATAGCAAGATAGTATATTAAACTCACATTGATGGATATTATTATAGTAAATGTAAATGACCCACATACTCCAATTAAAAGGAAAAGATTGAAATATTTGGTTAAAAAGAGTACCCTAATATAAGCTGTTAACAGGAAACCCACTTTAAACATAAAGATATAAATAAGTTAAAAGAACAAAAAGGAATATGCCACAAAAACAGGAATCAAAAACAAAAGCTGAAGTAGCTATGTTAATATCATATAAGCTACATTTCAGGACAAAAATAATACCTAGGATAAAATTAATCTTTTTATAATGATTCACAATTCATCAAGAGGCCATAACAATCCTCAATGTATAAGCTCCTCACAGAAATCCGAAGTACATGAGGCAAAAACTGAAAAAATGGGGAAAAAATATACATTCACAACTGTGATGGTTAATACTGAGTGTCAACTTGATTGGACTGAAGGATGCAAAGTATTGTTCCCGGGTGTATCTGTGAGAATGTTGCCAAAGGAGATTAACATTTGAGTCAGTGGACTGGGAGAGGTACCCCACTCTCAATCTGTGTTGGCACATCTAACCAGATGCCAGCACGGCCAGAATAAAAAGCAGGCAGAAGAACGTGGAGCAATTAGACAGGCCTAGCCTCCCAGCCTACATCTTTCTTCCATGCTGGATGCTTCCTGCCCTCAAACATCAGCTTTAGGACTCGGACTGGCTCCCTTGCTCCTCAGCTTGCAGACAAGCTATTGTGCAACCTTATGATCATGTAAGTTAATACTCCTTAATAAACTCCCCTTTATATATACATCTATTCTATCAGTTCTGTCCCTCTGGAGAACCCTGACTAATACAACAACTATGGTGGGATATTTCAATACCCTTTCTCAGTAACTGACAGAACAAAAACCAGACTCAGTAAAGATTAAAAAAAAAGATTTAAACAACACAATGAAGGAAGTTATCTAATTGAAAGTCATAGAACATTACTGCAAAGCCAGACTACACATTATTTCTTAAATGCATTCACCAAGATAAATGACATTTAAGATAGATTTATTCATTTATAAAACAAGTCTCAATAAAATTGATACAATTGAAATCAGGCCAGTAAGCTATCTGACAACAAGGTAATTAAACTGGAAATAAGTAATGGAAGGGTATCTGGAAAATCCTCAACTGTTTGAAAATTATACAACATGCTTCTAAATAGTCAAGGGTGAAAGAAGACATCTTGAAGGAAATTGGAAAAGACATTGATCTAATGAAAATGAATATAGAATGTTCAAGAATTGAGGAATTCAACTAGAGTGATGCTTAGAAGGACATTTATAGCATTAAATGCTTATATTAGAAAAGGAAAGAGATTTCAGATAAATTATCTAAGCTTTCACCTTAGATCATGCAAAATCAATGGCAAAAAGAAATGATAAATAACTTTTTAAAGAGCAAAAACTAATGATATTTACAGGGAAAAATAGAGAAAAATCAATAGAATCGAAAGGTCGTTTTTGAGATGTCAAGAAACTGAAAAAATATCTAACCAGACTGATGAGAAAAAAATAAGGAAAAAGTCACCAATTGTCAATATTAGGGACATCACTATGGGCATCACTATGAATCAAACATTTAAAGACTAAGAGAAAATTATGAACAATTGCCTATAAATTTGACAACCTAGATAAAATAGACAAGTTTCTTAAAACTTGTGAGATTTAAGTCAATAAATGTGATTCACCACATAGAAATAATTAAAAATGAAATTACAAAAGTAACTCAACAAGAAATACATAACTTGAATAGCAGTATATCTAGGAAAGAAATCCATCATAAAAATCTTTTCCACAGAGAAACTTCCAGGTGTAAACAGTTTTAGAGGTAAATTCTATTAAACATTTAAGAAAGAAATAATACTCTTCTGGGAAATAAAATAAGAGGCATCTCTTTCTAACCTATTTAATAGGGGCAACATTAAGATAAATCCTGATGCCAAAACCAGACAGTATTGCAAGGAAAAGAATAATAACTATAGACCAATATTCCTCATGAACATAGACACAAAAATTCTTAACAAATTCTTTACAAATTGAATCCAGTGATATTTTTAAAGTGTAATGTCTCATGGCCCAGTGTGTTTTATTCCAAGAATGCAAAGTTGCTTAAAAATGTAAAAGCCAATCAATGTATCTCACCATTTTAAAAGACCTAAAAAGAAACCATACAAACTTCTCGATAAATGCAGAAAAGATTTTGAAAAAATTCAACATCCATTCGTGATATTTAAAAAATCCTCATCACATAGGAATAAAAAGTGAAATATTTAACCCCATATAGGAAACGTGTTAAAAAAATCCTACTGCTAATATTATATGTAATGGTGAAATACTGAATGCTTTCCCTCGAATTTCAAGAACAAGGCAAAAATATATACTGGAGGTCTTAGCTTCTTTTTATTTGTGCATGGCATGATTACCTCTGTATAAAATCCTTAGGAATATACAAAATAGTAACTGAGTGTAATAGAATTAATAAGTAGATTTACCAAATTTGCAAGAAACAATGTCAATAAGGGAAGATCAATAGTAACTCTCTACACATATAGTGGACAACTAGAAATTGAATTAAGATAACAATAGTTTCAGAACAGCTTAAAACATGACATAGAAATAAGTTTTATGTTTGTAAATCCTGTACAATGAAACCTACAAAACATTACTGAGACAAATAAAAGAAGCAAGTCAATAAATGTGATTCACCACATAAACAGAATTAAAAACAAAAATCGTATGACCATCTTAATAGATGCGGGAAAAGCATTTGACAAAATTCAGCATCCCTTTATGATTAAAACAAACTAGAGTCTAGAGGCATAAAAGGAACATATCTCAAACTAATAAAAACTATATATGACGAACCCACAGCCAACATCATAGTGAATGCGGAAAAGTTGAAAGCATTCCCTCTAAGATCTGGAACAGGACAAGGATGTTCACTTTCACCACTTCTATTCAACATAGTGCTGGAAATCTTGGAGCAATCAGGCAAGAGAAAGAAATAAAAGTCGTCCACATTGGAAAAGAGGAAGCCAAACTCTCTGTTGGCCAATAATATAAACTTATATCTACAAAACCCTAAAGATGCCTCCAAAATATCCTAGGTTTAATAAATGAATTCAATAAAGTCCCAGGTTACAAAATCATTATGTATGAAGCAGTAGTACTGCCATGTACCAATAAGAACCAACATGAGAACCAAATCAAGAATGCTACCCATTTACAATAGCTGCAAAAAAAGTAAAATATCTGGGAAAATACTTAATCAAGGACATGAAAGATCACTGCAAGGAGAACTACAAAACACTGATGAAAGAAATTGTAAATGACACAAATAAATGGAAACACATCACATGCTCATGGATAGGAAGAACCAATGTCATAAAAATGACCATACTGCCCAAAGCAATCTTCAGATTCAATGCAATTCCTAACAAAACACCAATGTCATTTTTTACAGTATTAGAAAAAACAAACACAACAAATAGACAAGTACAACAAATTGATCTTTGACAAAGCAGACAAAAACATACCTTGAGGAAACGTATTCAATAAATGATGCTGGGAAATAAATGGATAGAAAAATAAATCTGAATCCCTATCTCTCATCGTGTACAAAAATTAACTCAAAATGGATTAAAAAGTTAAATCTAATACCTCAAACCATAAAAATTGTAAAAGATAACCTGGAAACGCTCTTCTGACATTGGCCTAGGCAAAGAATTTATGACTAAGACCCCAAAAGCAAATGTAACAATAACAAAAATAAATAAATGGGACCTACTTGAACTTAAAAGCTTTTGCACAGCAAAATAAATAATCAATAGAGTAAAAAGACAAACCACAGAACTGGAGAAAATATTTGCAAACCATACATCCAACAAAGGACTAATATCCAGAATCTACAAGGAACTCAAACAAATCAACAAGAAAGAAACAAATAATCCCATTAAAAAGTTGGCAAAGGACATGAACAGACACTTCTCAAAAGAAGATCTACAAATGACCAACAAACATATGAAAAAAGATTCAACATCCCTAATCATCAGGGAAATGCAAATTAAAACCACAATTATATACCACCTTACTCCTGCAAGAATGGCCATTATTAAAAAGTCACAAAACAACAGGTATTGGCACGATGCAGTGAAAAGGGAATGCTTATACACTGCTGGTGGGAATGTAAATTAGTACAACTTCTACAGAAAACATTATGAAGATTTCTCAAATAACTAAAAGTAGATCTACCATTCAACCCAGCAATGATTCTGCTAGATACCTACCCCCTCAAAAATAAGACGGCATTATATCCAAAAGACACCTGCTCACATATGTTTATCACAGCACAATTCACAATTGTAAAGATACAGAATCAACCTTAAGTGCTCCTCAGCCATAAGTGGATAAAGAAACTGTACCATGGAGTACTAATTAGTCATAAAAAATGAAATAACATCTTTTTCAGTGACTTGGATGGAACTAGAGGCCATTATCCTAAGTGAAGGAACTCAGGAATGGAAAATCAGATACCATGCGTTCTTACTTATAATTAGAACCTAAGCTATGAGTACTCAAAGGCATACAGCATGGTATAATGGGTATTGGAGACTCAGAAGAGGGGAGGAAGGGATGGAGGTGAAAGATAAAAAGTTATCTATTGAGTACAATGTGCACTATTGATGTGACGGGTACACTAAAAGCCCAGACTTCACTACTACACAATTCATTTATGTAACCAAAACCACCCGTACCCTTAAAGCTATGGAAATAAAATAAAAATAAACAAATAATTAAATAAATGGAGATACCACATTTACAGCTGGGAAGACATTTTTAAAATGTCAATTCTCTCTAATGTGACATATATTCTATATAATCTCAATCAAAATCCCAGGAAGTTATCTTGTAGAAATCACTAAGCTGATTCCAAAATACATATAGAAATACAAAGAATATATTCTATATAGAATATAGAATATATTCTATATATAGAATATATTCTATATATAGAATATAGAATAACCAAACAAACTTAAAAAGGGAACAAAATTAAAATACTTTTATTAGTTGATTCCAAAGCTTACTATAAAGCAAGAATGATGAAAACACTATGGTATCAGTGTAAGAACAGACATGCAGATCAATGATACAGAGTAGAAAATTCAGAGATTCGTACATGAATGGTCAAATGATTTTTCTACAAAGGTGCCAAAGTAATTCAATGGGGAAAGTGTAACCTTTACTACAAATGATACTGAACAACTGAACATTCATATTTTAAAAATAGACATCAACACTTGTCTACCTCACATAAAAAAGATTTAATATGGTTCATAGATCTAAGCATAAAGTGGCAATTATAGAAAATACTTTGAAGAAATTCTAATTTGAAATTGGAAAAAAATTAAGAGAAATTATTTATAATTTTGAATTAAGCAAATTTTTTTAACTAGTATATAAAAGGCATGAATTATCAAAGAGAAAGTTGATATATTGGACTGTATGAAAATTTTAAATGCTTCCTCTTCAAAAGACACTTCAGAAACTAAAAAAAAAAAAAAAAAAAAAAAAAAAAAAAGAAGTCGTGCCTGTAGGAAGGTATTCATAAAATAAATGTTAAAGTATTTGTAACCGGAATAAAACTAAGCCATTTTTAATATATCAAGTTATGTCATAATGATATATATATGATAAACAAATCTTTGTATACAAAGATATACTAATGGTCAAGAAACCTAGGAAGAGAAACTCAACATCTACAGTTACTAGGGAAATTTAAATTAAAACACAATTCAATACCACTAAACACTCACTAGAATGATTAAAATTTTAAACACTGATGATAACCAAGTACTGGTAAGCATATGAAGCAACTGTCATGCTTACATATTTCTGATGGGAATGCAAAACGGTACAGCCTCTTTGGGAAGCAGTTTATCATTATTATATAACTTTGAACATTCACTTATACACAGTTTAGCAATCTTACTACTATATATTTACCTAGTAGGAATGAAAATATTTATCCATACAAGACTTGTACATGAATATTTTTTAAAGTTTTATTTATATTAGCCAAAACACTGGAAACTATCCAAATGCACACTGCTTGATGACTAGTTAAACAAATTGGATTCACATCCATACATGGAAAACTATTCAGTAATAAAATGGAATTACTGATACATGCAACCTGAATAAATCTTTTAAAACATTATGCTAAGTAAAAGAAGCCAGACACAAATAACTACGCTCTTTTTTATGCCCTACAAACTAAATTTGAAAAAAGGCAAAACTATAGTTACAGAAAGCAAATTGGGGGTTGCCATAAGCAAAAAGTGGGGTCGCAGATTGACTATAAAGGTACAATGAAGTGACAGAAATGTTCTGCATTATTTCAGTAGTTAGACAACTGTATATTTCTGTCAAAACTCATTAAAATTGCTTCACTGTATTATATTTAAATTATACTTCAATAAAGCTGATTATTTAAAAAATAACTTTAGTTCTTACATGTATTGATAGATCTCTTGTGTCTCCCTAAAATACATAAAACCAAGCTGTAGCCCGACCACCTTGGGCGCATATACTCAGGGTCCCCTGGGGCTGTGTTATGGGCCACTGATCACTCATATTTGGCTCAGAATAATCTCTTCAAATATTTTAGATTTCGACTCTTTTTGTTGATAATATATACACATAATTTACCATTTAACCATTTTCAGTGGTATTAAGTATATCACAGCGTTGTACAACAATCATTACTACCCATGTCTAGAGCTTTTTCAACCTCCCAAATGCAAAAGTCTATAACCATTAAATAATAGCTCCCCATTTCCTTTTCCCTCAATATGATCCCATTCTTGTAATAAAAGTCTGGAAGCATACACACGAATTGTCTCAAAATGTTCATCTTACCTGAACATTTACTAAATATTTGCTTGACACCTATTTTGTTCCTCCCAAAAAACAATGGATGACTAGATTAAAAGCAATTTTTACAACTATTTTGAACTTTATAAAACAAATGATTTATTATACGTATAGCATTTAGAAATAGTACCTGGCACGTAGTAAGCTCTACATTGGTGTTAGTTATTACTATCTTTTTTGTGCTAATCTTTATTTTCTATTTTTCCAAGAGTGAATTATTCTTATGAACAGAATAAAGTTTACTTTGAATTTTTTTTTTTGAGATGGAGTCTCACTCTGTTGCCCAGGCTGGAGTGCAGTGGTGCAATCTCGGCTCACTGCAACCTCTGCATCCCAGGTTCAAGCGATTCTCCTGCCTCAGCCTCCTGAGTAGCTGGAACTACAGGCACGCGCCACCACACCCAGCTAATTTTTTGTATTTTTAGTAGAGATGGGGTTTCACCATTTTAGCCAGGATAGTCTTGATCTCCTGACCTCGTGATCCACCCGCCTCAGCCTCCCAAAGTGCTGGGATTATAGGCATAAGCCACCGTGCCCAGCCGAAATTTTTAATAACAGGAAAACTACAAAACAGATAAAGAATTGCTATCCAAATCATACAATATTTATTTTTTAATATAAAACAAAAATACATAAAGAGATATGAACACACATATAAGCAGCCCTATGAATGGAGCTGTCCCAAAATGTGACACTGAAAGGGCCTACCCAGGGGAACAGAGCACACACCAAACCAGGGAAGAAAGCTCTGACATGCTGGGTGCAGGTTTCACAGCTTTCACATCTGTTTCTGAACAGTCAGGTTTCCATAGTCTCTCTCTACACTCTACTCATTATGTTCCTGCGTCATCCCTGGCCGGATTTCTTTTAGCTGTGACTCATTTCATTTCAATCCTGGGGACTGGGCTAATTTGTTCAGCTATATAAAGGAATAGAATGGCACAAATCCTGATTAGGAGCTTCTGAAAATGCAGGATTTCCTCTGCATAGAACAGCAGGGTTTAGTTCTGCCAGGAACATAGGCCTATATCTTCCCTTTCTTTTGTTCTCCAAGATTTTTCTATCTCAATACCCCTAGAGTACTATGTTTATTACTCTCATTTATTGCTCCTCTGAATGTGAGGGTTTGATAGTCAGTGGGGCAAAGCTTACATCCTCAATAGATTCCTCTTCAATACGTGTAAATGACTCTAACTCTTTCCATGCAAGGGTGTTGAGTATGGCTATTTGGATCATCTGTGCTAGTTAAATTACACAGTCTCAGCCTTATCACTACTTTTCAAGGCTACTCAGAAAGTCACTAAATTATGTGTTCTGCTTACCAGAGGAAAAGGATATGTCATCAGGGTCTGTTGCTTTAACACTTTGGGGGCCTAATGTCTTATTCAGTTCTTTTTGGTGACTAATCCAGACCACATTTGCATTAATAGCCTTAACCCCAGTCACAGGTTTAATTTGTTTAAAACTATATTTAGGCCTTTGGGAGCTTCTATAATGAATTTCATTAAACAGAAAGATTATATAATGTACTCTTTTATGATTAATTAACTCTCTATAAAGATGGTAATTATAATTAAACTCATAATCTGACTAGTGTGTCATTATCATAATAATTGATCAAGTCATTTTATCCTGCAAGCATTCAAAAACTGCAATGCTTCTGAAACAGAAACAATTCTAAATCATCAAAAAAACGCAGTTTTCACATATATTTCACACACTCTACAGCCTTTTTCCAGTCTTTTCAGTTAATGGCCTCTTTCCTAACTATAACAATTTCCTTCCCCAAAAACACTTTTTATTACCCAAAAGATCACAATAAATTTATCTATAACATTCATATTTCATATCAGAATGACTGTGTAATTTAGGCATATCTGATGTTTCTGTTTTTAAAATGCAGGATATGCTACTGCCCTCAGGATATTCAAGTTTGTATATGTGGCCTTTGGCTACACTATTAAACAAATGGACAGCATTAATCAGAGACTCCATGCAACACATTTTCAGAGGTATGATGACCTGGCTAACCTTTGAAGGCATTGGCACTACATACTGTAGAATATTCTTATTTCAAAAATGAGAAGGAAGACTCTTCCGGTTCTGACTACTCACAGCAGCCCAGAAAACCCACACAAATACCCACGGGGAATTATAATTAACCTTAATGAATTGCCACATTCCAGGCTTTCAAAGGTCTTATCCTGAAACATCACTGCTCTTCATAGTGCACCCCTGTATCTGGAGGCGTATACAATAGCAGCTGTGAGGAAATGCTGCAGGCAAAACAAACGGCAGCATCATTACGGCTATTTTTAGCCTGTAGGATGGAATCAGCTCAGGGCTGCTGGCTCGGCTCACACACCCACCTACTGAGGCGTCAGCGTTCCACAGCACACCAGAGCAGGACCATTTCAGTAACGACTCAGAAGACGTCAGGACAATTCTGACTGAACACAGAATTCTCCCTGAAATTGCTATATGCAGGTAAAAGTCTCAAGGAAACAGTGGAAGACCCAATGTGAATTTTATGGTTCTCTCATCCAAAACCATCTCCTTGAGAGAAGCGCAGTGGAGTGAATATACATAATGACCTTTTGGCTCATATAATTTGTCTGTATTAACTATTTTCTATTCCTTTATATATATATAGTATATATGCTATATATTATATATTATAAATACTATATAATATATAGTATATATGCTATATAATATTATATAGTATATATGCTATATGCTATATAATATTATATAGCATATATACTATATATTATATATGCTATATAATATATTATATATACTATATAATATATAGTATATATGCTATATAATATATATTATGTAGCTTATATAATATATATTAAATAGCATATATAATATATAGTATATAGCATATATAATATACTATATACTATATACTAGTATATAGTATATACTATATACTAGTATATAGTATATTATATATACTATATACTAGTATATAGTATATTATATATACTATATACTAGTATATAGTATATTTAATATACTATATGCTAGATGATATTATATAGTATATATAATATACTATATGCTAGATGATATTATATGGTATATATAATATACTATATGCTAGATGATATTATATGGTATATATAATATACTATATGCTAGATGATATTATATGGTATATATAATATACTATATGCTAGATGATATTATATGGTATATATAATATACTATATGCTAGATGATATTATATGGTATATATAATATACTATATGCTAGATGATATTATATGGTATATATAATAATGTATATAATTAAATATATACATTATATATATACACACACATACAAATATTCTTTTCTGTAAGTCATCTTGAGAACTTGTTTGAAAAGAAGTGAGATACAAATAAATATTAAGACCCTAGGATGAATTACATTTTAATTACCTCGGCCAAACTAAGGTAAAGCCACTTAGTTTAACCCACTCATTTCTATAGAGGTAGAAACAGGACCTTGGTTTCTATGTCTAGGAAATGAATGGGTTAAACTAAGTGGCTTTCCAACCCAGTGCATGCTCCCTTTCTGATTGTCCTCTGCCACCTGCCTCTGGCTTCCTGCCACTTCTGGAACACACTCTATGCTCCAGCCACAGATCTCTGTGCCTTGACACATGCTGTTCCTCATCCAGTTTTTTTCAGTTTTATAATCCTACTTATCTTTCAAAACTCTGCTCAAGCATTGCTTTCTATAAGAAGCCTTTCATGCTTACCTGTACCAAGCATTTATTCTCACTCTGCTGCAAGCCATGATTGTGAATAACTTTCAAGTAAAAAACCATCTTTCATTCATCTTTGCAGCTCCAACACCTAGTACAACACCTGCCAATAGGACCTAAAAATATTGTGTATTGAATGATTAAATGAATGTCTTTTCCAGCTCTGACCTCTACTTAGATTGAGATAAGCCAGTCAGATAACCAGCACAGCCCTCACACATTACCCAAAGGGCAGCTGCCTCTGATGGAGGTGGGAAGGCTTAGGAAACTACAGAGAAACATCAAACTGACTCTATAGGACAGGCCTGGGATGAGCACCAGTAAAGAAAAGAAAAGAACAAAAAGGAAGTGTCTGTAACTTTTAATTTTGCTTAGGACTAACCCGGGGATTTGTACAGTAAGTTAATTAAATGTGATCAAGCTTGGACTCTTGGATAAACAAGTAGAACAACCTGACATCAGTCAAGATTTCCAAAATGTGTCATATACACTCAAGAAGCAGCAGGAGAGGCATCAAATGTTAAATAGATTCCCTTAAAATACCTAGACTACAGGTCCCATTGGTTATAGGGTTCCTCAGTGTTCTCAATGGGGCATTACTTACTGCCCCACCCCAGAGGTATTTTGAAGATTTGTAGAGTTTTGTCTCTTTGTCTTCTACTATAACTGTGCCTATGCATTTATATGTAGAACTGTATATTATTTTACTAAAATTACTTTCCTATTATATTTCCCTTAAATTATACTTTCATTTCTATTTAAAAATTGAGTGTTCATATGATTTATTATCTATAATTTTGTTTCATGAAAGGAAAGAAGTTATTATATAATATTTTCTATAGAAAAACTCAGTCTCACCTCCAGGGATCACAGATAATAGACCAAGAAAATGAGGAACGGATCATGGCTCCCTCCACCTGGCTTTTTCCAGTCTTCATTGTCACACACTCTTCAGCTACCAGAAGCCACTGCCCCTGGAGGCCCCACCTAGACTTCTCAGACAAGGATGTCTTGCTTCGAGATTTGAAGCAGATACCAATGCCTTTAATGATGTCAGATCTGCTGCCTTTGGAGGAACAGAATGCTTTAGCCCAATGTGGAAATCAACGAAGTCAGAGGATACACTTAAATTTGTCCTTGAAACAAGAGTAGGAGGATTGAGATTTTTCTTTTTTTTTTAAATTTTTTATTTTATTGTTATTATACTTTAAGTTTTAGGGTACATGTGCACAATGTGCAGGTTAGTTACATATGTATACATGTGCCATGCTGGTGTGCTGCACCCATTAATTCGTCATTTAGCATTAGGTATATCTCCTAATGCTATCCCTCCCCCGTCCCCCAACCCCACACCAGTCCCCAGAGTGTGATGTTCCCCTTCCTGTGTCCATGTGTTCTCATTGTTCAATTCCCACCTATGAGTGAGAACATGCAGTGTTTGATTTTTTGTCCTTGGGATAGTTTACTGAGAATGATGATTTCCAATTTCCTCCATGTGCCTACAAAGGACATGAACTCATCATTTTTTATGTCTGCATAGTATTCCACGGTGTATATGTGCCACATTTTCTTAATCCAGTCTATCATTGTTGGACATTTGGGTTGGTTCCAAGTCTTTGCTATTGTGAATAGTGCTGCAATAAACATATGTGTGCATGTGTCTTTATAGCAGCATGATTTATAGTCCTTTGGGTATATACCCAGTAATGGGATGGCTGGGTCAAATGGTATTTCTAGTTCTAGATCCCTAAGGAATCGCCACACTGTCTTCCACAATGGTTGAACTAGTTTACAGTCCCACCAACAGTGTAAAAGTGTTCCTATTTCTCCACATCCTCTCCAGCACCTGTTGTTTCCTGACTTTTTAATGATTGCCATTCTAACTGGTGTGAGATGGTATCTCATTGTGGTTTTGATTTGCATTTCTCTGATGGCCAGTGGATTGAGATTTTTCTCCCTCCTTTTTTTCTTGCTCCTTCCTTTCTTTTTTGAATAGGTGCAAGAACTGCATCAATCATAATCCTTTGTTCATAACACACCATTATCACTGACTCACACCAAAGGATCCAAAGTCCCTTGAACAAGACGAATTACAGCAGAATAGAATCTCAGTTTAGGGTTAGATTACAAAGTCAGTGTACACAGACCAAATCACCTAAATCTAACTAGAAGGTTCCTTATATCAAGCATAAAATACAGTGTACATGATTTTGATCAAGAACCCTGGATAACAGTTATTATGCATGTCAAAGTTTGAGAATCAATTAGCTAGAATAATGGAATAAATAAAAATCATCTATGCAGACTTCTGATCATTTCAACTTTTCTGCTGCTGTGACAGACGTCAATGTTTGACAGTCGATAAGAGATTGGTAGAGAATTCCAAAATGCTCTTATTCCTTTATTCTGTTGGTTTTACTTTTAGCATCTCTCAAATTTTCTTTGTTTCTATTTTTTTAATTTTAGAATAGTTTTAGATTTACAGAAAACTTGTGAAGATTGTTGATATGGTTTGGCTGTGTCCCCACCTAAGTCTCATCTTGGATTGTAATTCTGATAATCCCCAAGTTTCAAGGGAGGGACCTGTAATCCCCATGTGTTGAGGGAGGGAGGTGATTGGATCATGGGGGCGGTTTTCCCCATGCTGTTCTTGTAACAGTGAATGAGTTCTCACAAGATCTGATGGTTTTATAAGTGTTTGGCAAGTTCCTTCTTGGCTCACTCTTCTCTTTCCTGCCCCCATGTGAAGAAGGTCCTTGCTTCCCCTTCACCTTCTGCTATGATTGTAAGTTTCCTGAGGCCCCCCCAGCCATGTGGAACTGTGAGTCAGTTAAAGCTCTTTTCTTTATAAATTACCCAGTCTCCGGCAGTTCTTTATAGCAGTGTGAAAACGGACTAATACAATTGTAGAGAATTCCCATGTACCCCACATCCAGTTTTTTCTCATTGTAAACATTTTTATTAGTATGATACACTTGTCACAACTCATGAAGCAATACTGATATATCACTATTTACTGAAGTTTTTAATTTATGCATATTTTCTCAATTTTTACCAACTATCCTTGTTCTGTTCCAGGAGCTCATATAGGATCCCACATTACATTTAACTGTTATGCCTCCTTAGGTTCTTTGTGACTGTAACAGTCTCTTAGAATTTCCTTGTTTCCAATGACTTTGCCAGTTTTGAGTAGTACTGATGAGGTATTTAGTAGAATGTCAGTTGGTATTATCTGATGTTTTCTCATAATTAGATTGGAATTATGGGCCTTTAGAAAGAAAACCACAGAGGTAGAGTGCCAGTCTCACCACATCATATCAAGCATGCATACTGTAAACATGACTTATCACTGCTGATGTTAACCTGGCATTCCCACCAGTGATGAATGAGAGATCCTGTTGCTCTGCATCTTTGTCAACTAGCAATTAATATGGTAAGCTTTTTGGATTTCAAACATTCTAATATATGTGTAGTGGTATCTCATTGTTCTTTTAACACATATATCAGGTTGAGCATCCTTTTCATGCTTATTTTCCATCTGAATATCTTCTTTGATGAGGCGTTGTTCAGATTTTTGGCCAACTTTTTGAGTTTTTTGTTTCCTTATTGTTGACTTTTAGAAGGGTTTTTCTAGTATATTTTGGGAATACAAGTCTTTGATCAAATATGTGATTTGATTTTCTCCCAGTCAGTGAGCTGTCTTTTTAGTCTCTTGACAGTATCTTTCACAGAGCAAAGTCTTAATTTTAATGTCTAACTTATCAATTTTTCTTTCATAGGTCAAGCTTCTGTTATTATATTAAAGAATTCATATCCAAACCCATGATCACATAGATTTTCTCCTATATTTTCTTCAGTAAGTTTTATCATTTTGCATTTCGCATTTAGGTCTACGATCCATTTTCAGTTCAATTTTGTGTGTAAGTTTCATGGCTTGGCCTCAGATCGTTCCATATTCCATGCTGTTTTATGTGTTTGTGTTGGAATAGAAGGGTGAGGTGGTGGGGAGGGCAGCGGTGCAAGCAAGGGACTAAAACCAGGGTCTGAATTCAATGAATAAATGATGTGATCCTACTGTGTTCACTATGAGGACATTTCTTTTTTTTTTTTTTTTTTTTTTTTCACAGTTCCTCCAGGGAAGCAGTAAAGTAGTGTAAACAAGTTTTCCAAGGACTACTTTGGTGTCCTCATTTGCCTCTGAGAAAAATGCCTGCCTGAACTTTACAGGTCTCTTTTGGAGGTCAACAGAGATTATAAAAAATTAAGGCACTTTGAGAAATTCACCCAGTACAAATGTAGTTTAACAAGTGTCACTCTATAATGAAAAATCTTCCTTCAGGCTCCCTTCTTACACCATGCCTGGGAGGAAGAATCATTCCCTTACTTATGGGAGAACTTCTCATGGTGTAAACATTCATTCTAGAGAGCATTTCCCCATCAAGCTACAGGCTGATGCTCTGAACTGGTGCTCCCTGCAAAGCAATTTGATAAGATTAAGTATCCCCATCCTCCATGTTTTTCTCCCTCCTCCACTTTCCTTTTCTGAAAAGGACTGTGTGAAACCACAGGGAAATGATACATTTGCACGCTATTCAGAAAACAGCTTGGCTGTCTGGGCTTGGCAGTGGATAAGCCCCTATTTTAGGCTCTCTTCAACTCACCATGCTCTGCCTAGAGGAGGCTGAAATCATCCTTTGCCTCCACCTCCACATTGTAAGTTGAATGTCAGCCACAATCCCTGGCCACAGCACTATCTACCAAGTAGACATCAGCCCTACAGCATCCAAATCATCTGCCAAGTCATATCCCAGGGGATCGGAGGCATGGAGTCGCATTCATCCTGGGGACTCGAGTTTGGCAATGGCAAACTCATCACTAAATGAAAAGCTAGCCAATTCTTGAGCTTCTGTCTTCTTTCTGAGTTTCCCTAAGTCCAAAATTCCCTTTCAATAAAAAGGGGAAAGTTGGGTTCTTGGCCCACATGTATCCTCAATACATTGCCAAATCATTCTAGCTTTCGAATGAGTTACCTGATGCTTACAAAATATGAAATCTTTCTGAGCCTTCTCAAATCAAAATGGAAAGAAAAATACTTCAGATTGAAGATTTCAAATGCGAGATCTGAATAATGACTCAGTTCTTTCCTTCCATAAGCAAACTGCTAGTTTTCAAGTACAAAATATTCCCAAATAAGCAAAAGCAATGACTGTTTTCTGGAAAAGAAAATACAGATGAGTAACGATACATTCAATATTGATATTTCCATTAGCCTGAAATCCCATTAAAGACATTTGTAATTAATTGCAAATATATTTTGAACACAGAAGATTTAACAAGAATACCATGTGCACATTACATTCTAATTCTGTTGATCTAGGTCTTTCTATCTCTGGAAACAACGTATGTAATGAATACCTAACCTTTGCTATGTGAAATGAGGGACTAAATGAAGCTCACATTTAAATGTAACTGAAAATGTGTCAAGCGAGTTGTAAGTGAATAAAGCATGTCAGAATGATTATTTTCTAAAGGTGGCAGACACTGAAGCTGTATTTCCAGGTATGTGGAGAAGCTATTAAAATTCTTGCAAGGTCTATCAGGTTCAGAGAATGACACTGGAAATTTATTACAGGTGCCAAATTCAGTCATATTCTGAAGCGTGTTAATGTTTCCCACTGCAGACTCCTATAAAATACATTTCAAGATCTTTACGAGGAAAAAAATGTATTTATGAAAATCAAAGGGCCTCCAAAAGGGAAATAGGAGAATAAATGAGTGTGTGTGTGTGTGTGTGTGTGTGTGTGTGTGTGTGTGTGTGTATGGTGTGTGGAGTGTGTATGGTGTGTGGAGTGTGTATATGAATTGCTGTATTATCAAATGAGATAAACCATAGACTCTAAAATAGCCCTATCTATGTTCTTTACCTTCCAAAGGACCATATACCCAGTGCGTTCAACAAAGCTTCAACAAACTACTGTAGTATTAGTCTTTCTTATTTTTATCTATGCTACTGCCATGGCCTTGTTTGCTCCCAGGGTAACCAGACAGCCAAACAAGTTTCTGCGTATTTGACTGTTTTCCAAATACCCTCTCAAACACACAAACTCTCCACTCTAAAACCAATGTGAACAGAAAGGAATCATGGATAAATAGATCTTTCAGTTTCTCTCTGTAATTCCTTTCACTCTTTCCCACTTTCTTTTGTTTGTTGGTTGGTTTATTTGGTTGATTAGGGGGCTGGATGGCTGTTTGCTTGCTTACAGCAAGTTGAGACACTTGTTTTATTTCTTTTAATTTAAGGTGTGATACTTTAAACTGTGTTTAACATCATTAACTCTGTCCAAGGATGATATAAGTTAAGAAATATTCCTCCCAGTGGCACACTTGCCTCCATAGATGTAGGTAACTGATTCTGCACTAACCTAGCAGAACTATTCTAGGAAGAATATATAGAAATTGCTTTATTTTGTTAAAGACTTTCATCACAGAGGGGGAACTCTGATGGGAAAGACTCAAAGGGCCGATGTGGTTGTGAAGTACAAGGGATCAAGCAATGCACTATAAGACTAGCGCTGTAGTATGTTATGACACCCCAGTGAAAAGTAAAACTCCTGTGCAGTAGCTTTTTTGCCTAAACAAACAGGCAACAACTCATTGATTATTGGGAAAACTGATTTCACCTGTCATTTGGTGGTATGTAATTAACATAAATAAGAATGGGTCACTCTGTGTTTGGATCACAGAACATCGGAAAGGTCCATCTGATGTCAAGAAGAAAAAAAAAGAGGAAATTACAGTTCAATTCTTAATCCCAGTCTTGCAGGATACTTAAATCATTGTCTATGATCCATTCATGCAGATTAACTGTCAGTCACACCACACTACAGAGAGGCAACTAGTAAACAGCTTTAGATCCAAGTCAGCAGTATGGGCAAAGGACCAGCTCTGAACTGCTCTGTTATGCTCCTGTCATATTATGCCCCTGGTTTGGAGGAATTTTAGGTAAATGTGTGGACTCATGTTCTTCTCATGGGTATCGAAGGTTTTTTTCATCACTACTAGTGGCTAAGATTACTAATCACCCTACAACAAGATAAAAGAGGAAACACAAAGATTGTCATACATGCCTGAATTTTTTCCAAGCCACCATTTTTCACCAGGTCTCACCAACCAGGAGATCACCCTTTAGGTTCAGACCCCTCCTCCTGCCCATCCTCCTGACATTTAAATCTTATTTCTCACCAAACTTTAACCCATTCTCCACCATCAAGGCTACATTCTTCTCTAAGGCCTCGAAGAAATAGTATGGAACAGACAAGAAGTAATAAAAATCACATAATCAAATAAATAAATATATATATATATTTCTCCATTAATGCAGGAATATGTCACTGAGAACAAATATACCACCTAGAAAGCATAGAATAAGAGTATACCCCCACAAGAAGCAGAGAAAGCTAGAACGGGAAAAGATGAACAGTTTTCTTGAACTGTTACAGCTTTATTTTTTAGTTTGCTGAGCAATTTACAACCTGGAAGTTAGTAATAATTGGTGGTAATCTGCTGGTGACAGTCATGTGAATGCGCTTGTATCCAAGTGGCTGGAGGCCCCAAACACCGCCTTATCTTGTTTGTGTGCCAGGTCTGTGACCTGTGTCAAAAACACACCAACACATCCATCGATCATTTACCTCAGGGGGTTTTTCATATATGCCTACAACAGTACTGCTTCTGTTGCCCTCTTTTTTGGTAGCCTCACTCAAATACTTTTTAGTCTGCTACCTACAATATGGTTCTTCAAAGAAAGAAACCCATCCAGAAAGAAAGCGTACACCTGCTGTTTGAAGCTGATGGTGTATTGTTGGTAGATGACAAAAAGAAACTGAACTCCTCAACTCCTATTTTGCTTTTGTCCTCACAGTCAAGGGAAAAGATATTTAGACAAAAATGAGTAGAACAAACACTGGTTACCTGGAAATTGAACCTCTAGATGAGAAAAGGGGTTGTAAGGGAGCGCCGATAGTCTATAAATAAGTTCAAATCTCTTGACCTGAGAATTACGTTTCAGGTTACTGGGCACACTTTCACTTGAGTTTGACAAACTACTATAGGTAATCTTTAGAGGAGAAAAAGGGAAACTTGCTGGAATACTGTAGATAATGTGATTTTCATTTTCAAAAGTGGTAAGGTGTACTTAGTACAAAATTAAATTCCAGGCAGGACCCTAATATGAAAAGAAAGTGCATGAGCACCACTAATGCAGAAGTTGGTAAACTTTCATGAATGATTCAAAACAATCCCTTTCAGAAATCTGATTCCATAACACAAACCTTTGCCCCCAAATATGGGATGAATAACTAAAATATAGGATGAGTAGCTATCCTCCCAAAATATGTAAATGCACACAAACTAAATTTCACATACAGTCTCAGGAAGTTCATTACCCCTCTTAATTTCATTCATGACTTGATTAATGAGCTCATTAAGAAAAATCATATCCAATTAAAATAGTTTCTGCCTTAGCAAGGTTTCTAACTGATAAATCTATAAATAGGGTCAATAATGCATATTTTAATTTAGACAAGACATTTTGATAAACTCATCATATTCCTGTGAACGGGATGATAAAAAAGTAGGTTGACTATTAAAATTAGTTTGTTATCCCTTTAACAAATATTTACTAAGTACATTTTACGTGTCATTTACTATAGGCACTAGGGATAAGGTGAAGCCCAAAATAGACAAGATCCCAACATCTGAATCCTTGTAGCCTACTGGATAATTCAGACAACAGACAAAAAATAATTTCAGAGTGTGATAAGTGGTATGGTATGAACAAAGTAAGCAAAGTAATATGATGAACAGTGAGGTGTATGGGCAAAATACGTGGGCTATTTTGGTAGTCTAGAACAGTCTTTCTGATGTGTTCATACTTGATCTGAGACTTAAACCCTGTGAGGGTTTAAGTGAGGAACAAGGGAAAGAACATCCTAGAGAGAAAGACAAGAAGGTGTGAAGATCTGAAATAGAACAAGATTACCATCACTCTTCTCCTGGTCCTCAATGGTAGCTCCCTGCCAATCTTCCAGATGCTACTTTAAAGCATTCCTATCTATTCTCTTCATAAATCAGCCAGAGATATTGACTTGAAATGTAAATCAAATTGTGTCATTTCCCAATTAAATTTCAACTGTTTCTCAACATAGAATATTAACTCCTTACCATAGCCCTCAAGCTTCAATTGATATGATATCTACCTATCTCTCCAACTTCATCTCATGCTTCTCATTTCTTCTCTCAATATGCTCCAGTCTTCTTTCAAGTCTTCAGAAACATCAAGCTCTTCCCTGCCCTAAATCCTCCAAGATACTCTCTTTCCTCTTCCTAGCATATTTTGGCCCCATCTTTTCTCTTGGCTGCTCAACCCATAGGTTTCACCTTAAATTAACCCTCTTTGAAGAGGCTTCCTTGACAACCCTCTCAAAAGCTGATTCTCTGCCTGTGCCTCCCTCCCATTCTGGCCCACTATCTCTAGCTTACCACTCCCATCATTTCCTTCCGACTATTTGTCACAATTTGTAATTATTTTACTCATGAACATATTTTACATGTTTTTTTGCTCCAAACTATAAGCTCCAAAAGACAGGGGGAATCAGTTTTGTTCACTGTTCATTGGGCAAGTAAGTACAGCACAAAGCTAAGAGCATAGGTTCTGAAGGTGGACTGCCTGGGTTCAAATTCTACTTTGCTAATTCATAGCCTTTCTGACCTTGACTTCTCTGACTTCAATGACATCTATATGAAATATGAAAAGAAAATGTACTTACTTCAAAGGTTTTTAGGAGGATTAAATAAAGATATAAAGTGCTTTGTATAAACACACAATAAATACTAGCAATTATTGTTTTAGTGCCTAGCATATAGTAAGTACTGAACAAGCATTTGTTAGAAGAATGATTTCCTCAAAGAGTAGCATTTATAAAAAATGTCAAAACTAGCTGGAGATTATCTATAAGATTAAGAAATGACCTTTACCTGCAAGAGATTTATAACCTCAAGTCAATTGTCATTGCTGTTTTAATCTATTCACTCATTTTGGGTTAACTTCCCAAATAGCTTTTTAAACTCATTTTGGGTTAACTTCCCAAATAACTTTTTAAACTCTTCATCACCTTAAGCCCTCAAAGGAACACCCACAGCCTTCACTTTATAGTACATCAAAACAATAAAAAGTATTTTTATGCTGTCTTAGTCTGTTTTGTGTTGTTGATAACAAAATATTACAGACTGGGTAATTCATTAACCATAGAAGTTTATTTGGTTCAAGGTTCTGGAGGCTGGGAAGTCCCAGATGGAGGAGCTGCCTCTAGTGAGGGCCCTCTCACTGTATCATAACATGGCAGGAGGCATCACATGGTGAGAGATGCTGGAGAGAGGGCAAGAGACAAACTCGGAGGCTCAAGCCCTTTTGTAATCATCCTTATTCATGAGGATGAAGCCCTTATGACCTAAACACCTCCTTGGGCTCAACCCCCAACCCTGTTACATTGGGTATTAAATTTCCCAAACATGAACATTGGGGGACACATTCAAACTATGGCACTGGCCAATTCCCAATTTTCCTCACCTCCACCTCTAAATTTAACTCTGCCTTTAATTACTTTCTTGCTTAGCAACTCAAAAAGAGAAAATCCCCTCCTTTTTCCAGGACCAACTCTTTTTCCCATGTTTCTTAATTTTATACTCTCCTACATTCTCTAGATGCCACTTCACTTTTTATACCTTCTCACTCAACCTCTACCTCTATTTTGAGTTTATGCTCTCAATCTACAAGGATGCTAATGTCTTCCCAAATATTAATAAAACTTTCTGGTAATTTTACCTTTCTTTTACCACCATTTCTTTTCCATACTCAATACCTTAATTTTCTCACCACCATTCACTTTATAACCCACTTTCCAGTACCATTTGTCATTCTCACTGAAGTATTTCCATCTTTCTAATAATGCCATGTATTTTCACCCTCCATGGCTTTGTTCTTATGTATCCAGAATGATTTTTCTTGCCATTATATATCTCTATCAATCAATCAAATTATCTTTCAAAGTCTGATGCAAATTCTCTTCTTTTGTTTAGCTCACTCTACTCCTTTTCTCCCTAGGCAAAATTATTACTCTTTCCTTTGTCTTTAATAGAACTTCATTTATATTTCTAATGATTTTAAATTCTTTCTAGAACAAGGTACATAGATGATGGATGTATTAATATAGAGGTAGGTATTCTGTCTACTAGCTTTCGAACTTCTTAATAGCAATGTATAAGTCTCATTTATTCCTGAATATTTATTTAATTATTTATCACTTAAAGTGTTTCTTTTAGCACTGACAATATTTCTGTCACTGTGTTAAGCATTTTAACTTTAATCCTTAGAAATCTAGAGGAAAACTATATTATCTCCATTCACAGATGAAGAAAATGAACCTTACAATAGTCAGTTTACTTGCCTAGAACAATAGTCAGTGTGCTTGCCTAGAACAATAGTCAGTTTACTTGCCTGGTACATCAGCTTTTGCTCTTAACCATCATATTACATTTCCTCCCAAAAATTTTTAGAAAGGGGGAAAATGGAGAATTAATGGGATGAGTTATAAAATAAATGTAACAATGTAAACCTAATCTACAAAAACACTTCACCAACAGTTGCGCTTCTTTTATTTTCTGTTTTCAGCCTCCAGTAGATTCTTTTTTAACAATAGCTTAAACCTAAAAATTATTAAGATGAGAGCAACAGGTAGGACTATATTCTATTGCTTATTCAACTGTCAGACTTTTCTTGGTTTACCTTACCTTATTCTGTATTTTTTTAAGACCATTATTACTAAGAATTCTTGCTTAGGGAGGAAACAACAAAGGAAATTCAAGTTACAGTCTTACTTTTACAAGTGTTGAGGGGCCTTCATAAGAGAAATATAAGCATTAATAACTATAAATAAACCTGAATAAACTAAATAATACAACTTTCTGTTATGTTACTATATTAAGCCTTTAGGAATTTAGGGATGCCTGGCTCTTACTCACTCTAAATGAGTAGCAGCAGGTGATATTAGAAAGAAAGGGAGAATAAAAGAGCCAGAAGATGTAATTTAAAATGAGCCTGAAGGTAGAATTAGGGAGAGGAATGAAAACATTAATTGGAGGGACAGAGAGGGTTGAAGGAAGTAATCTTCTCTTTCTTAAGGAGCAATATTTTAATCTCTAACTTCAGCAATATTAACACTAAAACTACTAGGCTCATACAATATATACATTTGAAAATTATAAAGCACATGGCTTATATTGGATAAAAGAATAGAAACAACCTAGATATGCACCATTAGAAAATTGATTAAATAAATTGTTGAATAACCATACAATGGAATATAATACCAATGATAAAAAGAGTATTGGCATGGAAAAACTCTTAATATTTGTTATTTACTGAAAAAAGCAAAACTACCCAAAAAGTATAAAATGTATAACTCCATTTACGGAAATAAATAGGACTACATGTTATATGTTGTGTATATGCAATATATTGCTAGATAAATGATATAAAATTACCCAATATTGTTATTTTATGTTCATTTCTAGAAGGTATAACAATAGGATGGGATGAGGACGTGAAGAAAGAAGTGGAGAACTTCATTTTCTGCATTTAAAAATTTGTATTTAAGTTTTTTACAATAAGTATATATTACCTTGATGTGTGTGAATTTATTCAGATTTACTTTAAAATATAGTAATCATGGAATAAAGACAATTTTAAATTAGTGATACAATTTTTAGAACTTATCTTTGTTCTGAGGAGTTATAATTAACAAGGTAACCATCAAATGATAGAATGTAAAGTTGAAAGAATTTTATCTAATCTCCCTTTTTAGAAAAGAAAATAACACTAACAGGGTAAACTGATTTACCCAAGGTCTCATAGACATTTAGCATCAGAGTTGGAAGGAATTAATGAATCAGTGAAAAACCAAAAGGAGGCCTTTCAGCTAAGTTAACAAGTGAACAGCAAAAAAAAAAAAAAAAAAAATTGTAATAATAAGTTGTTTGTATGCACAAGAATTAAGAAGAGATTTGTTGTCTTTTATTCGTTCTCCTAAAGGAGTCACTTCTGTGTCTCAGCCCTGCAGTACTTGAAGGTGGGAGCAAGAAAAACTTTAACAGCTGCTGCTAACTTAGGGGAAAAAAAAGGAAAATCAGGCATGTGGTGCCAAGAGAGAAGACGAAAGAATGATTCACTCTCCAACAATATTTATGGCTCTCCTACTGTGTGCCAGGCTGAACACACTTGATGATGTTAATAGGAATGGAGAGAACAAACACAGCATGTGCAAGGTCACCTGAAGCCTCCAGTCAGAACACAAACAGCCAACCAAATTATAAGCAAATAAAAATAGATAACATCATACCATTCAGCAAAATAACTTGAGCACATTTTTAAAAATGAAAACCAAAATAGTTTCACTGGGTGACAAATGCTATCCTATGTAAACCTTTCCATGGAAGCTATCAAAGACCGCTTGTCCTTTTTCCTTCTTAATTGATATAAACTTAGTCTAATGAACAAAAGGATACAATTTTGGCTGCCACTCTGTGTCAAACCAGGAAAGCCTTACTGGCAGTCCATTCTGAGTAATGATTTGGCAGGAGTTAGACCACTTGAAGTGATGACATCACTACATGTACCCTTTCTTTCAGGACAACAAATATCAAATTATGCTTTTTACCATTTTAGGTAATTTGATTTTGAGGCTTCAAAGTTCTAGATCCAGGCCATCTAAAGAATTATAATAATTTTCGTAAGTGTGAAGGCCTCCATGAATACACAACTGAAGAAATCTGAAAAAGCTCCACAGATTGTACCAATGTGAGTTTCTTGATTTTGTTATTGGGCTACAATTATGCAAGATGTTAACATTTGTGGAAGCTTGGAAAGGACGCATGGGTCTTCCCTATATATTTATTTGCAACCTCCTGTGAATCTATAACGATTTACCAGTTAAAAGTTAGAAAAACAAAACAATCTTTTTGTTTTATTATACTTTAAGTTTTAGGATACATGTGCACAACGTGCAGGTGTGTTACATGTGTATACATGTGCCATGTTGGTGTGCTGCACCCATTAACTCATCATTTAACATTAGGCATATCTCCTGATGCTATCCCTCCCCCCTCCCCCCTCCCCACAACAGGGCCCGGAGTGTGATGTTCCCCTTCCTGTGTCCATGTGTTCTCATTGTTCAATTCCCACCTATGAGTGAGAACATGCAGTGTTTGGTTTTTTGTCCTTGCGATAGTTTACTGAGAATGATGGTTTCCAGCTTCATTCATGTCCCTACAAAACAATCTAACTTTTTATTTAGAAATAAAAGTTGGAAAAACAATATCTAAAGTACATTTATTCTAAGTGCAATGAAAAGTGGGGGTTAAGTTATAAATCAAGCGGCCAATGTCTTCGATTAAGGGCTATGAATTGTATCACCTCAAGGGGTTATTTTCCATTCACTGTCAGTCCCACTAACTTTCATTTAGAGGTTGTTCGGTTTAACAAGCATTCAAGCAGCATTCTGAGAGCTAAGAAAAATTGCACTGTTGGCAGCTATATGACACCCAGACCACACTTCATCTTATTAATAGAGTTTCAATGCAGATTTGTCTATGTTCTTACTTTACTGCAGGGCTCATTTTCTTTCATTTGTTCTTCATAAATTGTTTTCATCATCAGAAAAGTGATTTTATAACAGGTACTAAATATTTCCTCAAGTTATATTTTCTTTATCACATTTCCTTTTGTTTCTGGTAAAATATTAATTTTCTTTCATATCTCAACAGCCAATCTAATACGCTCTGACACTGGAATGAAAAATTGTAATCTCTTTTTCTTTATGTGGTGTCTTCAAATTTCCAGGTAGTTTTTCTCATAAAATCATTATTTACTCTTCTTATTGGATAGGGACATTTTAGAGTGGCTATGCTCAAGGATGATATACTAACCTAAATCATTCAAACCTTCTCTGAACTTACTATCTACCACCCTGCAGATAGTGGAAGTTTAATAACACTCATATCTTTAGTTTGCCAACCAACATGGAAAAGATGATAACAGCCAGATGGCATGGGAAGTAGAAGGAAAATTTATGGAAGCAATAAGATCTTTGTGACTCAGGCAAGAATGACAAAGCTTTCGATGTGGGAGGGCTAGTCCCAATTAAAGATATACTTTCTAAAAGAGTGTCAAGAGATATTTGACCATTTTTTTCAGCAGCCAATTAAAACAAAAAGTGTAGTCCCTGATCTTGATTTACATTTGACCCTGACAATGGCATTGCTTTAGCCAGGACATCCAAGCCTAAACCAATCCCTCTTACTCATGCTTGGGTATGACCTGCTTATATAGACCTAGCTTGCTGTATGCTTGTCATACAACAGGATGGGAAACCAAGATGTTGGACCTGCTTTGATCATGGGAAACAATAATTAGAGGGTTCTGTCTTATCTTCAGAACTTTTAATTATTCTTATTGGTAAACAGTGACTGAGAGGAGACAGTAGTCCTTGCTATTCATATCAATCGAGTTGTGAATGGAAGGGGTGCTGTTGTAAACACAAGTGATACGGGGGAGCCAGAGGTGTTGCCGTGTGTGCTTCTTTCCTTGAGGCAAACAGCAGCACCAGCTATAGCTCCCTCTCTTCTGAGATTAGAGGGAAAATGGATGGCTGTTTTTGTAATTGCAAAGCATTTAAATCTGTTTTTAAGGGATTTATTTATATCCTACAGTCAATACATTTAGTAAACTGAGCAAAACCCTGCCTGCAATGACAACTTCTTAAACTGCATTAAGCAGCTTTGTTTCCAGCTCCAGTCAATAGAGGGACAACAGGCAACTCCTCTGTGGTTTCTGGACAATTTGTCTTTCCCCATTAATTGACTTTGGAAATGGTTCCTCCCCTGATTGAATTTTGCTGCTGTATATAGAAAGTAACAAAATGTGTTATAGTTGAAAGAAAGAGTACTTACAATCTTCTGACCCAATCCTTATCTGACAATCATACCCTCAGCAGAAATATGTCTCATCTTTATTTTTTTTTTCTAGACAGAGTTTTTTGCTCAGTCACCTAGGCTGGACTGCAGTGGCATGATCATGGCTCACTGCAGTCTTGAACTCTGGGGCTCAAGCGATTCTCCTGCCTCAGCATCCTGAGTAGCTGGGACTACAGGCACCTGCCATCACAGCCAGCTATCCCATCTTGACAAATAAGCAGAAGAAAAACCTACTAAGTATCTTAAAGAAGAATTTACTCCTGATAAACTAACTCTTATAAAGGAAAATTAACTATATAATGCCAAAATTTTGAGATAATAACAGGATTATGGACCTAGGAAGTTTAACATCAGTAACATGTCTTTCTTGGTCAATGTTCAAATATCATCTTAGAGTCAGAAATATCACTGTCCCATCTTATAAGAAGGAAGAAAGCAATAGGCAACAAAAGAATAGCCAAATGGGGTTACATCAAATGTAAATACTTCGGCTCAGCTAAGGTAATGATTAATAGAGTGTAAAGGCAAACTGTGGACTAGAAGAACACATTTGTAAATAATATATCTGATAAGGAGTTACTATCCAGAATATATGCAAAACTCCTGTAACTCAAGAACAAAACAAATAACCCAATTTTAAAATAGACCAAAAAAACTTAACAGATATTTCCCCAAAAAAGCTATACAAATGACCAACATGCAAATGAAAAAAAAAGACGTTCCACATTACTAATCACCAGGACAATGCAAATCCAAACCACAGTAAAAAATGCTGCCACATCAATTAGGATGGCCACAATAAAATCGTTATAAAAACACAATAGAAAATAACAAGTATTGATGAAGATAAAGATAAGTTTTTCATAGCAGCCATACCAGTTTGCATTTCCACGTTGGAACATATGGTTTAAAGGTTTCTTGAAAAACTAAGAATAGAATTATCATATAATCAATTCTGCAATCCTACTTCTGGGTATATATTCAAAAGAATTGAAAACAGGATCTCAAAGATATATTTTTACATCCATGTACAGATTTGTAGCATTATTCACAATAGCCATGAAGAAGATGAATAAATGGATAGAGTAAATATAATATATCCATACAATGAAATATTATTCAGCCCTAAAAAAGGAAATCATAAGCCATAATATGAGTAAACCTGACGACATTATGCTAAGTGAAGTAAGCCAGTCATAAAAAGACAAATACTGTATAATTGCACTTACATGAGGTATCTAAAATAGTCAAATTTTTAGAAACACAAAGTAGAATGCTGGTTCCCAGGGGCTTGGAGGAGGGAGAAAGAGGACTTTTTCAATGGGTATAGAGTATCAGTTATGCAAGATGATCTAGAGATTTTTGTACATTACTGTGCATATAGTTAAAACTACTGTACTGTGCACTTATACATGATTAAGATGGGAATACTGCACCATATTCAAAGCAGGAAAGTCTCTTATGGGCAGCAGCAGGGCCTAAAGAATACTTGGATTATCACTGTTGTGTGTGGAAGTGGGAAAAGGAGTGAGAGGCAGACCACATCCACTACCTGGGTGCTTTGTGGAAGGCAGAACTTATGAAAGATTGGTGAAAAAAAAAAAAATCTAAGCAAAGTGTTGAGGGTGTGGCATGGCTTCTCCTGACTGCTTAATAGCAAAATGTGAGAAGAGAGAAACAAAATAAATATGGAATTTATAATCAAAAGGAAAGCACCTATCACTTCTAGAGTTAGAGGCTTCAAACTCCAGTATTAGAGATTGAAGCCCAGAAAGGCAAAAAAAGAAGCAGGCTATGCTGTAAAGAATGAAAAGTCATATTCAGGAGAGAACACCAAATATATGGCCAAGCAAAAGTCTGATAATATGGCTAAAGGGAAGCCAAATGCTATTCATCAAGACAACAGAAGAATGATCCCAAAGGCATTTCAGAGATTATTGGTGCCTGTCCCTTTCATCAGAGGCTCAGAGTATCAAGGCCTAGGAGACAGAACTATGTCAAAAGAGGGGCCTTAGGCCCCTGTGTGACCTTAGCACTTACTGCCCTATGCCATCTCAAGTGCCTGTTCTCTGTATTCTAGCAGAGCACTCCAAGGCTTCTCCAGGTGTGGACCAAGTGGGCCCAAATGTAACTCAGGCCGCCCCTCCAGAGGGCACAAGCAGTAAACCATGGCAGCGTCCACATGGTGCTATCTCTGCAGGCACACAGGGTGAAAGAGCATGGGGGCATGGCGACATCCGCCTTGATTTCAAAGGATGCCCAAGAGTGTCTCAAGGTCCAGGAGAGAATTGCCACAGGGACAGGGCTACAGCGAAAAGTCTCCACCAGGGCAATGCCTAGCAACGCTGTGGGGTCAGGACCACCACAGAGAGCCCCTACTAGAGCAATGCCTAGTGGAGCAACAGGGGCAGGGTAGCCCCCAAGACCTCAGCCTAGAAGAGCTGCAGGCATGCAACTCCAGTGCATAAGAACTGCTATATGGACTACACCCAGCAAAGCCATGGGGGCAGCTTCCCCTGGGGCTTTGAAGGCTCAATCCTCATCCCAATGTGTTTTGAAGTTGGGTCACAGAGTCAAAAATTATTCTCAAGGCTCAGTATTTAATGTTGCTTACCTTGTCAGATTTTGGACTTAAGTGGGACGTATTACCCCTTTATTCTTGTTTATTCTTTCTTTTGTAATGGAATGCCTACCTATGCCTGTCCCACCATTGGATTTTGGATTTAGATAATACTTAGATAAGATTTCAGACTTAGATCTTAAAGTTGATGCTGGAACAAGTTAGGGCTCTTGGGGCTATTGAGATGGAATGAATGCATTCTGTATATGAGAAAAACATGCATTTTGGGGGAGCCAGAAGTGGATTGTTATGGTTTGAATGTTTGTATCCCTCCAAAATTCATGTTGAAACTTGATCCCCGTTGGGTTGGTACCAAAAGGTGGGGTCTTTTGGGAAGTGATTAATTCCCTTATGAAACAGGCTTCAGGGAGCTGCCTTTCTCTTTGGTCTCTTCTGCCATGTGAGGGCACAGCCACAGGAACCATATAGGAAGCAGAGAGTGAGCTCTCACCAGATGCCGAATCAGCCAGCACCTTGATCTTGGACTTCCCAGCCTCTACAACTATGAGAAATAAACTTCTATTATTTATAGGTTACCCAGTCTATGATACTTTTTATAGCAGCAGGAAAAGCCTGAGACAACTCCAATGATACTATCAGCATACTAAGCAAAATGTATTCATATCCTGAAATTTGACGCTTCCTATCCCTTTCTTCTTGAAAATAATTTTTATCTTCTGAAAAAAAATTCCTCTCCTTTAATAGCTTGCCTGTAAGTATTTGCTCAGAATTATCTTGTACTTTCCCATAAGGATTTCACACACTACAACAGCTTCAACTCTACCTGAAATTCAGACACCCAAATCTACATTTGTGGCACTGGAGGTACTGCCCTCAAGAACTGTAAAGTCTACCTGCTTGACACCTGCTACGTTCTACTCTTCTCTGCCCAATCCCCCAAAAAACTTAAATTCTACCTTAAATTATCTTTCTACACTCTTCAATTAACTGGTTTTTCCTCTTGATTTTTTTTTTATTCTGTAATTGTAGCAACATCCATCCAAGCATTCTTACATGAAATCTTGGAATCATATCTTCTCCCTGCTTACATTCAATAAATTCCTAAGACTTGTAGATTCTTACTCAGGAATTTGTTTCACTTTTCTTACCTCTATTTTCTCTCTCACCAACCTGATTCAAGACCTCATCATTTCCTATCTTTCTTTACCTAAACTTCCCATTAGAATTCTATGCAATTTACCAGATCAACCATTCCAATCCCAGTTCTGGCTATATCCTATCCATCTCTGTGGAATCCCATAACATATTGTTAAATCCTCTTCTTTACTCCATTTTGCCTTAAAGTAATTTTATCACTGAATTTTGCACTTTTGGAGCAGAGAACCTGTGTTTTCTCCTCTATAAAGAAGCATCTAGCAGAGATTTGCCTATGGAAGTAATTAAGAACATTCTACTGAAACTGAATTCAATTTAGAAAGGCTTCTTTGAAAAGAACACATCAGTTATACCAATTTCAGTTTTTCTTCAAAGCAGCTGTCAACACTGTAGATATTATTAGAAAATATTGGTAAGTTTACCAAATATATCATGAAGGACTAATCTGTAGAAAACAAGTGAGTTAATTTCAAACTTTGTACAACTTTTTCTCTCCCTCATTTTCTTAATTTTTGGGTTTATTTGACTCCATGTATGCCGTGGTGTTATGGTATTCCCCAAATGTGCATATTGAACTATACATAAACACATGTACACACACTAGATAATTGTCAATAAATTTAAACCTAGTTTTAGAGAAAGGGAACAGGTTCACTTTACCTGAAGAGGAAAAAATCTGGGTTAACTCATGTACTGAGTTAAATTATTGAACCTGAAATTCAGTGGTCCATGAGTGATTAATAGAGGAAACACACTTAATGAGGCTGAGGACTAATATTTGTTTTTAGGGATGTTACTCCTACAGTTGTTGTTCTATAGAATATCACATAAAAATTATTGCCAGATGTAACTTTAATTAAGAGTTGGGTAAATACATGCGTCATTTATCAATATAAACAATATGAATTTGAAGGGTTATATAAATATGGTCATATCTCTTATATTTCATTTATCTTTTCAGCCCTGGTACTTATGGAGTTTGGTATAAAGACGGTAGTCAACAAGTCCTTGATGAACTGAATGTGCTCATTCTTTTATCTCCTATGCTCTTGAGGAGTTGAAACTCTTACTTGCAATTGTTTGTTAAGCTAGGCAAAGACCTTAGGAGCCTTATTGTCAATGGGCAGATCAGTTGAAGAAAAGAATTAGAGCAAAAATATCCCAAGGCAGGCCAACTTTGCCTAGGCAAAGATTTGTATACAGATCTAACGAGTTTATGTGGACCCTATTACCTTACTACAGCATTAATGAGGGCTGAAATTGGAGCTATTCCTATTACATACTGTAGTATGCAATAAAGTACCATGCAATAAAGATAATAGCAACTTTATAGGAAGAGGTTGAGAGGAATAAAGACTAAACCCCTACTACAGATAAGGCAAGAATACTGCATGTAAACAGATGGAACATTTACGGTTTCCTCAATCCTTCTCTTACAACAATGCCTGCTTTAGCCTTACTACTAAAGTGTGGTCCATGAAACATCAGCATCACCTGGGAACTTGCTAGAAATGCAGAATCTCAGACTTTCCCCAAGACCTAAAGTATCAGTCTATATTTTCACAAGAATCCAATGTGATTCATAAATTTAAGTGCTCATGAGAAACAGTTTACTTGACATTGTATAAAGTAACACAAGGTACTAGTAGTGAATCGTGGATTAGAACTAGCACTGGACCATTCTTGAAATATTGAAATGAGACAATGCTACATAAACATATTAATACTAATAACATAACAGCATACTTGATTCCTGCTCTGATTTATATTTGAATCCATTATGGACATAGCAAAGAACTGGGAAACTCAGGGATATATTAGACATTTGTCATCCACAAAACACCTTCCTCAGGGAAGACTTCAACTCTCAATAGACAGTAATGCATGAAGGTCTCCATATAAGTATGCAAAACGCATGAAAGCACACACATGGCAGCAAAGGCAATACTATCACTTACTCTTAAGCCTTAAAACCTACTACAGGAAAATATCATTGGCAATATTTAGTAAAAGTACAAGCACATTCAACTGCCCATGAGGCATTATACATTGAGGCATGGATAGAGGAAAAGTCACATCAGTCCAAGAAATTAATTGTAGTCCTATTTGCACCTGTTTTAGGAAAATAAAAATAAATGTGTGTCCATTCAGGATTAGCTTTTCAAAGCTAGTCTTCCAACCCCGGGAGACACCAGAAGTAATGCAAGCCTCTATAACACATCCATTTGAAACCCCCACAGATTTTGCTATAGAACCTTGGTTCCAAACCTTCCTGCCTCCAGGGTTCTGTTGGAACATGTAGAATATAAAAGGTCACAAAGATACCTGAGCAGGATCCATATCCCGCAACAGAGAACAACTGGAAAAGGGAATTCTCTGAAGACAGCCTTCAGTGTAACCTAAGTCAATGCCCCAGGGGAAAGGGATATTAAGGACAGCTATAGCTGAGTCTCCTTAGGGAGAAAATCAGAATGGGTACAGCAATCAGAGGCCTGTGCTGGGCCACACAGGGAAGATCTTTGCCGGTGTTTTAAATTGCATGCTTAGCCAAATCGTGAAATAGTGCTCTTTAGGACTCAGCGCCTTTCTCAACTTGGACCTCGCTTTGCTTGTGATGGCCCGTCATGGTCACCAAGGAGCTGCAGTTATTCATTATGGATTATGTGTACACATTTCAGCAAGGCAGTATCCATCTCTGTCCTCCCTATCAGACATCACAAGGTTAATGTGGAAAATGCTATCTGAGTGTTAATCATGTATGAAAATGGCTGCTGAGCGGAAGAGGGTTGGGAGGACTATGAGGAACCAAGAAAATGCATTCCCTTTCTAGAATATGCATGCGTTGGGAATCGATAAACTGAGATGCATATCCTTGCAACTTCAGGGGAAAAATGGATGACAACTTGCCTCCTTTCTAGGACACAATCAGTATTCTCACTAATCGCGTCACATACAGCATCGTGCTTCAGGCTTCTGTCATCTGGAAGCCTTTCTGTTCTCTTAAAAGTCTTTAAGGGCAATGTATTTGGGGCTTTGCCACAAAAAAAGGAGGAGTGGGATGCTATAAAAAGGCAAATGCTGTTATATATCATACACGGAGGATTTGTTTTCCTTTTTGCTGTTAGTGGCATTGTGAGATGAGATGTTCTACAAAAGTGAACCCTTGTAACTGAAGTCTTTTCGTTTACATGCCCAAACTTTCCATTTTCATTTTAACCATTTTAAATGAGATGCTTTTTACATTTTTAGACTACATACTTGGATGTGCAAAAATTACAACGCTCTTTATTTCTTTATAATTAAATTTACATTAGCACATGAGCCATTGTTCTCCACCTTTGCCAATTAAAGGCAACCTAGTCTCTCCAGTCAAAGTTCCATCTCTTCTGAGTAACTGCTCAGTCCATTCAGAACTCTCTCTCTTCACATTCTTCCTTTCCTTCTCACCAAATATCTGATGGGTTCCGGAGAAAGATGAGCATGCAGGGGAGAGGCGTGTATCACCACTTGTACTTAACGCCTTTTCTTTTTTAAATTTTTATTTTTAACTGACAAATAATAATGGCATATAGTTATAGGGCACAATGTGATGTTTTCATACATGTGCATGTTGCAGAAAGATTCTACCAAGCTAATTAACATGTGCAGCACCTCACTTATCCTCTTGCCCTTTATGTTATCCTCATTGCTGCTGGCCCCTGCCCATGTCAGCCGGGGCTATACACGCGGCCTCCTGACTGGAGAAAGTATGTCGAGTGTGCAGGCTCATCTCATCCACTTCAGAGGAGTGATGCTGAAGGGAAGGGTCACTGAACTCTTTTCAATGGATTCCCCCACTACATTAGAGAACCCTGAAGAACTTATGACCTGGGAGATCTACTGAACTATTGCTCCTGACTATCCTCATGTGCCATTGGACACGTGCCTTATCTAAGAGTCTCTCAGTGTTCCTTTAATATACCCTGGAGCAAAAGGCGCTGCTTTCAGACCCTCCAGATTGATCTAAGATTTTAATCACTACCCCCTACCCCTTATCAAAGTAGGAGGGGGCACTGGGCCTTTCTCAACGACCCAGGCAGTATCTAAGCTCCAGTCACATCCTCCTCTAATTCTGTTGCCCTCTCTGACCAGGAAATGGCATTTATCTCATCAGGCATTCCTCCCACTCTAGGGGTTAAGGTCCAAATTCTATGCTCTGAATCTCCCAGGCTTCAGGCCTTACTATTTAAAGGCAAGCTTCTGGAATTCATGAAATCTAATTTTCTGACCTGAGTTTCTGGTTCCTTCAATTGAAAGCTGTAGCTTTTAAGACTTTTATCTATGCTATAGATATACAAAAGTATGCACAAGAGCTCAAAAGCCTAGAATTTACTCTTTTCTTTCTGTATCATCTCAGCCCTGCATAGCAGAGCAATATAGATAACTTTCACTGCTGTTTCGATGATAAGAAGTGAAGAGTTAGAAGGAATTGGAAAAATACACAGCTTAATATCAAAGTATTACACTGCTACACGTGACTTATTTACTTCCTAAAGAGGGGATGCTGAACATAATTGTGCATTTTCTGAATAATGTATGCTGCTTATTGGCCTGGGTTGTAAGCAAATGCCTTTTAGTTTTACTGTTTCTGCCTTTCCCATCAGGCTATCAACTATCACTGCTATTTTGAAGGCTACCTCCAGATCTGCCTCTTTTCTAGTTTCTAGTTTCTTGCCTGTTATGAGCTGGATAACCATATAACCGAGCTTGTTAAAATTGAGTATTAAAGGAAAGTCAATAAGAAGTCCTGGCCCGAGAAGTTAAGTGCATGCCTTTGTAACCGCTATGTCAGCCTAAGAGGCTGTTTTTTTTTCTTACTTCTAAGTTTGGGCTGAGTTTTCAAGGGTAGAGGTTGTCAGAAATTCCACCTCTGAATAAGTGGATCATTACTATCATTTAAGGCATAGTTGGTATCATTCTCCTTCATAAAATTGACACAATAAATGCCTTGAAATTGATACCATGAGCATCATGTTTGAACTTAAAATGGGAGTCAAAGCCCCATTTTCCAATATATCTAGGTTATTTTCAGATATCTACAAAAAAGCAAGCATGCCATTAGAAAGCAATGGGTTTTTCTTTCTCTCTGCTTTCATTGACAAAAGTATATTTTCATTTCTCTTTCCCATGAGAACACTGACTTCAGTTATTCAGAGTTCAGATTTTTGACCCAGCTGCCACTGCAAAGGTTTCAACTGAACATCTTCAATTGTGAGAGATCAGTACACAAATTGGGCTATAAAACCATGGCATTTCCTTATAATTGCTTGAGAATGTCTCAGATTAGGAACAAAGTCAAAGATAAAAATATAAGGCACTCAGATCAATCTTTAGGAAATTCTTAATCATCTAAATAAATATATTATGCAGCAATTCTTTCATTCAGCATGTTGACACCTTGAGGGGAATAATATCCTAACTTCAAAGCTGAGGGCTTTTAGCTTTAGGGCTGCTCATTTTTCTCAAGTATCAATAGCAAAGATGCTCCAGGTGAATAGATACCAAGGATCAGCCATACAAAGCCAATATATTAGGGGTATATTAGGAGTATATTAGGAGGTTCACTCTTCCTAGTTACTAAAACTGAAGACATTCAGCATTAACTCACTGGAACTAGAGCCTTTTGTCTAGTCGATTTTTTATTTGTTTTGTTTCTCTTTTTCTCCACCTCACACTTGGCTAATAGGAAGAATGCAATAGCAGGCGAGATATTCAAACTTACTCATGTTCTACAAATAAACACCTCATTAGCTTCAATCTTTTTACACTGCTGGAAAACGCAGCATCCATATTTTGCTACCTGCTCCTAGCAGTAGCTCCATGGTTAATCTCCTGTACCTCTTGGTTTAATAGGATTTTTCCTCTTGCCTTTGCTTGTGTTGCACACTCTTAAAACAACTCTTCATACCGAGTGAATACAAAATAAACAATTGATGAATTCATTCATTTCTTTAGGAAATATATATTTGCACACTAAGTGTTATATCAACAAATTAATACAGTTTCTGCCTATATTAGTAATCCATTGCTGCATGAAAATATTACCACAAACTTAGCAGCTGTTTTTGGCAGCTTAAAACAACACACATTTATTATCTCACAGCTTCTGTAGGTGAAGAGTCTGAGCACTGCCCTCGTAGGCATTATAATCTAGTGAAGGATACAGTTAAATAAATTATCAGGTACATCATGTTGTAATGAGCAGGGCCTACCCCTTAGACCCAAGCAGAAGAGAGGATGCTATGAATGGGCATGAATGTGTGGGCTGCAGTGTTCATATGCATGCCTAGGAGGCTCCTTGAGGTGAAGCATATAGCTGGAGATGGCAAAAGGAGTGGGACAGGAGTAAAGATAGCTCTTTCCCTGTGCCATCAAGTTCTGCCTGAAAACTTGGGACGTCTGAGAATTCTACATTTGAATCAGGCTTTCCAGGTTATCATGAATGTGCATTTGTCAGCTAAGAATAGGATGTGTGGGCCACTGTCTATTCTTGCACCAGGCTCTTCAGATTTCAGGGGTAGACCTGATGCTAATACCATGATATAGGTAATTCTTGGGAAAGAGTTCAGATGAGAGCTACATAACCTCAGATTAGGAATTATTCTAGAGGTGGAGTGGGAGTATTGGGGGACACACCAGCCATGAGAATGAGCCTCTCAGATTCTGGGGGCAGGGAGTATAATTGAGCAACGTCCTCAGCTACTGTGCTGTGAAATCCACCACCATGTTTGCACCAAGGCCGCTGCTCTCAGCCAGTGACTGGGTTGCTCTCACATCAGGGATTGTGTGGGTTGCTCCCAGCCAGAGATTGAGTGTGGCAGGGATATTAAAGGAGACCCATTCCCAGGAGATGTAGGATTCCTCCAAAGGTTGACTTTGCCTTAACGACTCCCCAGTGGCCTTCTAAACTCTTCATAGAACTGCTCGACAGTCCCATACACTTCCCTCCAGTCCTTCTTCCTTCCTTCCCCTCTCTTTCATTCAAGGTCAGCCTCCCAGAGCTGTCTGGCGGCTTTCTTAATCTCAACCAGCTTCCTCCCTATTTTCCCTCACTGGTCTTTTTTCTCTAAATTCATTGCATGTTTAGTCCTATTTTGTATAATGCCTTCTACCAATAAGTTTCTTCCAATAAGATTATTCTAGGAAGCCTTCCTTGTTCCCCTGTGTTAATCCAGGTCCTCTGACAAGTCTGTGCTCAATAACTCTGCAGGACAAGCAATGGCAAGCCAGATTGTAGTGGCCCCTCAAATCACATGCAGTCGTCATCTCAGCAACACATCACAGAGTCAGAAGAAAATTTCCCATCCTCTAGGGGAGGTGACATTGCCTAGGATGACTGCAGGGGTTCAAACCCTGGCTCCTCACATATAAGCTGTGTAAATTGGGCAGATTATTCCATGGGTGTGCCTTAGTTTCTCTAATTGTAAAAGGATGAAAATTGTAGTGCCTATCTCATAAGATTATAGGGAGAATTAAAGGAGTTTATTCCTGTAAACCTTTAAGAACAGCACTTGGCTCCATAGGAGTCATTCAAATACAAGGTATAAAATAAGGAAAAAACAAAGCTTTAAGAACTGTAAATCTTCTTAACAATCTTGAAAATCTTGGCACCTAAAACAAAGCTACATTTGCTTTTAATTTTCTACAGAGAAGCTTCCCAGAAATGGGAACAAATGACTGCCTTTTTTCACATAACACATTATACAATAGGATTTGTAAAAAGCAATGTATATTTCAGGGGGACCATGAATCTGTGTTTACATTTGAAGATGTGACTAAAATATTGCCACATTTATAAAAGTTATCATAATCTTATCTTTTAGAATGTTTATGGTAGAAAAATTGTCCTGTGTCACAGGTATCTGCAGACCCCTCGTTAAATGTCAAAAATCTCCAGAAATCATATTATTGTAAAGTAGAATGGATGGCGCCAGATATGCTTGCTTACTTAAGCACTTGTTTAATTTACTTCAATAACTTTTTAAAATATTGAGATAAAAATTGGTATTTTAGTGTAAGTCTGTGTGTCAGGGAATTTAGACAATTTAGAGCTGCTATATCATTCTGCTAAAGGTTGAATTTCACCAAACATAAAAAAAAAATTATCACAGCCCAGTAAACTTTAATGTTCAAAACCAGGTCTTTTTAACTCCTAAAATACTGAATTTTGCCTCTTGAAATACAGCATTCAGAGCTGTGTTTTTCTAAAACATATTTTCTGATGGAAGTACATACATAGCAAGCACTATAGGCCCAGATGAAATGTATACGTGTGCTGAGTCACCTCCTTGATGGGAAAACCTCACTTAGAAGTTTTTAAAGTTTGCTGTAGATAAGCATCTAAAATTTAACCACTTTCAAAGTCGTCAATCCCTCTTGCATTTACAAAGTGAGCCAGAACCATGCAGAGTGCAAACGTTCTTTAAAATGACTCTAACAATTTTTGTTAACATTTTTATGCTATAAACACTTATGCTTATGATTATTACTTATAATAATTATATTGTGGATTTAAGATTGCCATAGGGAATCACTATCAAAAGGAAAATATTATTAAAAATCTTTTTGTAGTGATTTTTATTGTATGATAATGTAATGTAGCGTTTTGAAAACTGAGACTCCTAGTTTTAAAACATGGGCCACCCCTTATTAGCTTGTGTAACCTTGAATAAATTACCTAATATCTCTGAGCCTCAACTTCTTCATCTGCCAAAATGGAACATTGTCACAAGAATTACATAAAATATAGCATGGAAAACTTTTGGAAGAATACCTGACTCAGGGAGACAATCATCAGATACAGTTCCCTTCTGCTTGCCTTCAGAAAAACAAACCTGAAATGGGAAGATTGTGATGGGGTAATATGTTTCATCCATGTATACTAATAAAGGGACATTTTCTAGTCTTAAAAGTATCTGTTTGTGATATCAGTTTTCTTGCCTTCATGGATAGTCATTCCTTTTCTCATATGACTGAAACCTAAGAAAAACACTCCTGTGATAAGTCTTCTAATAAAACTCCATCTACTAGAATTGTCTTCTAGCAGGATCAAACTATAAGTTAATCTACTTGGAATAGTCCCAGATATAAGAAACCTACCCAATGTTAGAAACCCTCTGGTTTTTTTTGTGATCCAAATGGATAGATAAATATGTAAAATAATAAATTAAGTGCAAAATTGTCACAAAGAACAGTTTTAGGCTCCAATCGTCATATTTTGAGGATCATGAGAAGTTTTCATCACCGTACTCATTCCCTTGTGGTTTACCTCCAGACCAAATTGATTCCAAAGCTGGATATCTGGCCAAATCTATGGAGGTCATGTCTAAGGCTCCTGAGGATTCTCAATCTCTCTAAAATGCACTCCCTTGTCCCCTGCCAGAAATATCCCTGTATTTCCATGCAGTTTGGAATCTATCTTGCCTAACAGAAGACCCTGAACCACCTTCCAGAAAAACTCATTTTGAAATTGGAGCTGAACCAAGAATTAACCAAGTCCTAATCATTTGGAGCTCAAAAGAAGCTCCTTGAAGGGGTGCTCAGATAGGCCAATACTTCTCACTTAGCTTTCAGAGGCTTTTTAACTAACAGATGACAACTTAGGAATAGAAGCACGTTCTTGATAATTATACTGACATAGACTGGAAGTCTAATCATTAGGCTAACTTTTATAATAAAGCTAGTTCAGAGATATATGGGAACATAAAAGCAAGTAGGACAAACTCCAGGGGTAGGGATGGAAAACAAGAAGGCTTCCCAGAGAGATGACATTTCAGATAGCTATCAAAAAATGAATATATGGTCACCACATTCAAAAGGATGATTAGAAGGTGTATTCCAGGTAAAAGAAACAACTTAGGGAAAAACACGGAAATATGAAAGAAAAAAGCACCCTGGGGGACTCTATAGTACACAGATATCCTGCTTTGTGATGTTCTCCTGAGTGCTAATTTCTTATAAAACTATTTGTCCCTGCATATTCCTCATTAAAATGGATAAAAGACATCACATGCGTGCTTATATATCTACATGCTGTTGTTACATGTGTTTTTTACATTCTCAGAGCACTCTCCAACATTTTTTCCAATGGGTGCTCCCACCAAACTGCTTTCCACCCTCAGTCAATGAGAGTTAGCATACCATCATGCAACAGCTCTCAGCCAATGAGCTTTTATCAACCAATCCTGGGCTGAGTGCATTCTGCAAAATAAATTTATCTTTCTGTGGCCTCTCTCTGAAATTAGTGTTGTATGCTTACAAACAGCTTTGATACATCATGACTGCCAAGAGATGATGTTGCTGGACCTGCAGCTAAGAAACAAATGAAGAAGATGGCACGGATATTAAAATGCCAGATACTGCTGCCCTGTATTTTAAAGGAAATCGTCAAAGAAATAGGATAGGAACCACAAAGTCAAATGAAGCACTTAGTAAAGATCACTGGAACCTGAAACAATTGAGTAACCAACAGTAAAAATGTTAAGGGAATTATAGACAGAGGTATGGCATGGAAGTCAGGGGACTTAAAGAAAGTGTGAAAATAAAGAGCAGCTGCCAGTGTGTGATGCTGGAAAGGAATTTTGGCTCTGATTTACAATGCACAAACTTAACTCTAAACCAGGTGGGCTTCTGGCTCGTTGTGACTGGAGGCTAGAGTATGCTGGGAGATGCCACAGGAAGGAAATTAGGAAGGTAAACTAAGGCCTGATTTACCTTAAAAGAGTTCATGTTCCAACTATAAAGCTTAAACTTATTCTCTAGGGAAAGCAATAGAAAAAAAAAATTTCAAATGATGAAATTACAGAAAAAAAATTTGTGTTTCAGAAATTAATGATGGAGTAACACCTCTTTTTAGTAGCATAAAATGGCATTATCTATGAAATAAACCAGGAGATTAACACTGTTATAAAATAATAGATTGAGAAAGAATATACAAAACAATATAAATATAAGGAAGAACTCCAAACTCCAGAGTTGTAAATTCCAGTGAAAATACAGCAGGTAAAAGCAAGGTTTCCTGGTCTGGTACCAGCTGCCACCTGACCCATCCACTCTTAGTACGTCTTCCTATCTATGTTTATTCTCCCTTTTCTTCTATCTTATTCTACCTCTACTCTGAAAATACAGATGGACCTCAGCAGATGAAACAAGAGACACTTAAAATGTCAGGTCACAGGGAAAGGTTACTCAGCAGGGACATATCCTACTCCAACATGCCCTACCTAGCTTGACAGAAGAGTTGAAAAGGTTGCCAACGCCTGTTAGACAATCTTACAGGAATGAAGGCACTTTTATCTCTTTTAGCCAAAGGATCACAAGAAACTGAAGGTCAGGTTTTTAATAGAAGATGAAGGTCCACTTCATTATGAGTTTCAAACACAGAAGATCATAGTACCACAACAGCAACGTGAGAATCTCAGAACAAAGTAAACTGCCATATTTCCCATAGGGAGTTTCCCAAGCATAATTGTTAGTTTCATAGTCCTTGAGGTTTTGAGATGCTTACTAATATTTTCATGGGGGCACCTTTCTTTGAAATTACAACCCCTAGTCCTTTATCACTTAAGGACAGGAGTGCTTAACTATTATGTAGTCAAAACAGTGGCATTCAGAAATATCCTGTTAGTCTTACAGATAAAATCAGTTGAACTTTAGACAGTAATAGAGATTAGCCATCATGATTATGGCACTGTGCTATAAAGATGACACAGCTTATGAGATTTTGTTACAGCAAACACCCTCAAAAAGGACTTCATGTCATCCATTTTCAACATCCTTGCAGGAAGTATGACTTCAGTGGTACTCTGATTGTGAATGCCATACTAATGACACCAGCAAGAGCACCCACTCAGAATAGCTGGTGAATTTATCAGGTTTACCCATCTATAAGCCTTTAGGATCCACTGTCATTAGTCTGAATAATGGCTCCAGTGTCTATAAATGAAAACAGTCCTCTACATGAATAATCACTTCAGAGAACAGGAAAATGTTGTGGGGGAGGAGAATCAAAGATTACATTTCATTGTGGGAGTTACTCAGAATCTTCTACTCATTTCTTTAACTAGCAAATGTTCAGGAGAAAAAGCTTGTCTGTGCTGCAAGAACTGGGGGAAAGTTGTCAAATAGGATTTATAACTGGAAAATGAAAAGATTTTCTAAGCAATGTTTAAGAATTGAGAATCATAATATATATTTTGCACTTCACTACTTTAAAATTAATGGTTCCAGAAATCAAAAGGACAAAAATAATTAGAAAATTAATTGAGAGACTAAATTTAAAGAACTAAAGATGTCCACACAAATGCTTACATTCTTAAGTAGATTTGAGAAACTCCAAAGCATAACTAGCATAAAGAAGCTGAGTATGGGAGGAATCATTTGGAGTAAACTGTAGTATATTTCATAGCAAATAGATCCATTTGTCTTGCGGGTCCTTATTATGAGTCTGTAAACCAAAGTGCCAGCTATCACATGGAAATTAACCAAACATTATAAATAGCATTTGTCTTATAATAGAGTCTTCTAAGCTACATTAATACAAAATAATTTCTGTATAGATACTGATTAGCAACCAGCACTAAATTATTTTTTATATGTGCCTCATGAAGGTTGACATGCAAAAGTCTTCTGAAAACACCTCACTGTAGATTGGTTTGTTTAATAAATTCAGTGAATTTAGAATCATATATAAAGAACTCATAGTGATGACAGTTACAGATCAGAAAGTGTCCCTACAATAAGAAAACCACTGGAACACATTGTTCACAATAAGAATGAATGAATGTCAAGGCCTTCCCAAACTAATCAAATCAATTGGCTTCCTACTTTTTTGTGCTGTTTTCATTTGTGAGATAGTAGGCCAGGTAAATCTTGAAATCTAAAGTATTCTGTTTGTAAGCATCATCCACACTAGAAGAGACAAACTTTTCTGTACACTGTCAGGATACATTCTTTTCTTAGAGCAAATACATACTTCTTCATAAGTGTTTTATGCTACTTCAAGTAAGACATGTCCTTCGTGTTCCTTGGTACTATAAACATACCTACAAAAACAGTGAATGAATTATCTTTTTAAAAAATATTGAATGCTCCAGTATTTTTTCTATTTATTCTTTCAAATAATTCAGGTTAAAAATCCACCTTTTTTTTTAATCTGCCTTATATTGTGCTGCAATTCTTAGCTTTAGAGACTGCATATTGGTACCAACTTTATGAAAGTATAAGTTTATATCTCACTCTTAGCAGTTTAGACTTGATACAATTTTATATAAGAGTTTAAAACTTAAAGGCTTATAGTTAAAATAACCTGTGGCACATAAGGCAAATACTGAGCCCCATACAGAGTGTTTTATGTTAATATTATGAAAAAAGTCAAGAGAACAAGATGATATAGTTCTGCTAGAATACTTGAAATCTGATGCCCCTGTCCAAGGCTGTGTCTACACATGAATTTAGAGATTGAATGAAAATGGCAAAATTCAGAAAAGCTACTAATTTTTAGTTAATTAACCCAATGGGTTTACCAAATAATTTGTAAATTTAACTATATAGAGAGTAATATATTTTCAAATTCATCTTAAAACACTAGAAAGGCATCTAATTTATATTTATGCCTTTTATTTATGGCATATATTAGAGTAAGAAAAAATATTTTATAAGATAAAATTTTAAAATTAATGATTCATATTTCTGCACTCAGCCACAATGAAATAATTGGTAGCAAACTTGTCCTCCTAACAGCTAGTGCAATTAGAGCAGAACTACCCTCTCAACAACTAAAAAATTGGATTGGAAAACAGACAGTAAAGGACTATGTTTCCTGAAAGAATAAAAATAAAAAAGATGAGCCCAACAATCAGCATGTTTTTTTGCTGTTTTTTTTTCCCCTAGATTCACTTATTGAGCTGCAGTGTAAGAAGCAGGAGTCTAAGCACAGTATAGCAGCTTTGCTGAACAGAGGAAATAGAGATAAGAGTTCAGGAATGCTGTGGTGACTGGAATTGGATCTATTTCAGACTTTGGTCAAATATACAGCTACATGAGAGTAAAGTTCAATGAGGCTTAGCAAAAGACAGTTACCAGGGAAATAACATCATTATGGAGACATAAGATGTAAGTTCCTAGAATTCAAACAGGATTAATATGTATCTGATTTCAAGAAGCCAGAGCAGTGAGATCTCAGTAAGGATTCAGGTCATCCAGTAGAAATCCCAGAAGAATCACACATTACTAGTAGGGCTTAACTACCACTACAGTACAGGCTACTTTGGAGTCTTTCATTAAAAACCTTAAAAAGAAGTCTTGAAAGGATAAAACTGAGCTGCAAATAATTTAACTGCTAGACAAAATAAAATGCACAACTGACAGGAAGACAAAAAATTTAGATAATCAGCAATAGAATGTGGAAAGTGCCCAGCATTTAATCAATAATTATTAGACACACAACAAAAGAGAGAAATAAATAATAAAGAAACAATAATACATAATAAATTTAGTTATCATTAAAATAAAAATTGTAAATTATCTATTACAAATGTTTTCCAGGATTTAGGCTAAAACATGACCATAATAAGAAAAAATTGAATATATAAAAAATAGCTAAATAGAACATGTAGAAAAGTTAAACTCAATATCTGAATTAAAAATTTTACCAAATGGGCCCAATAGAACATTGGATATTATAAAATAAAAGATTAATGAATAGTGAACCTGAAGACATAGCAATAAACTATCTAAACTAAAGCAAGGAAGGGGAAAAAAAGCTAAAAAAAAAAGTACAGAGTCTCAGTAACATGTAGCGAAAGATCAAACATCTAAAATGTGATAATTGGAGTCTAAGAAGGAAGGGAATAGGAAATGGGCAAAAATATATATATTTGAAGAAATAACAGCAGAAATGTTCTAAATTTGCTAAAAACTGTAAAACGAGATCACAGAAAATTGATGAACCTCAAGCATCATAAAATATACAAACAAAACAACATCAAAGCATGTCAAAATAAAATTGCTGAAATGAATATGAAAAAATCTTTAAAAGAGCCAGAAATAAAAGACACATTACAAACAGGGAAGCAAAAATGAGAATTACTACAGACTTCTCATCAAAGACAATCCAAGCCAAAAGACTAAGAAACAACATCTTTAAGGTGTTCAAAGAAAAATACATAAACCTAGTGTTCCAAAACCAGTGAAAATATGCTTCCAAAATAAATGCAAAACAAAGGCATTTTTAGTCAAACAGTGACTGATTCATCTTGTTACCAGCAGATAGGCTCTCAAAAAAAATTTAAAGAAAGTTCTTCAGGCTGAAGGAGCATCACAGATGGAAATGCAAGTCTATACAAAGAAGGAGAAGAAGTGAAGAGTTACAGAAATGTTAAATATGTGGATAAATATTAAATAAAATATTCTTTCTTTTCTTTAAATGTAATTGACTGTTTAAGGCAAAAATATTAACAACGCAGGCAGCAGAATAATGGTCCTTCAAAGTTGTCCACATCTTAATTTCCATAACCTGTGAATACATTACACTGTACAACAAAAAGGACTTGGCAGATGTGATTAAGGTTACAAGTCTTGAGATGGAGAGATTATCCTGGATTATCTGGGTGGGTCCAATATGATCACATGAGTCTTCAAAAGCAGAGAACCTCTCCCAGCTGTGGTTAGAGAGAAATATACAAAGATGGAAGAAGAGTCAGAGAGATTTGACATGAGGACTGGACATGCCATGCGTTGGGAGCCAAGGAATGCAGCATACTCTAGATGCTTGGAATGACCTTCAGTTTACAGCCAACAAGAGAGTAGAGACTAATTCAACAATCTTAAGGAACTGAATGTCAACAACCAAAATGCATAGGAAACAGACTGCCCCCAGAGTCTCTAGAAAGGAATGCAGCCCACTGACACCTTGATTTTAGCCCACTGAGCCCCATACCAGACTTCTCATCTAAACCATAAGACAACAAATTTATATTGTGCAAGCCACTAAGATTATGATAGTTTGTTATGGCAGTAATAGAAAACTACTATAAATATATTATGGGGTTGATGACATATATAGATGCAAAATGTATGACAAGTATAGATAGCAGAAAAAAAAAACAGAAGAAATGTAAAATTTACATCACACATTGAGTAATATAACATAATTTGAAGGTTGAGAGTAATAAGTTTAAAGGTGCATGTTACAAATGCTAGATAGATTCATAGAAAAGACATATTCCTTGACTCATTGTGTATCAAATTTGGTGGTCTATGATAAGTAAAAGTTTTCATTTGCATTTTCTTTTGCATGATATTAAAGAGCTATTCATGTGTTTGAGAGTTATTTGTATTGTCTTTCCGGTGTGAAGCTATTTTTCAATTGGTTTGCTGGCCCCCTCTTACTGGTTTGTAAGAGTATTTTATATATTAAGGAAATTAACCCTTCCTTATAATATGAATTATAAATATTTTCCCAGGTGTTTTTCTTTTTGAAGAAGGTGTTTTTCAGTCATAGTTAAAAAAGACTTTCCTGCTTGCAGATTATAAATTTGTTTTCATTATTTCCTCAATTTTTGTCATGGCTTTTTAAAAAATATTGCTCTTTGATAATTTTAAAGTTTTCTGAATTTAGGAGAAGATTCCATTTTTTTCAAGATGTCTAGCCATTCTCCCAAGCCACTTATTAAATCCATCTTTTTACAGCTTATATTAGATGTCTTTTTGTCATAAACTAAATTCCTATGAGCATTTATATGTATTTCTGGATTTTCTATTACATTTCTTGTCTGTCTATTCAAGCAGTAATATCACTCTGTTTTTAATGACTGTAGATGTAACATGTGCTTTAATGTGTAACACCACCTAGCACATGCCCCCCAAACACACATACACACACTCATATTTCTAGCTATTTTTGCTTGTTTCATGTAAACTGTAGAAATCAGTTTTTCTGGTATATAAAAATACCATTACCATATTCATTAAAATCCCATTAAATACATAAATTAGTTTATCAATGGGGAGCTGTCAATTTATGACATAAAAATACTTTCTTCATACTATTAGTCTCTATATCTTGGATTCTTTTCGTGTTTTCCTCACAGTGATTTAGAAATAATTCATAGAGATCATGTTTATTTCTTGTTATACTTGTTGTAAGGTTTTTTTTTCTATTATGTATGGGGTCTTTTGTTATGAATTAATATCTCCAACTGGATATTATGCGATACACACACACACACACACACACGACATTTCGGGGGTGGAGTTGGGGGACTAATATACAAAACGACCAGCAAAGGAAATAACTTATTGGCACCTACTCTGTATCAGGCACTGTGGTAAATGCTGACCCATATATTACTTTATGTAACATCATTTATTTATCTACTTGCCAAAAGACAAATGACTAACAGGAAAAAGTTGTACAACTATTAGCACAAAGAGTTAAGTTTCCTAAAATATTTAATAATAAATATATAGAGAGAGAGAGGGAGAGCTAAATGCCAGGCGTTGGATAAATTACAATCAACACACTTTGCAATGCATTTTTAAACTCAATAGAAAGTACAGAAAATCTCTAAGAGCCAAATAAAAGTAAGGCTAAACTACAGTCATGAACTTAGAACTCTGCTGACTCTGTGACAGAAAGCCAGTACCTGAAACCTCTGGTTTGGAGAATTAACAACTACTCTGGGGAACAAAGATTAGTCTTTGGCATCAACAAAGTGAGTTGTAGCCTGAAACTAGTACATAAAAAAGCCAGCGGCCGGGCGTGGTGCCTCACACCTGTAATCCTAGCACTTTAGGAGGCCGAGGTGGGCGGATCACGAGGTCAGGAGATCGAGACCATCCTGGCTAACATGGTGAAACCCTGTCTCTACTAAAAATACAAAAAATTAGCCGGGCGTGGTGGCGGGCGCCTGTAGTCACAGCTACTCGGGAGGCTGAGGCAGGAGAATGGCGTGAACAGGGAGGCGGAGTTTGCAGTGAGCCGAGATCGCGCCACTGCACTCCAGCCTGGGCGACAGAGTGAGACTCTGTCTCAAAAAAAAAAAAAAAAAAGCCTGGGCACTCACCTGGGCTTTCCTCTCAGTTAAATGTTAGTGGTAAAAATTTCACTTGCCCACCAAGAAAACTACAATAAATTTAAAAAAACAAAAAACTATTTCTGCCACTATTCATGAGGAAGGTATGTGTGAGGAGGCAGTGCTTGAGAATGAAGTTCCTTCCTGTGTGTTTTTCATAGATACTGTTCATTAGATTTATGCACAGTTTGGTAAAAGATTTTATCATAAATGATATTGAATCTTCTTGAAAGCTTTTGCTACCTCTATGTCTCCTTTAATCTATTTATAGATTTAATTAATTACCCTTGAATTCTCAGAATAAGCCCAACCTGATCATTTGAAAATTGAATTGCCAAATGTTTAATATAGAAATTTTACATTTAAATTAATAGAGTTTCTCTAATAAATTGCCTTTTTATATTGTCCAGGTATTGTCATGGGAAAAAAATCACTTTTACATATTTTTATTTTAACAGGATAAATTTACTAAAGTTATTAATTTGTTAATCTACCTTTATATCCAGAAAGAGAAGAGACAAACAACAGAGTCCTTAACATATGTGTAAAGAAAGGAGTCAAGATATCTCAGATTAGATGTCACCTTTCATCAGAAACAATGGTTTACAAGGATTTGCGGTTAAAGGTTATGTTCTCCAAAAGATAACAATATATCTTTAAAAACATGTTTTTTTTAATTTCTTCTGAAAAAAAAAAACAAACAAAAACAAAACGGGATACATGTGTAGAACATGCAGGTTTGTTACATAGGTATAAGTGTGCCATGGTGGTTTGCCGCATCTATTGACCCTTCCTCTAAGTTCCCTCCCCTCACACCCCAACAGACCCTGGTGTGTGTTGTTCCCCTTTCTGTGACCATGTGTTCTCAATGTTCAACTCCCACTTATAAGTGAGAACATGCAGTGTTTGATTTTCTGTTCCTGTGTTAGTTTGCTGAGGATGATGGCTTCTAGCTTCATCCACGTCCTGCAAAGGACATGATCTCATTCCTTTTTATGGCTGCACATTATTCCATGGTGTATATGTACAAGATTTTCTTTATCCGGTCTATCATTGATAGGTATTTGGGTTGGTTCCATGCCTTTGCTATTGTGAATAGTGCTGCAATAAACATACATGTGCATGTGTCTTTACAGTAGAATGATTTACATTCCTTTGCATATATATGCACTAATGTGATTGCTGGGTCAAATGGTATTTCTGGTTCTAGATCCTTGAGGAATCGCCACACTGTCTTCCACAATGGTTGAACTAATTTACATTCCCACCAACAGCGTAAAAGCGTTCCTATTTATCCACAGCCTCGCCAGCATCTGTTGTTTCCTGACTGTTTAATAATCGCCATTCTGAGTAGCGTGAGATGGTATCTCACTGCCGTTTTGATTTGCATTTCTCTGATGATCAGCGATGTTGAGCTTTTTTTCATGTTTGTTGGCCGCGTAAATGTCTTCTTTTAAGAAATGTCTGTTCATATCCTTTGCCCACTTTTTGATGAGGTTGTTTTTCTTCTTGTAAATATAAAAAACATAACGTTTTAAAAAGGATTTTCTATAGACTAGAGCATAGGACATCTTTGGGTAAATTCCCAACACTCTAGCCTTCATTCCTGTGACTTCACCTCCCACTGCTCTCCTGGTTTCTTCTGATTCAGCTCTTCCTCAAACGTGCCAGGCCAGTTCCTGCCTTGGGGCTTTTGCATTTTTCTCTTTCTTCTGCCTGGATCCATGCTTTCTGCCCTCCTTCAGATTGCTGCTCAATGTCAACCTCTCAATGATGCCCACTCTAATCCCCTAACTGAAATTGTTATCCATCCAACTCAGGTTCTTTATTTCTTCTGCTTTGTATTTTCTTTAACATGAAAGAAATAGCATATGATTTAGTTTTGATAGCTATCTCCCACTTCCCTCTAGAATAAAATCTCCGTGAAGGCAGTGACTTTGGCTGTTTTATTCAGTGTGGTATCTCTTGCACCTAGATCAAGTGCCTGACTCATAATACTTGTCTAACAAATGATTGACTCGCCTCTATTATTTCTTACTAGTTACTGTTCGTTACTGCTCTATTTCCATCTTAACCTTATACCCCCCAAATGAGTGCTTATTATGACTATTGTTTTATTCAACCATAATGTTTATCTGGGATCAGAATTCCATATTAATAACCTTGAAGATCATTCTATTTCATGGTTTATATTGTTGCTATTGAAAAATCATGTGACTGTCTACCACTCCTTTACATGTAATCTACCTTTGCTTTCTGATGCCTTTAAAATTTTCTCTTTATTCTCACTATTCTCCATTTCATTAACTATTCCAAATGTGAATTTATTTTGATTGATCTTGTTTAGGGATTCATTGTGATTGTTGAATTTGAGAAGTCATGTCTCTGAAAGCTCCTGGAAAATTCTCAGTTATATTCTATTTCAGTAATGTCTCTCCTTATTTCCTCAATTTTCTCCCTCTAGAACCCATTTAGATAGAGATGCTCAATCTTATCATTCAGTGATTCATGTTTCTTAACCATATATATTATCTCTTCATCGCTCAGTACTGCAGTCTGGGTGATTGCCTCACATATGCCTTCTAAATCATGAAATTCCTCTTTTTTAAAGAAATTTTATTTTCTTTTTATTTTTTAACTTTCAAGTTCAGGGGTACATGTGCAGATTTGTTGAAATCCTTCTTTATCTCTAATTTGATCTTTAAACCCATCCACTGGACGTTACTTTAAATTTCTAGCAACCAAATATGCATTTTTACAAACTTTTCCTACTAATTTTTATCTCATCCTTACATATCTATTTTTTCATTTATTACTTTGATAATTGTAAAAATTTATGTTATAGTCTATGTCTGATATCTCTAAATTTTGAGAGGCTAAATCCTGTATTTGTTATGTATGCTAACCCATTCTTGGTTGATTTTTTTTCCTTGTATGTTTGATAATTGGGACCATTAGCTTATATTGAGCAGGGCTTTAGCTGTCTGTTTCCACAGAAATATTTGGCATCTCTTCTGCCAGTTACCCCAAGGACAACATTTATCCTAATTTCTTGATTTAAAGGTTAACAGACTGCATATTTTATAAGTATGAAGCCAACCCATATAAAGGTAGTTCTGATTACAAACTTTTCTGAAATAAGTATTTAATTGTTTACTTATTTATTGTTTTATTGTTTTATTCAATGTCAAAAACAAACTTATTTGTCATATTTCCTAGCCAATTAGCAATTTTTCCTATTACATCATTTTATGAAGGTATAGTTATTCAAAGGTATTAGCTTTTTAATAAGAAATTCAGTTCCATCTCCACTCCCTGCCCCTTCACTCAGCCTTGTCTCTTCTCATCATGTAGATATTAACATTCTAGGTTCCTCATTTGCTGCTGTTTCATAACTGTGCTTCCTAAATTAATTTCTCTCTTTGTTTTTTGCTACTGGAAATGTTCTTTACTCTTTAGGTTCCTAGGTATGAAATTAAATTTTTAAAAATATTTTCTACAGTATTTCTAAATATTTTATAGTAGAAGTATACAGGTTGTCTACTACCACATTCCTGATACCAAAGTCCTTAAGGGTTTCAAGAGTGGAAGTATATTCCAGGGAAATCTACAACAAAGAAGTCTGACTCAAACCAGATACATGAGGCAGGGCCAAAGCTCCTATAGCATATGGGAGATCATAATGAAACGTAACTCTGAAACACTTCAGGCTCACATGCTTCAGTGTGAAAGGGCCTGAAGAACTGTCTTGGGAGAAAGCTGCTTGTCTATAAATCTCAGTAAGAATCATACACTTTCCACATCCATAGTCTTTATGCAGATGGCATTGCCTTGAAGAAGTGTTCTCTTGTATTTCCAATACATTCTGTCATGAGGCTACCAAGTATTTGTACCATGAACTTCCTCTTTAAGTGAGTCTTCAATTTTAAGCATTCATAAGGGAATACAGTAAGAGTTGGATGCATAATTAAGCAGTCATGGTGACATTGTCTTGAAACTGTGTCAAATTCTGAACATATGTATTCACTATTAGATACCAATAATACTTTTAGTCCCAGACTGGGTATATCCAATTATAGTTTTGTAAATATCTTGTGTTATAAATTGTATCCTTTGTATGAATGTTTTCATTTTGCAGGATGTATTTTCCTTGTAACTGTGAAAATTGGATGCAACTGCTCATTAACTGGGACACATTTATATAATCTGGCATAACTTAGAACATTAATTAAGGCAGAGCATGTTTCAAATATACATGCCCTTTCCAACAATTACTGAATTGGTTGGGAGGAGGGTGCATATCTCTTTGGTACAATAAAAATTTATATATTCAGTTGCTCTTTTGATGATGTGACATGAATTCGCAGACATAGAGCATTATTCCTAGTAAAGGAAGATAAATAGATGATATAGATAGATAGATAGATAGATAGATAGATAGATAATAGATAGAAAGATGTCCATTGTATCTTATCTACATTTCGAAGATTTCCAAAGTCCTGAAAATTGAAAACGTGTTTTATAATTCATTTGACAACAAAATCTGAGCTGACCCCAATTTTTTTAATGGTAAAGCGTGATCTAAACACATATGAGCTATTTAACACAACACACTTACTGTGCCTATTACACATTGGACTGAATAAATATTAAGGTGTTGATTACAGGGCACTTCCCCAGACCTTAGTAGGGTGTTACATAATGTATACATTATATAAAATTTGCACTACATTACCTATCTAAAGTCCAAAAAGATGCTGAACTCTGAAAAACTAAGACTAAGAGTCTCAGAATGCATTGTGGGCCTGTAATAAACTAGCATTAAAAACTAAGAGAAATCCTTTAAAGAATTACTAAAATATCTATGAATTTGGAAACTCCAAACATAGATTTAAGACAGCACTCATAAATCACAATTTTACTTTCTTGTATAAAGTTTAACAAAAAAGTGTATATGTATGGTAATGTATTATCAAAATTTAATTCAAATAGGCTGTAATGCTATAGTGAGTACTACTATTTTTAAGCATATTTGGAATGAAAGCATGCATTAAGTAATAAATATGGCATTTATAGCCACTAAAAGATGTTTGAAAAAATTGAGAGAGTAATCTCCTTAAAGTTATATAAATGTTTGAAGTTTTTTATTTTATTCCAGGATTTCTCAATAACAGTACTATTGATATTCGAGGCCAGGTAATTCTTTGTTGTGGGGGACCAGTCCTGTGCAATGTACACTGTTCAGCAGCTTATCTGACCTCCACTCACTAGACGCCAGTAGCATATTTCTTTGCCGATCCCCAGTCCTTTTAATCAGCAATGTTTCCTGACTTGCTAAATGGCAAGGTGGCAACTTAGTGGAGAAAAACACTGTCTTAATCCAACTCTCAAATAAGACTTCATAGTTTGTAAAAGTATTTTCACATATATGCTGTTATTTCACCACAAAATAGCTCTGTGAGGTAGTATTAACATGTCCAAGTTAGAAATAAGGAAACCAAGGCCCAGGTAGGTTAAGGAACTTGCCCAAACCACATAATTGACCAGATAGGACCACCAGTCTGCTCAACCAGGTTCTTCCTTCAACATCATCCTGAAAAGAGTATTGTGTCTATAAGACATGTTATAGATCATCTCTAATTTTTGAAAAAAGCAAACTAGAAACAACACATTTTGGAACATATGTTAAATCGTTTAAGAACACAGCAGACAATTACTTATGAAACCACTCATCTCTGGGTTTAAGCCATAAGTTGATCATCGGCATGCCAAATAGAGCCAGCTATTTTCATACTTCTAAGTCTTACCAGGCAATGACTCTTGTGGATAAGAAAAACTAGCAACATGGAAATAAGCTGGTGGTATGGAAATCACTTTGTGACTTCTTACTAACAATCCCACCATAAAATCACTTAAAATAATTCCAAATTCATATTTTAAAATGGAATATTACAATGAACTGTGATATGAATAATCAAGAAAATTAGCATTAAACCCACGAAATTAGTTCCCAATAGCTCCAGCTGTTTACAATTCAGTTTAGGGAATAGGTAGTATCACATTGCTTTAAATGTATAATAGGAATGCATTTTCAATTGCACACTTATCTCTAAGGCTTTAAATCTTCGTGAAGTTTATTTGACACTGTGCCAGATAAGGAGCAGCACAGTCACAGAAGCCGGTACACAGCCAGTCCAAGCTCTTTTGCAAAGCACTATCGGCAATTCCAATGAAACCTGGGACAGTCTCCACATTATTGATGCAATTTCATTTTCAAATGTCACATTCGTGTCAAATTGTTTACTCCCAAGAGATTTTGCAATTCACAGTTCAAAGGCATAATTTTCTTATGCTTTTTATTAATCCGTATTTTGCATGACAGGTGCATCATACATTGTTGTTGTTATAACCTATGGGTAAAAATACACACATACTCCCAACATTTGGTAATAGTCATCAAAATCATAACATTTTATTTAAAGATAAAAAGGTCAGTTGATTGGAGTCCCTGTACGCCACATACGGATCTTTAACTGAGAAGTAAGGCTTTTTATCTATTTAAAATGTGAATAAGCATAATGTCAAGATACAGGTGCATTACTTAAAACAGTTTTGTGAGTTACCTTGAAATCTGACATTTTCACCTACATTCTGTTTTTAAATAAATCAGAGTAATATAAAAATATTTAAAACTGAAGGATGTCTGTAGCTTAAAAAGAGATGTGTCTTATGACTTAATGCCTGGACTTCTTAGGATGCAGTAGCTTTTCTCCTCTAATATATATTTACATGACATGGGTACATAAAGCAGAAGAATAATTTTCATGTTTTTATACAAAAATAATAATACCTGCTTACCAAAACAAACCTTAAATAGCTAGAACTATAGGAAGCATGAATTTTCTAAATAAAGGGCTAACTTTACCTAATTATTTTTATGACACTCTTTATCATAATATTTCAGAATCAAGAAACTTATCACATACGTTTGTTTCCAAGCTGAAGGGCACACTATAACAAATGACCTATTCCATCCAATTTTATTGTTTCTTCACAATCACAGTAACTTCACTTACAAGTTTTGGTGTTTATAAACTAAGTAGAAGAGCTAACTAACCCAATGCATAACAGTTCTAGCAAGCTTGTAAAAATCCATATTATATTTCTTACTTAAACAATTGCCTCATACCCTGTGGTCCATCCATTTGGAATAGTAGAAGAAGAACTGAACTAAGTGTGCAGAGATGACTCACTCATCCAGACTCTACCATTAAAGAATAACAACAGGTGACTCTGAGCTGCAGGATCGTTATCCGAAAAACAACAAAATTGGAGCTACTTTCTTACCCAATTGTCACAGAGAAAATTTAATTAAAATCAACACATTTTTGAATACACACACACACATTTGTACAAATGTAGGATATTCTTACTTATCATTGCTTTCTTAACATTCCAAAATTAATGGATTTGAATCCCATCTAATCCATAGTTTTGAATTCCCCCCAACAAAACCATACTCCCACAATAGATGTTAAAATTTTTACATCCTAACAGTAACCAAATTCTAAAAAGGTAGTTGAAAAACCATTAATGAATTTTGAAATTAAGGATCTGAATATGGATATCTATAAATCAGAGTCTTAGAGATTGCAAATGATACTGATTATATTTAATAATAATATTAAAGGTAAATGAAGTATACCAGTTCTTATAAAACTTGAATCACAATTATTGTGTCCTATTTACATAACTCCTAGCCCACAGACATTGATAACCATATTGTGAAAGCCTACCTGTATCTGTTATGTGAGATAAGTGTTCACCAACCTCAAATAACTCATCCCTAAGAAAACAAGATTTTATTTTTCTCAATAGGTAACTTAAAAAATAAAGATAACCCTTCAAAATTTTTATTTACTCATTTATCAAAATGTTAGAAAAATCAATAAACAAACTATAACAGCAAAAATTGAATATAACTGACTTTTTAAAATACCATATTCTATTTGGCCTAGAAGCATACAGCTTTACTTAGAAGCCCACAGAACACATGGGCAAAAATTCTGCCAAATTTATAATGCCATATAAGCTTCTTGAAGATAGTATTTGTGTTTTATTCCCAGTGACCATCACAGTTCATGAAGGATTAGGAAATATTTAACAGCTCTATTCCAATGACTGACAGACACTGAAAATGTAGCAAGCCCAAAACTAAATTTTTACCTTTCCTCATGTCTAACCCTCATCTCCTTTATCATTGCAGTGGTCTTTATAACTGCAAATGTTATCAGTTAATATGCAATTATGTACATTAGAAATTAGAATAATTATTGATGCCTTCCTTGCCTGAAATGTGGTACGTTTCCTACGACCATTGATTTCACTTCTAAATCTGACTCAGATTTAACATCACATGGGCCACACAGAGAGGCTATACTGACTCTGAAAGGAGCTGACATTCCACCAGTGTGGAACTTTTAGACTTACAGAAAATAAATCCGTAAGTCTATTGAATACAGAATTACACATTGCTTGGAAAAAGCCATTTAAATTCACAAACTCCACTTCCTTGGGTTCTCTGTTTTAAAGGGCCCCTAGGGTGTTCTGCCTTTAAACTTTAAGAATTCATCTGGAAAAGGAGAATATGGAAACTTTTGGTGACCTCTTTATCCCATGTAAAATATTCAAATTATTTTCTATACTCGGAGATCAGATTATATTGCTAAAGATCCTGTAATTCCTAGTTTTAGGTAATACCCTTAGCAATTTTCTCTTTTCAACACAATTAAAGATACATGGTTCAATATAGTGGAATTTAACATTGTAATACATTCTTCCCCTGTCATTTTAACCATTGAAACAATCCAATCCATTTCAGTGGCACAATTTACTTGTAACTGGAAAGAGCTTAGAAAAGAAAATAGAAAAATCTATACCATCTAATGTTTCAAATAAATATTTTCCAGAAACCAATACAATTATTTTAAGGACGTGAGTTCTCAAATGTCAAAATCTATAGTTCTTTTTAACAATAAGTGCATGTAAGCTTAATTTTTCTAATTTCCCATCACTGTCTGGATACTTCCTATCTTTTTAAGAATAATTTTCTGTAATAAACCTTTTTGAAGTGATTTAATGTTCCTTTTTTCCTTATCCCGTTCTTAAGAATTAGGTTTTCATACACACTGCTCCTCTGCCGCCATTTGATCTGTCACTGTAAAGCGCACACCGTGACTTCCAATTCAGAGTACCCACACTTACCTTCAAGGCCCGCTTTCTCCTGTCCTTGCTACAACGAAAGAAAAAGAGCTCTGGA